>NC_000003.12:40010000-40313030 GCF_000001405.40 Homo sapiens
GAGCCTAGGGAGAAAATGCTGTCCTGGGAACTCAGAAGAAAGGACAGTGAATGAGAGGGTCCTAGGCAGATGGCCAGCCATTCAAGGGCAAGCCAAGGTGGGAGCTGTATATGCAGGCAGAATATCCAGGGTGCCTGAGGGAATGGAGCCAGAAAGAATGCAGCGAGAGGGAATGCAACAGCACTGCTTGTTCTGAAGCACAAAGCCAGCAGATTTCTGGGAATTTGCTAGACAGCAAGGCCAAGGAGAAAGCATTGCCAAGACTTGAGGAGTTAGGGTCACCAGGAACTCACGGAAAGCTGGCCTCTGAGAGTGGCAGCTGAGGGGACAGCAGAGCTTCCTGTGCCTCCCAGTGCCTGGAAGGGAGGAGAAAGAGCAGAGGAGCCCTGGCCACCCCAGATATTCTAGTAGGAGACAGCCATAGAGGTGCCGGGTAGCAGTAACCATTTCTAAACCCTACAGGCCTGTGAAATGAGAGTTCTTTATAGACCTACTTGCTTCCACTTGATTCCAAGAGCAGAACAGGACAGCCCATCATGAACCAGTGAGGCTTGGTGGCTTCAGAAGTCCATGTAAAGATAGATGCTTTAAAACAGGGTTGGTTTTAGTCACACCTCATGGCCCACCTCATTCCAGGTGCATTTAGAATGTTTCTACATGCTCTACTATGCTTTGCATTGGTTCTTCAGCCAGTATGGTTGCTCTAAGCTGCCATACCTCCCCTGCCCCTACTACACATTTAAGGGACCTAAGGATGTCAGAAATCTCTTAGGATGCCTGGTCCTGGTTCTGGTTCTGGACTTCTTGTGCCATCCTGCTTTCCTTTCACTGTCATCTTGCTCTGAATCTTGCCTCTCTCTGCCTCCTGATGCCAACTTTATCTCATTCTTGCTGTACTTGACCTTGACCCTGCTCTTCTGTCTCAGAGTTAGTTTTATCTGCATATATGTGAATAACCCATTTCTCTTTTACATAAAAAAAATCAGCAGTGGGTTTAGGACTAGTGGGGTGGCTCCCCCATGTCATTGAGAACCCAAGTTCCTGCATTTCTGATCTACACAGCCTCTCAAAGACAAATCATAGATCAAGATGGCAACTAGAGCTCGAACCAGCATGGACAGAGGGCAAGATGGGGGAGAAAAGGCAGAATGACAAAATGGTGACCCTCCTTGCTGAATGAGCTCCCTCTAAGCATCCTATGCCCCACACATCACAGCCACTTTTATGTCATAGGCCAGGACCTAGTCACATGGCCACACCTAGCTGCAAGTGGTGCTGGGAAACACAGTCTTCATTCTGGAAAGCAATACCTAGAAATCAAGATTCTGTCATTAAAGAAGAAGGGAGGAAGGGTACTTCCCTTCCCTCTTTCTATTCCTTCTTTCCTTCAGTGACCTAGGCTCACCGTTAATCATGGTTTGGGCGTTTCTTCTGGGTTCAGTATCTCATACTGCCAAGTATGAATGAAAACTAATACACATCTAACCTTAACTTAGTACCAACATCATAGCCATTCTTTGAGCTTCTCTGTCTTCTTCTGCACACTGTTGCTCACCACTGTTTGCCCAAATCCATTGCATTGATCTAGACACCTGCCTTGTTGTGATTAAGCTCACACAAAGCACTACAGCAGCTGAAGGCAAACACAGTTTCTGTCCTGAATCCTTTCTCTCTTTTTTTTGGTTTAATGAACCAATTTGACAGATAGATTTAGAATAGGAAAGTAAAGTTCCTGGGGCATATAAAAAGTAAACAATCTCTACTTCAACTTTGGAAATTCTTTCAGGCAATAAAATAATAAGTAAATACACAAAATGAAAAAGCTCAAAAGCTACAGCCTCAAGGTACCCTAGTTCAGTGATTTGCAATCTAAGTAGAGGAATCCATTTAAAAAAATCTCAGGCTGATTTCCAATATGTAAAAGATATAAAATGGTGTTTTAGTTCCATAAATTTACTTATACATCATAATATATACTTACTTATAAACACTACCAATTAAATAAAATGAAGCTATATTAATAAGTTTAACTATTTGAAACCCGGATTTACAGATGTAGTCTTACAACAATGTTAATACCCAGTTTATTTCTATGTGCATTTTTTTGTTTGATTTCATAATATCATGGAAATCTGGATATAGACAGATAAGTAGTTCTTTTTACGGTTTATCTCACAGCTTCAGTCATGTTCTTCAATCAAGTGTAGATGACAAGGGCAGCTTTCTTCTGAATCCACCTAGTACAGAGTGGTAAATGACCCTGGCAGCTCCAGATAACCGACTGGTGGCTTCAAAATATTAAAATTCAATACATGATGTGTTTAAATGTGCATGTTGTTTTTTATTTCAACATTATAAATAGTTAAGTATATTAAAATGGAATTAAACCCAACAGTTACAGAACCCCTGGAATACTGAAGTCCATGGAGACATCTCCAAGTGTAATAGCTTAGGTTTTTGTCTCACCAAAGTTGCCTGTGGTCGTTAATTTTATGTGAACTTGACCGGGCCCCAGGGTGCCCAAGTTAAATATGATTTCTGAATGTGCCTGTGAGGGAGTTCCTAAGTCAGATTAGCATTTGAATAGGTGGACTTAGTGAAGCAGATCATTCTCCCCGCTTGTGGATGGGCATCATCCAATCCACTGAGGGCCTGGATAGAGCAAGAGGTAGAGGAAGGAAGAATTTGCCACCTTTTACCCTGCCTCATAGAGTAAGCTAGAACATCTCATCTCATCTTTTCCTGCCCTTGGATTGGGATTTATGCCATTGGCTTCCCTGGTTCTCAGGCCTTAGGACTGGAACTGAATTACCCCACTGACTTCCCTGGGGTTCCAGCTTGCAGACAGCAGATCATGGGAGTTCTCGGCCCCCATAATTGCATGCGTCTACATATATACACACACATTCTCTCTCTCCCCTATTGGTTCAGTTTCTCTGGAAAACCACATCACACCTGCATTCCACTCCTCTTCCTTCACTGCCCTGCCAGCTCCCCTCAAGGAGTGTCTGGTCTGCACTTACTGAGGGAGGAATTACACTCCCTTTTTGCATTTCTTGCCGACACTGTTGCTATTTGCTGCAAGCTGCATTTCTATTTTTCAGCCTGTACAGCTTCTCTCTGGTTACCCCATGTCCCCCTCCTCACACCTTTCTCTATTGTGTCTTTAGTGAGGGAGGTCTGGGTGAGACAAGCAGGACATGGGGTTAACAGAGCGAATCACGTTTTTGCACTTCCATTATTACTCTCGTGTCAATCCTGGAGAAGTAAGAACCTTAACAGTACCTTGCTTCTGTGATGTGCAGGAGAAGCAAGTGTGCAGAATGGTCTCTGCTGGAAGAAGGAAACCTTTTATTCCCGTGGAAGGAAAGAGATCATGGAAGTGTCTTACAAAGTGCAGCACCCAGATTTTAGGAGCCCAAGCTGTGCACATGCTGTGCTGGTTCAGAAGAGAAGGAGTCTTATTCCTGTCTGAAACTTTCCCCTGAGATCAGAACATGTGTCTTCATCCAGCAGCAACATACTGGAAAGAGGGAACCTCTGTTGTTTTCTGTGGCATCTCACCAACTATGGGAAGTGGTCTGCTGTGGAAAAGAGAAATTGGGACTTCAGGATGGGGCTTGGATTCCAGCCCAGGCTTAACCACTCATTAGCTTTGTGAGCCTGAGTTAGTTTCATAACCTCTCTGTGCCTTGGTTTCCTGATACGTAAAATGGAGGGATGATGGCTGCCTGCCTCTACCACACATCATCACTGTGCAACTAAATGGAATCAGCATCTGCAAAAGTTCTTTGTGCCTGTGGAGGTTGCACATTGTCATTTTAGGCAGCTCAGGCATATCTGAGAGCCAGTGAGCAGCTTATTAATTTAAAACATAAAGGATGCTTAATTTCTCACTTCTGTTCTCATCCTGTCTGGTTCATATTCTAAACACAGCTCCTGTTGTATTGGGTCCCAGTGCCAGCGGCACTAAAATCTATTGATGTACCATAAGCATTAAATTTATTCATAAGCATAACTCCATTTTCATAAGGAGGAGGAAACATCTCTCTTAGGGCATTTTGTATACTTGATGTTTAGGAGGATATTTATAAGGAGGCATTTTTTTGGGTTTGCTTTCCTGTGAAACTGTGATGATTTAAGATTCTTATTTAATTAAATGTGTATTTTGCCATTTCTACCCATATAAACAAAATTATGAGTGATTTGTAAACATTTCCAGAATTCCCAAGATCAAAATCTTAAAAGGCTCCTTTGGTATAATTTATTTGAATTTTTTCCCTGTGCTAAATAAATCTTAAGAAATAATAAGGAGAAATAATAAGCAAAATGTGAAACAGTTTACACAATTTACAAAATAATGGTTTTAAGTTTCTTTGACTCCCATCTTTCATATTATTTTCCTGCAGACATCCAGACATTCAGCAGAACATCCCCTGGGATCTTGGGATGAGAACAATTACCCCCATTAGCATTCTGAGGATGTCATGGAGCAGTGGGAAGAACCTGGGCCCTGTACCTGGGACACTTGGACCCACACCAGAGTCCACTACTCCCTGGACAGTCATCCCTCCACTGTGCCTCAGTTTCCTCACATGTACAATGAGGACACCAAGCCTTACACTCTTCCTGTACTTCCTATTCCTGCCACCATTGTGGTCTATGGTAGTTTCTATCTCTCTGGAAAGGTCTTACATGTCGAGTCATTTTATAATGAGGCTCAAAGGCTGGTGACCTGGGAAACTTGTCCCAGTTACATACATTTTGTTGGATCCATGTACATGTTTTGAATCAGGAAAATTTACATAAAAATTTAATTGGGAGCTTTTATTGAGAAACTAGAGGATTTGCAATGCTGGCCTTACGTTACAGTTTTTGTCTGGGCTTGAGTTACCTCTGGCACTTCATTGGGTCAGAAGGTCTGGGCTCTCCTGCTCCCCAACATACCCTGGTCTTTCACACTCATCTCACCTGTCCAGACCGTGTGCCCAGGGGAGTTTGGTGATCTTTTAGCAAAGTCCATTCTATTTGCTTTTCCTAGTGGGGCAAGGCAGTTAGTGGAGGTGTCTCTAAGAATGAGAGATGACCTCAACTTTTAGTGGATCTGTTTTATTAAGCACAAGTTAAGAAGATGCCTACCTTCCAAAGTTGCATTTTGTTCTTGCTGGTTCCTCATAGAACAGTGCTGTGAGGAATCTCAGAGTTCTAATTGGCTTATGTGATTACATCTGGAAGTAATTAGGTTGGGTCTAAAAAATATGGCTGCAAGGTGAGTGAGAGTTCAGTTATGAATTTGTTCAGGTTTGTTGCAGGCCCCTGTCCTCCACCTGAGAGCTCCAGGGAGCAAGGGCCAAGTGGAGAGCCAGTCAGAGTACTGCAAAGACAAGTGAGAGAAGCTTTGATCAGGGTTGAGACATGACCCTGAGTCACACTTCAGGCTCACCTTTCACAGAGGCTACAGTAACATTCCAAGAACATCTCCCTCACAATCATGGATTCTGGGACCAGCAGGGTCATAGCAGGGCAATGCCAGAGGAGGGGAGCTCTAGGGGGCCCTGCATTCCCCTCTGCAAGGGAGCCAGATTCTGCACAAGGGTTGGGTGCCACAGGCTGGCCCAGTGGCATGGCCTGGTAAGCTCCTTAGCCAGGACAGCCAGGCAGGTTGTCATCATCTGCTGTTCCTCCCTCAGCCCTCAGTGTGTATCTGCAGCAGGGACTTCTGTGCATGCTTGCACTTGGCAATTGATCTTATTTTGTACTCTGTGTCTTTTAAAGACATTATTATGATAATACTGTTGATAAAACTGAACAACACCTATAACCTAACATCATATCTATTTTGAAATTTAGTAAATAAGAAAGTTTATCTCACAAACCACTCCTAACTGCAGTCCAGTTTCTATAACATTCCCCACTTCACTGAAACCACTCTTCCTAGTGGTTTTAGTAACTCTAGTGAACACATTTTGGTCCTCATATTGCTTGACCTCTTTTGGCATTGGGCAAAGGTGGCCATGCCCTCCTTGAAGAATTCTTGCCACATCCCCCACACCCTCCTGATTTCCTCCTACTCTGTCTACCGGCCTCACAGGTAAGCAGGTGGCTTGGTCCTAGACTCCCTTCTTCCTTCTGTCCTCTTCTCCTTGGATAATTGTGTCCACTCCCATCTCTATGCTGGTGACTACTGCATTTTTATCTTCTGCCCAGCTTCTCCTCTGAGCCTCCGACCTGTGTTTCCTCTTGGCTATTCCACATTTCTGCTTTGATATTTTAGTAATGGCTGTTGGTGCCTCATCCAGAACCCCTTCACTGCCAGGTATGCCTATCCCCCAGTTCTGTGAGTGTGGGGCAGCTGCGAGCCCTTAGCAGCCCTTTCAACCAGTCGTCCTCCACCAAACAGGATCTGCCTCCTTCAAGCCTTTTCCCAATTTGGAGGCAAGATCTCTGCCAATGACCAGCTGATGTAGGATACAAAAAGCCCAGCCCTCTTACTTCAGGTGGGATAACTCTGTGCTGTAATCCATGCTCCAGAGTTCCCCATGGGGTCAGACTGAAGCCGACTGCAGACCAGACCACAGCCAAGACTGCAGCCTTGCTCAGCGGGTTGTCCTGGCCCAGCCCTGTTTTTCTCACTGCTCCCCACCTGAGGGAATTCCTTTCAACACAGTCTCCATCTCAGGCTCTGCTTATTGAATCTGATCTAAGTCAGAGGTCATTGTCACAGCTTGAAATTACTGTATCTCAAACTTAATGTCTCCCAACCCCTCAGTGTCTTATTAACGTACACAAAGCATACGTGCAGTCAGTTAAAGTTTGTGCGGATTACAAGTCACAGATTGCCATATATCATGGCTCAGTCAGGTTTCCTGTAAAGAGCTGGCCAGAGTTGCTGGGCAGGGCCAGGTGTTACCTTCTTCTCCAGGTGAGGACATGGAAATTCTGAGAGGATACATACAAAGATCACACTCTAATGGGTTCTTGAACTCCACATGCAATTCCCCTCATTGACATAATTACAGAGATCTGATTTCTGTCTTTTGGATTTCTGGAATTTCTGACCTCTGTCTTTTTGAATTTACTATTTAAAGCCACTTAACAAAATATTGGATACCTATACATGGAATATAACATTTTAAAATTTGAAGAGAACTTTAAGCAAAGCCAAATGCAAGTCTCCTGCACTCCCACTTCCTTGCACATCCAGGAATGAAGCAAACATTACTAATCAAACAAGGCACCTTTCCCAGTGTATCTAGATGTGCCCTCAGAATTCTTCTTAATACAGTTCTCCAAATGACCACTACAAAACGATGAGTGTATGTTTAGATACAATGCTGGATAGAGATAGAAACTGGAACTCTCCATAACCCTTGATCAGGTTCAATCCCTTTACTGAACGCATGAGCAGACTGAGTTCTCATTAGGTAGGGCTTGCTCAGGATGAGGCAGCCTGTTAGTAGACAAGTCAGTTCTCAAACCCAACCCAGCTGACCCCTGATTCTGTATTCTTTTGAACATCTAATTACTCATATTTGTATCTCTGTTTGTTTTGCTTGAATACCTAGCACCAACAGAAGTTTTTCTGAAAAAGATACATAAGGGAACTTTGAACAATTTCCTAAATTCATTTAATCAGGTAGATTTCCTGGAAAAGAGCTGAGAGTCTAAAATAAATAAAGAAATAATTTACTTCTTTTTTTTTTTTTTTTTTTTTGTCTGAAGGTGAGCAGTATTAGACAAGGAACTGACTTACTCCGGAAATTCCAGTTGTACCTAAGATGTCTAATAAGGCCAGACTGTGAGTTTTTGGAGAAAGAATCAATTTGGTTTTCAGTTTAGCAGGTTAAATGTATATTTTTAATGTGAAGGCTTTCCCTCTTTTCACTATTTAGCCTAATGAGTAATCAGCTTTGTCTTTTGTTAATTTGTGACTGGGTGTTACTGTGCATTTTCATTGTGAACAGGCAGAAATGAACTAATTTCTCATGCAAAATGAGAGAATTGAGACCTCTATGAACTTTAAACTAGAAGTTTTCTCGTTTCCTTATGAATGTATCAATCATAGTTCAGCAAGATGTACATGAATTAGTGTTGCCTGTCCCTCTTTTGGAGGCACCTCCTTATTTGGCTGCCACATTACTGCATTATCTTGGTCTCTGTCTCAACACTCTGACAGATTTCTTGGTTTCATCAGTGCTTTTGTATTCTTTTGCTCCCTAACTATTGGTAATTTTCACTGCTTATCTTCAATATCTTCTCTTTGCTCTTTTACCATCAGAAATTGACTCACAGTTTCAGCTCCCACTTTTACAAGGATGATGCCATGATATAAATCGAGTGCTTGTCTCTCTCTCTCCAGAGCTCTATCCAGTCTGCTTTCCTGTCTCCCGCTAAACATGTTCACTTTGCTTTCAGTGAGTGAGACTAAATGCATGGTTTGCTACCCCAGTCTTCATTCTGACTTTCTTCTTCCTCTCCACAGTGTGTTCCCCTTATCATATGGGTTATGCAGACCAAAGACATGAGTGGTCTTTTGGTCCCTCATTTCCTGTCCCTCATTTCCTGTATCCCAGGCTTCACATCCTCTCAAATGTTTCGTCACCATGTCACTCATGCCCACATCACCCTTCCTGCTTCCACTGCCACCTCCCTGGTCCAGACTTTGCCAGCATTGGCCCTTGTCCCCTTCCTCTCACAGCTTCTACCTTTCCCATAGGCCCAGTAATTATAGCAATCCAGGGACTCCAAAAAGAGGTTACTTCCATAGGCAATGCTTCTAACATTATGGACAATCAAATCAATAAACTAGTCACAAAAAATAAGCATGAGAAAAATACTGGAAAGAAATGATCCCAAATAATAATACACCTCACCTATCTAACAGCCCATACCAGAAACCCCACTTCCATCCCCAGCTTCTCACTACAATGAGCTCCAACATTCTATGCAGCAGACTACTTAAAAACCTCTTTTTCATTACTTCCTCTTCAGTTCCCTTACCTGGTCTTCCCTGATGCTCTCAGCTTTTGTAACCATCATTGTTACCAAAAGTTTTAACTAATGTCTCTCCTCTGATCCTGCTAGCAACCTTCTAATCCATTCTCTTGTGTCAGAGGTTTCTCTTTTTAAAGTAGATTGATAGTTTCATTGCCCATCATTGCCAATGAATTTGTCTTCTTGTCCCATTTACTTTAAAAAATGTTCATTCTTTGGGGTGGTGTGCAAGGCCCCTTAGGACCAACCACAAACTTAACCTGCTCCCCAGCCTTTCCTCACTATTTCTGACTCCAACTACTGAACCAACCACTCATACCTTCTCAAACACACCACGTTCAGTTATGTATCTGTACCTTTGTACAAGGTGTCTTCTCTCCCTACAATATCCTGCTCCATTCTCCTGCTAGTGAACTCCTGCACATCCTTCCTGGCCTAGCACAAGCAGCGATGCTTCTGTAAACTGCACCCCACCTCCCTGATTGCCCACCTCTGCTGCCTCCTTACATGCCTATTGACATGCCTGTCTCTTGTACCTCGGACTTTGTTCTGTGGCTATGTTTTTACCATTGTCTACTCCCTTAGGCTGTGAACTGTGATTTATTTTATGTCCCCAGCACCTGGCAGAGAGCCAGGCATAAAATAGGAGCTTAAAGTCTTGGATGAATGAATACATGAAAGAATGAATGAATGTTCCAGGAATAAGGGAAACAATTCAATCCCCCCCCCGCTTTTTTTTGTTAGACAACACATAAAATGTGTTTTTTTTTTAAGTGTGAATTACCATTAGCACAATACCATTACCATTAGCATTGCAAGTGATTCAAATTAATGAGAGATACTCTACTTTGGAAAGAAAACTTTTTGGGCATTCAAATGGACTTAGTGAACAAAATTAATATCTCTGCAAGATGATAAGGATATATGTTTTGAACTGACATCTTTTAGGATTATTTTAAAGTTCCTTCTGTATTTGAATCTACATTTTTAAAAATAATTTCAGCTTTTATTTTAGATTCATGGGATACAAGCACTGGATTGTTACATGGGTATATTGCATGATGCTGAGATTTGTGATACAGATAATCCCCATCACTCAGATAGTGAGCATAGTACCCATAGATAGTTTTTCAGCCCAAAACTCCTCTCTCTTCCACATCTAGTACTCCCCAGTGTCTGTTATTCCTGTCTTTATGCTCAGGTGTGCTCAATGTTTACCTCCCACTTACAAGTGACAACATGTGGTATTTGGTTTTCTGTTCTTGCATTAAGAATTAATATGTGTTTAATACCAATTTATTCTTACCAATTATTACTTCTAGATGTGTGATAGAGTCAACAAATAGTTGCAGCTGTTTAAGTTACTTGATTGTATTTATTTCTAGAAATAGAATTCATACATCATTACTTACACCTTTCGAGTTTTGTGCCTTGGTGTTTTCTTTGGTCCAACGCCCTGGCTGTTTGACAAATCTTACCAGACAGTGCTTAAATTTCGAGTGAAGATGAACATTAAAGACAGGAACAGACAAGTGACCAACCTGTGTGAAGTAGCACGTGTTATTTTGGGCCTGGTAACTGTCTATGGACTGAGGAGGGCTTTACTAGGAAATCATAAGGTTTTCCTTGAGCTCAAACGTATGGGTACAGAATATCAGTTGCAAAGATGGTATATGCACCCAGGAAGAACTGTACGTGTAGCAAATGGCAGACTTTATATGTAAGGCATATAATCACTTTTCTTGGCCCCCCTGATTTTTCTAATTTATAATTTTGATATTTGTATCTTGTATTCTCAAAACTGTTGGCAGTGTACCTCTCCAACACCATTGTAGCCAACACGTTGATATCAAGTGCTAACATGAACAAGCTTCAGTTCTGGAAGCTGTGCAAGTGAAGGGATTCCACCAGGCCCCTGGATGCTCATCATTCCAATATGGGGTGTAGCCATGTATGAGCATACTCTAGAAAGCAAGCAGAGTAAAGCATGGAAGCCCCTCTTCTCTACCTCCACAGATCTTGTAGGGATTAATTCTGCCAAATGCCTCACACATGCTAGCATTCCATAAAGATAATTCCCATTCCTTTTTATAAAAGCATGACTAAGGCAAGGAAGCCTTTACCCCCCTTTGCTCTGGTAAGGGAGATGTCACAGAAATGTAATATTTTAAGATGCTTTTAAAAAACATTCTGTAGGATTTTTTGATAGTTTTTGTACACAAATTTAGGAAAGGTGGTTCACTATACAGTAATAAGGGAATTTCCAGTTAGGAGGATCAGCTGTAGATAGACATCAGAGGGGTAGCTGGCTTAGCAGCTAGAGGGCATCACCAGTGAGACTTGGCATCTCTCCACAAACTGACATTTACCTTTACAAATATTCTCTTCTAGATGGATTAATCAAATATTAATAGAATTAAAGTAGGAGTTCACATACAATGCATGATGCATTAAATGTCAGAAAATGTGTGATGATCTGAGCTGTAGAGATCCTCTGAGCCTGTGTTCATCTTAGATGAGTGACAGAATGAAGTCTGGAACATTTCTATCTTGTTTACAACAACCAAGAGCGTGATGACAGTTTCATTTCTCTTGGGAGATAGTTTTTTTGCTCAAGGTCAAATCTACATCAGTGTGCCCAACAACAGGAAGAAAATTCTCTAGGACAAAAATATCTATTTCTGTGGGCACCATGTGATACAGGTTTTGACCAACTCTGGAGGAGTGCTTGTACTCAGCCAAAGGCTTGAACTTTGGAAATTTATTTGTATATATTATTAGTATGTGAAGGAGGAATGAAACAGCTTTAAATTCTGACATATTGTACTTATCTTTTATTCAGAAATAAGAATCCTATCCCTTAGTGGCACTGAAGATGTGAAAACCACTTGTCATCATATATGTCTGAATATTATTTTAGCTTTCCTATGGTGCTTAGTTTCAGGTAGATTAAAAGCAGACACAAAGCGGAAAGTTTTGCCTTATGCAAGATCCAAATTTATAGATGCAAAGGAAGAATTGATCAAATGTTCAGTTGTTTTGCCTACATGTTTTTTACAGTGTTAGAAGCCTAAACAATTAATTGTTAGGAAGTTTTAATTTTCATTTGTCCACTGCTCATGCTTTATCATAATCTCTTGCCCATTGGTTGAACTTGTATTTGAGGAGAAAGGACATGCACACCCAGCCACATGATTCAGGCCAATCCTCCTGTACTAGGGACGAAGGTGGCCATTCCTGTCCTCCTCTTTAAGGAGTTCATTGTCCTATCAAAGGCACATAAGGAAAGTATTAAAATTCAGTGTGGTATGGGCTATAATCGAGTTAAGTACAAAGCAGTAGCTATGCATGGCAGAACTAGAGACTTGGTAGAGAAGATGACATTTGAAATGTGAGTCTTCAAGGAAAAAGATAAATTTGTCAGTAAGGCAGGGAGGGAATGGCACAGCATGTGGAGGAAAGGACACAGGCATGCACAGGGATGGAGCACTCTTTACAGCTCAAGGGATCAGCACAAAGGAGTCATCATCAAATGGCTCTGAGTATTCATGGAGGCATTGTTTTTGACATTTGTTTTGAGGCAGATCTCTCTGCTCTGGTCATTGAAGGCAGCTTGGAATGCTCGTGTGCAATGCAGGTCGGGGATGTGGAGCGTTCAAGCTAAGCCAATGGCAGAGCAGGAGCAGGGAAGGTGCCATTAAGGGTATTTTAATGCAGAATGGGTAGGATTTAATGCAAGATTAAAGCCTGAAGTAAAAGAGAGGGAAAAGTAGAGAATGACTCTTAGGATTCCAGAGGGATCTTTGGATAGAAGTTATGCTCTTTAGGAAAAAATACAGGAGTGGAAATAATACATGTATTATTAGATATTTTGAGTATTTTAGACGTTTTGAGTTTGATTCCACATAAGATCGTGACCTGGAAAAGAGACTGGCAGTTACAGATCCTAGGCAAAAATTCCAGGCAGTGACAATTCCTATGAGAAAATGTGAGACTGAAGACATGAGAACCACTGGCACATTAACAGTAGTTTATGACACACATATGGATTACACTCCTCGATGGGGGAATATAGAACAAGGAAGGAAGTGGTCTAAGGAAAAAACTCTTGGAAAGAAAGAATGAAACATGAATTAATCTGAAGAGAAAGCCAGGTGGCTTTGAGGGAGTCACTGGTGTCAGGAGAACAGAATGGTCACAAGTGCAGATGTCAAGGAGGCCATGTGGAATGTGGACTTTAAAAAAATCTGGATTTGACAATACGTGACTTCAGCTCTCTGATGTGTCAGTCAGGGTTCCATCAAGAAAACAGAAACCATCTAAATATTTCATACAGAGAGTTTTTGATTTGGGAAACTGCTTACAAGAGTATTAGAAGAGTTGGAAAAGCAACAGGAAAAACATAATGTTACCCAGAGATCAGTAACCATGCAGGCTGCCCCAGACTTAGGGTTGGAAGAGGAGGAAAGAGTGTTTAAGTAGGATCCCACAAGCCTGCACTCACTCGATGACATCACTGCTGCTGCTGCCACTCTTACTACTGATGGGACCCCCACTGCAAGAAGGAACCAAGCCACATTCACCCACAGTCTCCTGCCTCTGCTGGAATGTAAAGCCGAAAAATGACGTCTCCCTTCCACCTCCAGTCTCACACAAATGCCTTCCATTGGCAGAGCCTAACCAACAACAGCAGGCAGAAGAATCTAGGAAAGGTGGTTTCCAAGCTTCCAGCCCCCTGTGCTACACAGAGGAGACTATGGAAATGGGAGTGGAAGAAAGAGGCTTGGTCCCAACAGTTAATATCTCAGAGAAGGAACTAAGGCAACTGTTTTTATATCCTAGATACTGTTCTTTCTCCTTTTTCAAAATGATAATATGTAGTGTGTGCCCATTTTCACAGGATGTAACAGGGTGTCATGGGTTTATCAGTGATTCATGGATTTTGTGACTTTTTTGATGATTAATAAAGATTTAGGGCACAGTTTTCTCTAAGATTAATGTGGCCTATGTGAGACTAAACACAAAGAAGAAATGGGCTACACATAAGAAAGTGGGTGGTGGAGGAAGTAGGGTACTCGCTCTTGTCAAGGACATGTGGAACCTGACTTTATGGAAAAGGAAGCTTCCTCTACTTGTATATGAAACATTCTCTGTCAGCCACCTTTATTCTCATCCCTCACATCTCCACTTTTCTTGGGCTACTGCTCAAATGAAGTCATTCATAGCTCTTAAATGAAGGATCCTGGTCTGTCGTATGCACTGTGGCTGATTTGAGAAGGTGGGAAATAAGATTGACCTTTCCACTTAACAGAGTTGTGAAGATAGTGATTGTCAAATGGTGTTTTGTGGAGGAGGCTGCCCTGAGCTACCATGAGATTAGGGAAGCAGACATAGCTGGAGATGATTGGGTGGTGGGAGGTGCAGGAGGCGGGATGGTGCTGGAGGGCAGGTGCAGAGAGAGATGGGACAGTCAGCAACTTCAGGTAGGGATATCTACTTCACGTGTTTCCACTGGATCTGATGAGCCTACAGACTTGGAATTGTGTCTCCTCTGTAGGCTAGATGCTTTTTGTGGGTTTTTTTTTTTTTTACATGTCCCTGGCCAAAGTCTAGGTTTATGATGAAGCACTGGTATGCTGTGGTATAATACGAGTGTACAGTGTGATGATCCCAGCTTTCTCGCAGCTGTTCTCTCATTGCTCTTTTCAAGAAAATACTTGTAATGCTCTTAAGATACCCTCACTGGTTATTAGAGAGCTTTCCACCTGCTCAAGGTCAGGAGTGGATGTGCCTGATTTCACTCTCTGGCTATTGGCCAAATATTCCAGATGATCCAATGGAGAGATGGGAGCCTTTTCTGAGCACCTGCTGTGGAGCAGAATCTTAGCTGGTTTGAACTGAAATAATTCCAGACATTTATGGGGCAGCTTTTACTTTTTGGTGCCTGCTGCACAACTCTGGTACATTTTCTTATTTATTTCTGCAACAAGCATTTCAGGATGCTGCTGATATCCCTTCTTTGCCAAAAAAAGAAACCAAGGTTTAGAAGACTGAGTGGCTCATAGCTGTGAAGAACAGAGCTGGAGCCCTCAGTCTCTCCCAACATCCATGTTGACTGAGCTACTCGCTGAACCTGAGGCTAGTGAGGTTCCTGTAGCCTTATCAGACAGCACTCATGTGGGATGAGTGGGGCATGGCGAGTGCTCCAAC
Organism: Homo sapiens; assembly: GCF_000001405.40. NCBI lineage: Eukaryota > Metazoa > Chordata > Mammalia > Primates > Hominidae > Homo > Homo sapiens. Next base: position 40,025,205 of record NC_000003.12, read on the forward strand.
TGTCCAGGTTCTGGATTAAAATGGTCCCCTCCATTTATAACTGGTAACCACAAAGCGTATTGTTGTGTGTCATTAACATTTGGAGGGAATGTTTAAATTTGATTTTCTTTACTCATAAATCTGTGGTATCAAGGGCTCTGTTAGCCTTGACAGATTTTTTTTTTTATAACACCGTCAGGGGCAGCAAAATGATTCTGTCTGAAAGTACCTAATGGGAGAGTGATATTACCCATGACAAACTAAACGCAAAGTATACTTTTAAATTATCATGAACACTGTTAATATTGTTATACTCTAAGGTGGGTTTACCCTTTGGAGCCCAGCTCTTAAAAGCATTTGTAACATTGCTGTAAGAAGTATTCCATGAGGTATTGGGGGAACCCGCCCCCAATATTTCAATGTAGGTTCTTTCTATTTTCCCTAAGTGTCGGCTGGTCTGAGAAATAAAGAGAAAGAGTGCAAAGAGAGAAATTTTACAGCTGGGCCACGGAGGGTGTCATCACATATTGGTAGGTCCACGATGCCTACCTGAGCTGCAAAACCAGCAAGTTTTATTAAGGATTTCAAAAGGGGAGGGGGTGTACGAACAGGGAGTAGGTCACAAAGATCACATGCTTCAAAGGGCAAAAGGGAGAACAAAGATCACATGCTTCTGAGGAAACAGAGCAAGAACAAAGCAAAGATCACAAGGCAAAGAGCAAAATTAGAATTACTGATGAGGGTCTATGTTCAGCTGTGCACGTATTGTCTTGATAAACACCCTAAACAACAGAAAACAGGATTCGAGAGCAGAGAACCAGTCTGACCTCAAATTTACCAGGGTGTGGTTTTTCCCCACCCTAGTAAACCTGACGGTAATGCAGGAGACCAGAGCGTATTTCAGTCCTTATCTCAGCCGCATAAGATAGACACTCCCAGAGTGGCCGTTTATAGACCTCCCCCCAGGAATGCAATTCTTTTCCTAGGGTCTTAATATTATATTCCTTGCTAGGAAAAGAATTTAGTGATATCTCTCCTACTTGCACGTCTGTTTGTAGGCTCTCTGCAAGAAGAAAAATATGGCTCTATTTTGTCCGACCCCGCAGGCAGTCAGACCGTATGGTTGTCTCCCTTGTTCCCTAAAATCGCTGTTATTCTGTTCTTTTTCAAGGTGCACTGATTTCATATTGTTCAAACACATGTTTTACAATCAGATTTCATGTTGTTCAAACACACATGTTTTACAATCAATTTGTACACTTAACCCAATCATCACAGGGTCCTGAGGTGACATACATCCTCAGCTTACAAAGGTAACAGGATTAAGAAATTAAAGTAAGACAGGCATAAGAAATTATAAGAGTATTATTAGAGAAGTGATAAATGTCCATGAAATCTTCACAATTTATGTTTCCTCTGCCATGGCTCCAGCCAGTCCCTCCATTCAGGGTCCCCAACTTACTGCAACAATGAGGGATCTGCTTCCTCACTTCACATTCACTGTTCAGTCTGCAACAGTCTGGCTCCTGCCTAGCTTCCACCACTGAAATTGCCTTTCTCAGAGTTACTGCTGACCCCCATGCAGCCAAATCCAGTGGATATATCACTGTCCTCACAGCAAATAGCCATCCACTCTCCCCTTCTTGAAACATCCTCCTTGTTCCTCCTCAGTCCTTCTGTCTGGCTTCCCCTCTTCAGCCTTTTTCCCTGAGCTTAAATGTTTGGGGTTTTCTTGGCTTGTTCTTAGGCCCTCTTTTCCCCCTGGCTGCCCCATCCCTCTAGGGTGGCTCATCCATTCCCCTATGTGTAAAGACGTTTATGATGATGACTTCCAAGCTCACTTAGCTGGCCCAGCCCTTCCTCTGAGCTGCTAAAACCCACATCCAGGTGTCCTCTTGGCATTGCTCTTCAGATGCCTCACAGATTTCACTAAAACTTGCTCCTGCCCACCCTAGTCTTCTCTCTTTCCATGAACAGCTTCACTCCCCACGTAGTTACACAAGCCAGAATCTGGTTTGCCCTCTCTCCTGGCCCTCAACAGGTGCAACAGAGATCAGCCCACTTCCCTGCACTCTCCAATGACTCCTGCCCAGCCCAAACCTCAGTCACTCTCACCAAGATGACTGCAGTGCTCCCCATGCTTCACACATGCAAGGTCCTCTAAGAGTGGGCTTTACTGACAGTGGCTGATAGTTCCCTGCTCACATCCTCCATAACTTCCCCCTTGCACTTGTGCTCCTCCTGTCTCCCCCCAATACTAAGCTCTTTTTCTTTGCTACTTGTTCTGTCTGGGATGCTGTGTCTTCCATTGGACTAGCTCCTTCTCATCTTCATGTTTTAACTGAAATGCCACTTCCCCAGAGAAGCCCTCTCTTGCCACCAATCTAAAGTAGGTCCTGATGTTATCTTCAGTCTGAGTATCCTACTTATTCTTATGAGAATACCTCATAATTTATAGTTACTTTGTTTTGTTTAATTATTTATCATCTGAATTCCTACCTTAATGCACATTTTATGAAGAGAGGGGCTATGTCTTTTTTTAAAAAAAATCCTTAGCACCTGTAATAATAGGTGCCTAATAAGTGTGAATTGAGAGAATGATTGACATTCTAAGCAAAGCCCATGGCTATCAAGGGGTGGCAAGATGGGCAGGGTCAAGAGGACACCTGGATGGGGGTTTCTGCAGCTCAGAGGAGGGGCGGGACCAGCTAAGTGAGTTTGGAAGTCAATTTCACAAACATCTTCACTTACAGGAATGGATGAGTCACCCTAGGGGGTCAGGGCAGGAAGCGGGAAAAAGAGGGCCAAGCTCACAGCTATAGATCAAAATTACCCTCTCTTTGGTAACTGAGTTGAAGGATAGCAAACAAGTGATGTACATGCCATCACTTCCTGCTACGCCCATGGCAGACACTGCTACCTCATCATGACACCCAACTCCATTGAGCCTGTGTGTGTCCTCTCAACACGGAATGCTTTACCCTCTAACAACCTGTCAGAGCTGGCGTGGTGATAGACCAAGAGACCATGAAATGTTAATAGGCTTTTAAGATGCCTGTTGTAAGACCAGAAGGAGACTACACCAGATGTAAGAAGATACTGCTAAAGATCAGACTAAGCATGTTCAACATCTTTAGGGAAATGCAAATAAAAGCCACAGTGAGCTAACACTTCACACCCCCTGTTACCCAGTGCTCAAGCAACAAATAAGTCTTGAGCATTATTGCCCAGACGCTATTGCAGAAACCTTCTTGACATATAGCCAAATATGTTCAAATGTTATAGATACTTGGATCACTGAATTTCTTTCTAATCCAATGGAAAGACTAGTATTTGCTTTTGTAGCTTTGCACATTTAAAACCTCTAGCAACCCTGTGAAGTAGAAATTATAAGTGCCACTCAGAAAAACAGAGGCCCCAAAAGGTTGGGGAACTTTTTGGTAAGTGATGAGCCCAGCTATGAACACTAACTTCTGATGTTAAACCCATCACTCTTTCCCATGTAGCTGACCATTTGAAGTCCTGGTCTTTCCCAAGATATTTCAAAGCAGGTAGCCTGTCTTGCATCATTCTTGGTTGATCTGTAATTAACCATTATAAGTCATACTATACAATTCTGCCCAATGACTTCTTCCATGAGATACTACAGGGCAATATAATCTAATAAGTGAGAGATGGTCTGAAGAATGGCAACCCATTCCTCCACTGAGCCTGAAAAACACCTCATTTGCTTGGAATAAATGCTAGAGGGCTTGGTACAGTTATTACTAGATACCAGTGAGCTTTAAAATGCCATTGGAATTTGCAGTCCTGTGTATCAGCAAACAAAACTCATAAAGCTCAAGTTATCTTATGGATAGAGTTCACAGAGCTTTATGATCCCCAAATAATTTTCTTTTTGGATGTTTTATCCTATTTAATTTAGTATCTCTGAGATATCGATATAAGCCAGTCAATTTGAGGCTGTTGTTATACTGTTGAGAGATGTCAGAGCTGTCAATGACTTAGCACATCTTCTGCCTTTAATCTAAGGGACTGAATAACATCTTCCTTCCTTGGAAATATCACCTCTGTTCTGTCTCCCTGTTAACATTTTATTCAGCCAAGTGTATGTATATATTTTACCCCATAGAATTATTAGCTGGTCTGACATAGTTTTCACTTACAATTCTGGATTCAGCCTCCCTTTATTATACAATAATCAGGCAACAAATAAGTACCGGGCACTTCTATGCAGAGCAGTGAGCCCTGCTCATGTGTTAGAAGATATGTAAGCCAGCTAAAGGTGCCCAAGAGCTAAAGCTGCAAAGATTCTGGATTGTCATGAACAGATGTTTATGATATATTGTTAAGTAAAAAAAGAAGTTGTAAAAACATACATAGATTTCTAAATCCAGTAGCAGGGTAAGATGAGCTGGTGAGATGCTTTCTTTTACTAAAACCAAACAAAAATACTAATAAAATGTAGGGTTTAATATAAGAAAGGGAAAATATTTGCAAATTATGTATCTGATAAGGGACTTGTATCTAGAATATATAAAAAACCCTTACAACACACCAGTAAAGGACAAATAATCTAATATAGAAATGGGCCACCTGGTCCTGGTGGCTCATGCCTGTAATCCCAGTGCTTTGGGAAGCTGAGGTAGGAAGATTACTTGAAGCTAGGAATTTGAGACCAGCCTGGGCAGCAAAGCAAGACCCCGTCTCTACAAAAAAATTATTTAAAAAATTAGCCAGGTGTAACATGCCTGTAGTCCCAGCTACTTGGGAGGCTGAGGTGGGAGGATCACTTGAGCCCAGGAGTCCAAGGCTGCAGTGAGCTATGATGCCACCACTGCATTCCAGCATGGATGACAGAGCAAAACCCTGTCTCTACAAGAAAGAAAAGAAAGGAAAGAAAGAGAGAGAAAGAAAGGGAGAGAGGGAGAGGGGAGGGGAGGAAGGGAAGGAAGAGAAAGAAGGGAAAGAAAGGAAAGAAAGAAGGAAATGGGCCAAAAATTTGAATAAACTTTTCTCCAAGGAGATGTACAAATGGCCAATAAACACATGAAAAGATGTTCAACCTCATCAGTCATTAGGGAAGTGCAAGTCAAAAGCATGAGATACCACCTCACACCCCCTAAGATGGCTGTAATTTTTTAAAATGCAGACAATTACAAGTATTGGGGAGGATGTGGAGAAATTCGAACCCTCACATCTTGCTGGTGGGAATGTAAAATAGTACAGCCATTTAGAAAACAGTCTGGCAGTTTCTCAAAAAGTTAAAAAAAGTGTTACTATGTGACCTACCAATTCTACTCCTATAATTAAAAATACACGTCCACACAAAAACATGTACATGAATGTTTATATCAGCACTCATCATAATAACCAAAAATTAGAAACAATGTAAATGTTTATGGTGAATGAATGGATAAATAAAATGGTATATCCATAAATTGAATATTATTTAGCAGTAAAAAGGAATGAAATGTTGATGCATGCTACAACATGGATAAACGTTGAACACATTATGCAAAGTGAAAGAAGCCAGACACAGAAGGCCACATATGATATTACTTCATTTATATAAAATGTTCAGAATAGGCAAACTCATAGAAACAGAAAGTAGATTAGTGGTTTGCAGAGGCTGAGGGCAGGGGAGAATGCTTCATGAATACTGAATTTCTTTTTGATGCGATGAAAATGTTACGGAGTAAGACAGTAGTGGTGGTTGCACAACTTTTTGAATATACTAAAAACCGCTGAATTGTATATACTTAAGAGGAGTGAATTTACTATGTGAATTATATCTTAATTTTTTCAAAGTCTGGGGAGGGGAGTAAGAAAGGAAAATTCCTAGAGGGTATATCAGTCTATTTGGCCGCTATAACAAAATATCATAGACTGGGTGGCTAATAAACAAAAGAAATGTATTTCTCACAGTTTTGGAGACTGGGAGGTCCAAGATAAAGATGTCAGCTGATTTGGTGTCTGTCCGCTTCCTGGTTCATAGATAATGTCTTCTCTCTGTGTCCTCACATCGTGGAAGGGCAAGGCGGCCCTGGAGTCCCATATATAATGGTACTAGTCCCATTCACGAGGATTTTACTCTTAACACCTAATCACCTCCTAAAAACATCACACTGGGGGTTAGTTTTCAACCTAAGAATTTTCACAATCATTCAGACCACAGCAGGGTAAAAGTGAAAGAAGGAATTTAAAACCAGAGTGGTCTGTCTAATCCAGTGGGAAACAGGGCTCTAGGTTCTGATGGCTAGAGGCTGCAATGCTAATTTCTGAATGGGGCAGGAGATGTGGCCTTGAGCCTTTGCAAGACAAGGCAGCTGAAAATGAGATGCCTGCTTAGAGTTTGGTCTTGAAGGGCTGTACTCTTAGTGAAAGAGAACCCAGAAAAATTTTGCCTACTGGCTTAGCGGATCTACAAAAAAAGTTTCTTTACCTGGACCATTGGGTGAGAGAAATGAAGTCTCCCATAAGAAATCAAAACCTCTATTCAGAGATTCAACTTCTTCCTGGTTTAGTCTTGGGAGGGTGTATGTGTCGAGGAATTTATCCATTTCTTCTAGATTTTCTAGTTTATTTGCGTAGAGGTGTTTATAGTATTCTCTGATGGTAGTTTGTATTTCTGTGGGATTGGTGGTGATATCCCCTTTATCATTTTTTATTGCGTCTATTTGATTCTTCTCTCTTTTCTTCTTTATTAGTCTTGCTAGCCGTCTATCAATTTTGTTGATCCTTTCAAAAAACCAGCTCCTGGATTCATTAATTTTTTGAAGGGTTTTTTGTGTCTCTATTTCCTTCAGTTCTGCTCTGATTTTAGTTATTTCATGCCTTCTGCTAGCTTTTGAATGTGTTTGCTCTTGCTTTTCTAGTTCTTTTAATTGTGATGTTAGGGTGTCCATTTTGGATCTTTCCTGCTTTCTCTTGTGGGCATTTAGTGCTATAAATTTCCCTCTACACACTGCTTTGAATGTGTCCCAGAGATTCTGGTATGTTGTGTCTTTGTTCTCGTTGGTTTCAAAGAGCATCTTTATTTCTGTCTTCATTTCGTTATGTACCCAGTAGTCATTCAGGAGCAGGTTGTTCAGTTTCCATGTAGTAGTCATTCAGGAGCAGGTTGTTCAGTTTCCATGTAGTTGAGCGGTTTTGAGTGAGTTTCTTAATCCTGAGTTCTAGTTTGATTGCACTGTGGTCTGAGAGACAGTTTGTTATACTTTCTGTTCTTTTACATTTGCTGAGGAGAGCTTTACTTCCAACTATGTGGTCAATTTTTGAATAGGTGTGGTGTGGTGCTGAAAAAAATGTATATTCTGTTGATTTGGGGTGGAGAGTTCTGTAGATGTCTATTAGGTCCACTTGGTGCAGGCTCTGAAATTGTGGCAATAATCAATAGCTTACCAACCAAAAAGAGTCCAGGACAAAATGGATTCACAGCCGAATTCTACCAGAGGTACAAGGAGGAACTGGTACCATTCCTTCTGAAACTATTCCAATCAGTAGAAAAAGAGGGAATCCTCCCTAACTCATTTTATGAGGCCAGCATCATCCTGATACCAAACCCGGGCAGAGACACAACCAAAAAAGAATTTTAGACCAATATCCTTGATGAAAATTGATGCAAAAATCCTCAATAAAATACTGGCAAACTGAATCCAGCAGCACATCAAAAAGCTTATCCACCATGATCAAGTAGGCTTCATTCCTGTGATGCAAGGCTGGTTCAATATATGCAAATCAATAAATGTAATCCAGCATATAAACAGAACCAAAGACAAAAACCACAGGATTATCTCAATAGATGCAGAAAAGGCCTTTGAAAAAATTCAACAACTCTTCATGCTGAAAACTCTCAATAAATTAGATATTGATGGGACGTATCTCAAAATAATAAGAGCTATCTATGACAAACCCACAGCCAATATCATACTGAATGGGCAAAAACTGGAAGCATTCCCTCTGAAAACTGGCATAAGACAGGGATGCCCTCTCTCACCACTCCTATTCAACATAGTGTTGGAAGTTCTGGCCAGGGCAATTAGCCAGGAGAAGGAAATAAAGGGTATTCAATTAGGAAAAGAGGAAGTCAAATTGTCCCTGTTTGCAGACGACATGATTGTATATCTAGAAAACCCCATTGTCTCAGCCCAAAATCTCCTTAAGCTGATAAGCAACTTCAGCAAAGTGTCAGGATACAAAATCAATGTACAAAAATCACAAGCATTCTTATACACCAATAACAGACAAACAGAGACCCAAATCATGAGTGAACTCCCGTTCACAGTTGTTTCAAAGAGAATAAAATACCTAGGAATCCAACTAACAACGGACGTGAAGGACCTCTTCAAGGAGAACTACAAACCACTGCTCAATGAAATAAAAGAGGATACAAAGAAATGGAAGAGCATTCCATGCTCATGGGTAGGAAGAATCAACATCATAAAAATGGCCATACTGCCCAAGGTAATTTATAGATTCAATGCCATCCCTATCAAGCTACCAATGACTTTCTTCACAGAATTGGAAGAAAACTACTTTAAAGTTCATATGGAACCAAAAAAGAGGCGGCATTGCCAAGTCAATCCTAAGCCAAAAGAACAAAGCTGGAGGCATCACGCTACCTGACTTCAAACTATACTACAAGGCTACAGTAACCAAAACAGCATGGTACTGGTATCAAAACAGAGACATAGATCAATGGAACACAACAGAGCCCTCAGAAATAATGCCACATATCTACAACTATCTGATCTTTGACAAACCTGAGAAAAACAAGCAATGGGGAAAGGATTCCCTATTTAATAAATGGTGCTGGGAAAACTGGCTAGCCATATGTAGAAAGCTGAAACTGGATCCTTTCCTTACACCTTATACAAAAATTAATTCAAGATGGATTACAGACTTAAACGTTAGACCTAAAACCATAAAAACCCTAGAAGAAAACCTAGGCATTACTATTCAGGACATAGGCATGGGCAAGGACTTCATGTCTAAAACACCAAAAGCAATGGCAACAAAAGCCAAAATTGACAAATGGGATCTAATGAAACTAAAGAGCTTCTGCACAGCAAAAGAAACTACCATCAGAGTGAACAGGCCACCTACAAAATGGGAGAAAATTTTTGCAACCTACTCATCTGACAAAGGGCTAATATCCAGAATTTTCAGTGAACTCAAACAAATTTACAAGAAAAAAACAAACAACCCCATCAACAAGTGGGCGAAGGATATGAACAGACACTTCTCAAAAGAAGACATTTATGCAGCCAAAAGACACATGAAAAAATGCTCATCATCACTGGCCATCAGAGAAATGCAAATCAAAACCACAATGAGATACCATCTCACACCAGTTAGAATGGCAATCATTAAAAAGTCTGGAAACAACAGGTGCTGGAGAGGATGTGGAGAAATAGGAACACTTTTACACTGTTGGTGGGACTGTAAACTAGTTCAACCATTGTGGAAGTGGGTGTGGTGATTCCTCAGGGATCTAGAACTAGAAATACCATTTGACCCAGCCATCCCATTACTGGGTATATACCCAGAGGATTATAAATCATGCTGCTATAAAGACACATGCACACGTATGTTTGTTGTGGCACTATTCACAATAGCAAAGACTTGGAACCAACCCAAATGTCCAACAATGATAGAGTGGATTAAGAAAATGTGGCACATATACACCATGGAATACTATGCAGCCATAAAAAAGGATGAGTTCATGTCCTTTGTAGGGACATGGATGAAATTGGAAATCATCATTCTCAGTAAACTATCGCACAGACAAAAAACCAAACACCGCATGTTCTCACTCATAGGTGGGAATTGAACAATGAGAACACATGGACACAGGAAGGGGAACATTACACTCTGGGGACTGTTATGGGGTGGGGGGAGGGGGGAGGGATAGCATTAGGAGATATACCTAATGCTAAATGACAAGTTAATGGGTGCAGCACACCAGCATGGCACATGTATACATATGTAACAAACCTGCACATTGTGCACATGTACCCTAAAACTTAAAGTATAATAATAAAATTTTAAAAATTAAAAAAAAGAAAAAGAAATCAAAACCGCAAAACCCCAAGCCTCCACCACAACAAGGTATTGAAAACTAAAATTGTATAAGTCACGTAGTAATGGATTCCCCAAGATGAGAAACAGATGTGAAGCTGTTCTAGAATTGAGGACTTCTTGGTGATGACTCATGAATGATTTGCACTGAAAAGGTGCACTGACATAAAAAGCAGTCTTGACTGGAGATTATCTTAATCAAAATGACAAACCATGAAAGCAAAGGACCTACCTGGAACAAGAGTTAATAGATGCAACCAATAGACGGATTTGTGCCGCCTCTAAGAACTGAATATAAGAATCAGGAAGGGGGCGTAAAAGAAGTATATTTACAATTATTTTTAGAAAAAAGTATAGGAACCAAGGAATGAATGGCACCAAGGAGAAAAGGACAGGCAGACTTAAATGGAAACAAATCATTAGAACTTCTGGAAATATAAAAATCAGTAAAATTTCTATTAAAATCCAGGAAGAGGTTATAAAAGAAGTATATTTAAAATAATTTTTAAAAGAAGGTATAGGAACCAAGAAATGAATGGCACATGAGTGGAACAGGCATATTTAAGTGGAAACAAATCATTAGAACTTCTGGAAATATGAAACTCAATACAATTTCAAAAGGATTAAATAGTAGAGAAAATGCAGATGAACAAAGAATTATTAAAATGGAAACTAGAACTGAAGTACTTACCCAGAATGTATCTCAGAAATACAAAGAGATGAAACAAAGAGATTAGGAGACATGGAAGAACAGAAAAGCTTTGAGATATAATTGGAATTCTAGGAGGAGAAAATAGAGCAGGAGACAACATTCAAAAATGTCTAGAGAATTCTTTAGAATTAATGAAGTTTTAAAAATGACGAAGAGATCCAAGCAAAATGAATGCAAACAAATCCACACTTAGTTACTTCATAGTGAAACTGAAGAACACTACAGAAAATTTAAAAATTCTTAAAACTAACCAGTGAGAGAAGTTAGAGTCTTCTACAAAGGAAGAATTACACTGACAGACTTCCCATTGCAACAACTGATACCAAAAAAAAAAAAAAAAAAAAAACTTTATTCAAAATGAGCTGTCAACTTGGAATTCTGCAGCCTTCTAAACTGTCATTGAAATGTAAGGGTTAAATAGAGGCTGCTAGAATTTACCTTGATGAAAGAATTACCAGAAGAAGTGAAGCAATAAAGAAAATTAACAGAAGGAAAATCAGATGCAAGAAGCAATAATGGGCAACAAAATTGTTAAATGTGTATAAATCTCTACAAAAATCAATTTAAAATAGCAAGAGTTCTGCTATTGATGATTGCTGAGTAAGCTTCTGTTGGACCAACACTCCTGCAAATAAAAAATACGCTTTCTGAAGGAAGTATATATTGCCTTAGAACACCCCATTTGCAACCAGATGCACGAGATGCTGGAGAAGCATTGATACTTAGATGAAGGAAATGACACTAGTTGAGTTTCCTATCTTTAGGACTTTCATTCTCAGGGCAGGCCCTAGTCTTCTTCATGTGGGGTGGCTAAAACTTCAATCAAACAATATTAAGCATAATTTTTGCAATTACAAACCAACATTAAATCAATAGCCATGTAGAACACCAGAGGAAATTAAAGTTTGTATTGTTGATGACGAGACATCTGTTAACTTTATACATTAGTCCAAATATGCATGTTAATATATTAAAGCTAACCACTAAAAGAAATGAAACATAAAATGCCTAATCATAATGAAAAAACACAGAGAGCAAAGAAAACCAATCAATCTGATAGAAAGTAGGAAGAAACAGAAAAGGCATGGTAGATAGAAAATAAAACACAGCATAGTAGAAAAAAGTCCAAATCTATTAGTAATTTCAATATAAATGTATGTCTTGCTCTCAGTGAATCTGCATTTTTGCATAAGATAAAATAATCATGGAGTACAGAAAGCAGTCAGCTACACATTTGTCTCAGGTGAGCCAAGGGATGACTTTTAATTCTGTCCTTTGTCCCGTACCTGTGAAGATAAGATGTTAATTTACACTGTCAGGGTAAAATTGAATGGAAGTAAAGGGACTTCCTTGTGAGCAAATTGCAAGGGAGATATATAGCCTTTTATCTTGTAGCTGTCTATTTAGGAATAGAGGGAGGCAGGTTTGCATGGCCTAGTTCCCAGCTTGTCTTTTCCCTTTGGCTTAGTGGGTTTGGGGTCTGGGGACTTTATGTTCCTTTTACAACACATATTGCCCCAGATGGTCTCCCTCACAAATTTCTCACAAGGAAATTCCCTGTGAGCCACTAAATCTTTCAGGATACATATCCCCCTATAAACTAGTCCTAAAACTGAGTTCTGTTGACTCTCATCTGACAATGTCAATTACCAGCTTATTGTCACAGGTATGGGACAATGACAAGACCAGAAATCATCCTCCTGCCTACCCTGAGATGGATGCAGAGCTGACTTTTCCCTCTGCACCCTCTTTTCACATGTGAAATGTAGATTTGTGAATGCTAATCAGAGCCTCACAAGAATGTAACCATTTACATCATTGCCTACCCCCCTTCCTGTTTTCTCTCTGGCTCACACTTTCTCCTTTAAATACTGAAGTTCCCAAACCCTCTTTGGAAAAAGCTTAGGTCACAGATGCTCCCATGACTTGTGTTTTTCCTGGAAGTGTCCTCAACCTTGGCTAAATAAACCTCTATCCATTGAGACCTGCCTCAATCACTTTTTGGTTAGCATCTTGTTATCAGTCGGTAGAGAATAAACATTCTTTTCAAACACATATGGGGCTTTACACAAATTGGCTAACTATGAAGCTATAATGAAAGTCTCAATGAATACCAAGGAATTTATTTGAGACGCTCTGATCAAAATGTTAAAAAAAAAAGTTAATAACAAAAGCCACATATTTGGAAATTTTTAAACCTGAGAATTATAAAATATGTAAGAATAAATGACAATAAAAAAATTTCTTATTTAAAACCTGCAAGGTACAACAAAAATGATGTGTTGAGAGAGTTTTATAGCCTTAAATGCATAGATTAGGAAAGAGTAAATGTTAAAAGTGAGTTTACTTTAAAAAATTTTACTTGTTAAAAATTAGAGAAAAGAATAAACTCAAACCAGTAGAAAGAAGAAATAATAAAGATAAGACTGGACTTTATTGCAATGGAGGACTAATAAACCATGTAGACAACCGTCAACCTAACTAAAAGCTAGTTATTTTTAAAATTAATGAAATAAGTAAACCTCTGAACTTACTGAACAAGGGACAAATAAACAATATTCTGAAAGAAAAGAGGGACATAATGACAGAGGTAGCAGAGATCTTATAATCATGAGAGAAATTTGTGAACCACTTTATATCAACACACTTGAAAACCTAAACAAAAATAGATCATTTTTTAGGTTTCATAATTAAAATAGTATAAATAATACTATCCTTTTAATTTAAAAATATGGGGACAGGGGAAGGAGAGAGAGGGAACAAAGGGGCAGGGGAGAGAAAGAAAGGTAATTCTCATGGTCTTCCTTCTTGCTTACCTGTGTCCTGATTCATTTACTCCCATGCCTTGTGATTCAGACAAGGTGACTCCTACATATGCAGCCATTTTTTACCAGTTAGGTCGCAGCTTTGGATAATTTTCCTCTAACCAGCCATGAAGGGCCCTGGAACAAGAGAAGAGAGGGGACATATGGGAATCTGGATAGGCAGAGATGGAACAGCAACATGTCCAGTGACAGGGCCAATGAAGGAATCCCAAAGGTGGTGGCTGAGGGCTTTAACTGCAGCATGCCCACATGAAATGGTTTTCTGTTCGGCCTGGAGCTGGGTTCCTCTTCCATTACCTTCCACTACCCTTAAACCATTGGTAATAAACGTCCATCACCCACCACACCTTAGAGTCTGTTGCTTCAATGAACTGAAAAGAAGGGATTTGTCCATGCTTGAGGAAAGTTGGGGTGGAGAAAGTCTACCTAGTCACATAGACCATGCCTCAAACAATCTATTCAATAAAAGGTTAACATTAATGTTGAAAACAATCTTCATCAGTGAATAAATACTTTATCATGCCTTAAAAAGTCTTGTCTAACTTTTAAAAAGTCAGAATAGGAGGAAGAGATAGCTTGCAAAGGAATTGGAAAAGGGCTGAGAAAACAAGAGTAACACGAGGAAGGGAAGAGAATATTTCAAGAATGTAAGAATAATCAGGTAAGACAAGGCCTAGAAAGTCCCTTTGGATCTTGCAACATGAAGATCAGTGGGGGATCTCAAGCAGATATTTTGTTTTCTTTAAGAAAAAGAACAAAAGGCCCATTGGAGTAGATCCAGGAGTGAGTGGAAATAAAGAACATATATTGACCACCAGGGATGGTTCTTTCAGGAATTTTAACTAGAAGAGGTTACGACTATAAGAGAGTGGTAATTAGATGAGAATATAGTGTTGAGGAAAGTTTGTACTTACTGTTTTCCCTTTTTTTTTTTTAGGTAGAAACTATATTAGTTTCCTGAGGCTGCTGTAACAAATTATCACAAATAGGTGGCTTAAAACAATAAGAATGTATTGTCTCCCTCTTCTGTAGGTCAGAAGTCTACAATCAAGGCGCTGGAAGGGCCACACTCCCTCCCAAGTCTCTTGGGGGAGAATCTGCCCATGCCTCCTTCCTAGCTTTTGGTGGCTGCTGGCAAACCTTGGTGTTACTTGGATTGTAGCCACAGCACTCCAATCTCTGCCTTTGTCTTCACATTGCCTTCTCTGTGTGTCTCTTAAAGGACAGTTGTCATTGGATTTAGAGCTCACTCATATAATGCAGGATAACTACATCTCAAAATTCTTAATTTATAAGACCCCTTTTCCAAATAAGGTAATAGTTACAGATTCCAGTGATTTAGGGCATGGACATATCATTTAAGAGAGCCAACCTTCTTTTGAGAAGTGTCTGTTCATTTATGCAGCCAAAAAACACATGAAGAAATGCTCATCATCACTGGCCATCAGAGAAATGCAAATCAAAACCACTATGAGATATCATCTCACACCAGTTAGAATGGCAATCATTAAAAAGTCAGGAAACAACAGGTGCTGGAGAGGATGTGGAGAAATAGGAACACTTTTACACTGTTGGTGGGACTGTAAACTAGTTCAACCATTGTGGAAGTCAGTGTGGCGATTCCTCAGGGATCTAGAACTAGAAATACCATTTGACCCAGCCATCCCATTACTGGGTATATACCCAAATGAGTATAAATCATGCTGCTATAAAGACACATGCACACGTATGTTTATTGCGGCACTATTCACAATAGCAAAGACTTGGAACCAACCCAAATGTCCAACAATGATAGACTGGATTAAGAAAATGTGGCACATATACAACATGGAATACTATGCAGCCATAAAAAATGATGAGTTCATATCCTTTGTAGGGACATGGATGAAATTGGAAACCATCATTCTCAGTAAACTATCGCAAGAACAAAAAACCAAACACCGCATATTCTCACTCATAGGTGGGAAGTGAACAATGAGATCACATGGACACAGGAAGGGGGGAATATCACACTCTGGGGACTGTGGTGGGGTCGGGGGAGGGGGGAGGGATAGCATTGGGAGATATACCTAATGCTAGATGACACATTAGTGGGTGCAGCGCACCAGCATGGCACATGTATACATATGTAACTAACCTGCACAATGTGCACATGTACCCTAAAACTTAGAGTATAATAAAAAAAAAAAAGAAAAAAAAAAAGAAAATATTACCAGCAGAAAAAAAAAAAAAAAAAAAATCAAAGCAATGGCTTGCAACTCTGAGTAAAACAGGAATCCCTGCATCCATATTGATAAACAAGTGAATAAATAAATGGTGAGAAAGGATGTTTTTCTTTGTATGTAGAATGTCAACCAATAAATGTAGAAGGCATTATGGAGTTAGGAAATCATGTTGGTCAATCATGACAGTAATAACTGGGACAAGACTAATCAACTGATACTATATAACTGGTGAATGAGGAACAAAATACTCATATAGTCTCAAAGTATCTCCCCACAAATTACTTGTAAATTACAAAGAGGAAATCGTAAATTTAAAATGAAATCTGGCAGACACCAACCTAAGCGGTGAACAGAGTTAACAACATTAATGGGACCAACTGACATTATATGCTGATTACGACGCACTGACGACACACTGCTTCTGTGATATTCCCACCCAGAATGTAAAACCCTCACCTAGTCATGCGGAACCATCACACAAATCCAAACTGAGGAACATTCGACAAAATAGCCTGTATTCTTCAAAAATGTCATGGTAATGAAAGACAAAAGAAAGTTGAGGAATCTGCAGTATTGAGAGACACACGTTTACAAATGTAACACGATCCTGCACAAGGTAAAAGAATGGCTACAAAGGACATTATTGGGATAAATGGCAAAATTTAAATATGAATCATGGGTTAGATAACAGTATTAAATCACTGTTAAACTTCCTGATTTTGATAATAATACTTAAAAAAATACTGAATAATGCTTAAAGTAATTCTCTTCTTCTCTTAGAAGAGAATGTCCTGTTCTTAGGGAAATGCATACTGTTTTGGGCATAATGGGGTATCTGTGCAAATTATTCTCAAATGATTAAGAAAATGCAACATGAAATATAGATAAGGCAAATGGGATAAAATGTAAACACTCAGTAAATCTGGATAAAAGATATATAGGAGTTCTTTGTGATATTCCTGCAACTTTTCTGTAAATCTGAAATTGTATTCAAAATTTTAAAGTTACCAATAAAACAAAACAAACAACCCCTGACCAAGAATCCAACAACAAGGGATGAATCAAAATTATGGTACAGTCACCCTATGGATGCCTTCAAATTACACAGCTTTACAGATCAACTTTGTGAAGATATATAACAATATAGTAAAATGCTTATAACATGTACAATGTTGAATGATAAAAGCAGGATACAAAATACTTTATGTGTATATTATAACAACTATGTAAAAGCAAGCATATAATAAAGACTGGAAGGATAAAAAAAAAAAAAAAAAAAAAGAGAGCCAACCTTCAACCCACTACAGGGGCTAATTGACTATGTATATAAACTGATGGGGTGGTCTAGGCCTTCTCAAGCAAGACATAAAGTCCAATGTCCATGAAAGAAAAGCCTGACAGATTTAACTGCAGAAAAATTAAGCATTTCTAAATGAGAATAAACACCATAAACATAAAAAGACAAGGGCAGAACGGGAGAATATATTTGCCACATCCATCTTAAATATATCTAGTTTTAACTGCATAATCACAACTGGGTATAAAAAATAGTAATAGTAGTAAAGAGTAGTAAATAGTCATAGTAAAAATAAAAATAGTAGTAAAGATAAAAAGTAAAAAAAGTAATAAAGTAAAATAGTAGTAAAACAATAGTAGTAGTAAATAGTAGTAAAATACTATCAAGTATTATCATAGTAGAATGCTGTAGTAAAATTTAGTATAGACGCTCCTTGATTTACAGTGGGATTGCGTCCTAGTAAACCCATCATAAGTTGAAACTGTCATAAGTTGAAAATGCACTTAATAAACCTAACCTACTGAACATCACAGCTTAGCCCAGCCAACTTAAACATGCCCAGAACACTTACATTAGCCTGCAGCTGGGCAAAGTCATCTGACAACATAGTAAAACATAGTCCACCATAGAATATCTCCCTCATGACCTCATGGCTGACTGGGAGCTGTGGCTCACTGCTGCTATGCTCAGCATCATGATAGAGTATTGTATCACTTTCTGGTGCTTTTTAATGAATCCATGTAGTTTCTGCATCATCAAAAAGTTGAAAAATCATAAGTTGAACCATTATAAGTGGGGGACTGTGTTTTTCTATTATAATGATAGTGTGCAACAGTAGGAAAATAGTAAAAGTAGTAGTCTAGTAATATAGTACTAAAATAGTAAAAATTATAGTCTAGTAATATAGTATAGTAATAGTAAAATAGTAGTAAAAATAATAATTTTTCTACTGTTCTTTGGGGACCCCCATTTTCGTAGCAGGAAAAACAACTCAAACCTGCTGATTCAGGGTAATTTTTTTTCTTTTTTTTTCCCCAGGTTACTCAACCTGTTGGCAGTGTATTTTTCTTCTCACTGAGCACAGAGAGAAGTGTATGCACCGTTATGTTTTGCATTAGTGTGGCTGGCTGTGTGCCCAGTGACCAGGAGCTTTTTAAAAGAACAGAATTGTTCTTTTATCCAACTATGAATCACCAGTGCCTCGATCTGCCCATCACCCATAGAATCCTTATTAACTCATATAGATTTGAAAGCTTTTAAAAATCCTTGAGTACTTCAGTTTCCAGGGATGTTAAATAAAGCCAGGACTGCATTTATCATATTCCCAGCTGGGCTGTGTGAGGATTAATGTTTTATCATAAGTGATCTCCTGCTCCTTTAAAAAGGCATTAATTAAGTTAAAGGTTTTATTTTTCAAGGATATGCTTATTAGTTTTTTAATAACTTGTATCTCAATGTAGTCTCTGAAATGGAAGTGATAATGTTTTCATGCTTTCTCATAGAAAATCTGACATACAGGAGTACACAAAACTAATCTACGATTAATGTTCTTCTCTGGACATAATGTTGAGCAGTTGATCTTTCTGAGTTCTCTTGTTCTCCAGGAAGGTCCTACATGGTAGCTTGGCCTAAGGGAGGGACAGGGTGCATGCTTTGGGGAGACACCCCCTGACCTGATGTTGTGTTTCTCTCCTCCTCCCATTTCCCCTACCTTGGTTTCCCAGTGAGCTGAAGCAGAAGCTGGATGAGGAAGGCAGCAAGTGCAGCATCCTCTCGAAGCACCAGCAGTTTGTGGAGCACTGCTGCATGCGCTGCTGCTCGCCCTTCACCTTCCTCGTCAACACCAAGCGCCAGTGTGGAGATTGCAAATTCAATGTCTGCAAGAGCTGCTGCTCCTACCAGAAGCACGAAAAGGCCTGGGTCTGCTGCGTCTGCCAGCAAGCGAGGTGAGTGGCTGGTGCATTCCCAGGGTCTACACTGTTGATTTAGAGAGATTCACCTGCCACTTCCTTCAGTCAGGTAGAACCAGCTATGATTGGTAGATCAACACAGAGTATTGACCAAAGTAAATAGCTTGCTGAAGAGAGATGCATGGATAAGGAAACCTGTTGATCTTTATAGGGAGGATGAGAGAGGGCCCCCCAGGAGCACCTGGGTGTGAATAGAAAGGGCTTTCTTGGGATTGAAGATGCAGCTCCTACATATGTTATTCATCTTTTTGGAATTTCTCATCTGGTCTCATCCTTTCGTTCGTTCATTGCATAAGCATGTGTTGGATTCTTAGGAATTATGCTGGGTGCAGGAAACATGATGGTGAATTAGGCCAATTATGAGTGACTCAGAGGCATAGCGGATGGTGTGATACGTAAGTGCTGGGCCTTCATATGTGGAGATACATGCCCTGACTAGTTTGTCTATTGGCTATGAGGGCACTGAGCAAGGAGAGACTGGCCCTAGGGCTTGGAGAAAGCTTCATAGAGGACAAGAAATAAAAGCAAGATTGTGAAAGACAAAAAAGAGTCAATGCTGTGAAAGGGGAGATGAAGACAACTTTGCGAGGGAAATAACAAGCATGGCATTTCACATTCTCCCTCAGCGACCAGCAGAGCACTTCTTTGATCTGTTGAGTATTTGGAAACTGATGAGTATGATAAACCAGTGTTTGGTATTTGTCTGTGCTGATCCTAGCATCTGTAGTGTGCATTGTGATTCGTATTTGCTGCATGCTTCCAAAATGCCTGTTAATGAGTGAAGCAGAGATGAGCAGGTCCTGGGAGCACACACTCAGAAGCCCCTGCCTCCCACACCTTTTCCTTCTTTCCTCCTTTCTCCTCTCCCTGCCCTGTTTACTCGCTTGTATCCTTTAATGCATCAAGACCTAGAATTTTCCCATAGAGCTAGTTAATGGGGACAGCTGCCAAGTTTCCTTGGGGTCTCCAAGGAATCAGGCTCTGGGCTACAAAATATATATATTCATATTCATTCCAGAGACACAAACTGAAACAAAAAGTGGTATGTTAAGCACCCAGTATCCAAGGCTGGGTGCTACGCAGGTCCTGTGCCTGACTTGGTCAGAGCAAGGAGCCCATCTGGGTCTCCACATGGCAGCTTGAAAGGGGGAGGAAAAGCCCTGCAACAACAAAGGGAAGGAGGAAACTGGGATTATAGATGAGCGTGCATCTGGGAGTGATCAACAGAGAGAGGTTCATCCATGCCTTCTATTTCTCAGTCAAGGTGGGGTAAGCCAAATTCATCATGTAACACGTTTAAGGATTACGTGACTTGAATATTGTGGCACTGAGAACAAGACAGTTGGATGTTGGAAGAAATAAGAGTAGATCTAAATAGGCATTACAGGAGTTTGGGATGCACACATTCAAGCCAAGTTCCTGTAACAAATTATGAATCTGTTTTCTTTCAATCTTCCCACAGATTGGGAGTTTCGTGGGGCTTGGGACAGGTCAGAGGGTAACTGAGTTAAGGATATTGGACAGTGAAGAATGTAAAGACAGAATCTGGATAGTAAGGAAAAACAGAAAGGGGCTATGGATGGATGGGGAGAAAATGAAGGGGTCAGTCAGCCAGAAGTAGTATCTGGTAAAGTCAAAGAACTGTCACAGTGGGAGTACTTGATAGAGAAAATTGGAAAAAATGAAAATTCTATATAGAGAAAAAGATGAATTTGTGATTTCTAAAGTAGATCAGTTGAGTGGTGACCATGGGAAGAGGAGACAATGTCTAGAAGAAGAAGTTAAGGGACCAAAATACCAGTGCCCATATGATTGGAAAAAATCAGGATAGTGGCCACAGTATGGAGGTGAAGAATTGAGCCAGGTGACAAGTTTTTCTGAAATGAGAAGAAGGAACTAGAAGGTCAGGATGTGAGAGACATAAGGAGTTGGAGAAGATGAGATGACTGCATGTTATGATTCTGCACCTACCAAGTTGGGCAAGTCCCATGTAGCATTTGACTCAAACATCTGCCATGGCTGCATGCGCTACACTGACGTTTGTTACCAACTGGTGGTAAACACCGCCAGGACAGGGACACTGTCTTCTTCATTTGTAGCACCAGAGCCTGACACATAGAAAGCACATGAATCTTTGTGACCCAAATAGAACAGGACGATGTTTATAGCAGCCAGATGCATAGTACAGAATGAGCCTTTAGGAATTTTAGAGGAAAGGACTCAGAGACTGTTAGATGTCCTAAAGGGGTTTCATGGAAAAGGAGGGCATCCTAGATGGAACTCAGTTGGAGAGGAGGAATCAGGAGACACTCTCAGACAATGTGTGGCATGAGCAAACAAAGCAGAGTCACCCAAGGTGTGTGGAGGGTCTGAAGCAGACCGCTATTGAAGCGGGATGATGGCAAGTGATTGGGTCAGTTTGTGTGAAGAATTGGCGTTTGATCTTTAAGGGATGGCGAAATCACTGGAATGTCAAACCCTAGCCGTTATTAAAGTATACTATACTGTGCTTCAGCATATTCCCCCACAAATAAAAGGAAGTATCAGTACCTACATGATTTCATTTCTTTCAATATTTACCTAGTCCTCTTCTCCCCGAGTAAGAAAAGTCACCAAATTTACTAAACAGTTAGTAGCAATAGAGTGCAGTCACAGCCTGTCAACCCCACATTTACCATGAGTTGTATGCAGGCATCTATTATTAGTTACAATTAAATGACACATTGCATTAATCAAATACCAGTAGTGCTGAGTAGTTGATGCACCACCTCAGAATCCCATCACCTATAAATGGAAGAACCTTGCCTCGCAAAAGCAAGATCTTCTGATGCCAACCATTTGCTATTTCTCTTGTACAATGTTGTCTCAATAATTTGTCAGATATTGGAAAAATAAGTTGTAAAAAAGGCAGCAATGGCTGCCAAGACTATATTTTAAATTTTCATTTCATATTTCTAGCAACTTAATGAGGAGGCAGGAGGCTTAGGTAGTCCCATTTCACTTAATCTTGCATCATGTTCGTGTTAATATTGCATGACAGCTCCTGAGTCTCAGAAGCTGAGCATTAGAAAATAAAGAACCATTCATAGAAGGATACCTGGAAAGACATGCAACAGCCAGTGTACCCTTGTTCCATTTTTATTTTAAGAAAGTGGAGGGTTACTGAGGAGTCTTCCACATTCAATGTGTCTAGCTCAAACAGAACACACCCACACTTGTTTAATCAAAGCTGGCAGAAAGGGGATGCTGAGGAGAAATTGGAAATGTTGCTGCTTTAATCTTGTATTATGTCTTGAGATTATTATTGGCTGAAACCCAAAGGGATGGAGAAATTTTGTTCATTCCCTATTTTTCTGTATTGCTCAATTCAATCACAGGAACCTGTCTAGGAAAGAAATCCATGAAATATGTGGCATATTTTTGCATCCTGAAATGTCTCTAAGGCCCTGTTTGACAGAGAAGTATGTCTTTCAAAGTACCACGGATGTATGGCCTGTGAGCGGACAGTCTTTTATGTTGTACCTGGATCACATTCTTGTTTTTTGAAGGATGCCTTAGAAGAGTTAATTTTATTTATATATCAACAAACTGTGTAACCCATCAACATTACACAAGTGCTAGAGCCAAATTCATCATGTAACACATTTAAGGATTACGTGACTTGAATATTGTGGCAGTATGGACACTCAGGGCTGCTTGTCCACTTTGTCCAGTAGCTCCTCTGCCCTTCATTCAATCTGAAACTCCCTTCTTGGTTAGAACTGATTTACTTTAGACACTACTCTTTGGAACATTCTTCTAGAATTTTCATCTTCAAGCAAGTGGGTTTTTAAAACATTGTATGTCAGATTCTATGAAGAGCACATTTTGTGTTTGTATATGAAATCTCAATAGTTGATAGTAGGTCTATGAGGTTACACAGATGACCACTTTTGTGAGGCCACTTTCAGACCCATATTCACTCCCCACTACCCATGAGATGCATTCCTTTCCTTATTTAAATGAAACCATTTTTGCTACATTGGTTTAATTTCTAGCTATTTATCCAGTGGCTACAATATGCATATGTTTTTGAGATACTGTGGGCTATGAATAATTATAATAATAAAAATTCTTGTCCACAAAAAAGGAGTAGGAATTAAAGGTAGACATTCATCCTACAATATGAATAGCCTCAGAAGTAATAACTGTATCAAATACCTGGGGCTGTCTATTGTACAGCTGTAAATGAGAGAGTCGGATTAGAAACATGGCATTCATCAGGAGAGGACCCAGACAGTGTCAAGTCTCTAAGAAAAACGTGGTAACCTATAACTTTAACTTTCTTCTTTTCATCTCAGTGAAAAACAATCCATATTTTTTTCTGTTTGATTATTTAGTTCAGTAAAAGCATTTTGAGAATTTTAAAGTTGTAATTGTAATCATTTGGTTCTTTGTTAGTAATTTTGCTTCATATATTTTGCATTAAAATGTATTTCTGTTATCAGTGTTCATCTAAAATTTTTAGCTTTGGGAGATTAAAAAATTAAATGTATTATAGAATGAATGATGAATTACTTATTTTGGAAGTTCTATAGAAAATGGGATACTACTGAATCATCCCTTTGTCATTTTTTCATTATATATAGATTTATCTTCTTGACAATTTATTGTATGCATTCATTCAAACATTATGAATAAAGACATATAGTACTTGTATTTAAGGTCTTCTTCAGGAAGCAAAACTTTTCAGAGTGAGCCCAGACCATACATATCAGTCATAATCATTTTGGGCCTAATTGGTTTGGGAACAACATTCCTACTTTCCTTGGAAACAAATTAGCTTTCTAGCTCTTTGCTTCATTATAAAAATTGTTCACTCTAATTTTTGTCATTTTGTACGTCATAGGCATATCTCATTTTATTGTACTTTACTGTGCTTCACAGATATTACATTTTTTACAAATTGAAGGTTTGTGGCAACCCTGCATTGAGCAAGTCTGTCGAGGCCACTTTTTCCGATAGCATAGGCTCACTTCATGTCTCTATGTCACGTTTTGGTAATTCTCACAATACTTCAGACTTTTCCATTATATATCAAACTTTCTCATTATTATTGTTATGGTCATCTGTAATCAGTGATCTTTGATGTTACTATTATAATTGTTTGGGGGCACAACAAACCACACCCATATAAGACAGGACAAACTTAATCTATCAGTATTGTGTGTGTTCTGACTGCTCCACTGACTGGTGGTTCTCGCATCTCTCTCCCTCTCCCCAGGCCTCCTTATTCCCTGAGACACAACAATATTAAATTCAGTCAACTAATGGCCCTATAATGGCCTCTAAGTGTTCAAAAAAAAAAAGGGAAAAGTTACACATCTCTCACTTTAAATCAAAGTTAGAAATGATTAGTGAGGAAGGCATATTGAGAACCAAGATAGGCCAAAAGCTAAGTTTCTTGAGCCAGACAATTAGCCAGGTTGTGAATGCAAAGGAAAAGCTCTTGAAGGAAGTTAAAAGTGCTACTCCAGTGAACACATGAATGATAAAATGGAATAGCCTTATTGCTGATGGGGAGAAAGTTTGTGAGGTCTGGATAGAAGGTCAAACCTGCCACAACATTCCCTTAAGCCAAAGCCATATTCAGAGCAAGGCCCTATTCTTCTTCTATTCTGTGAAGACTGAGAGAGGTGAGGAAGCTGCAGTGGAAAAGTTTGAAGCTAGCAGAGGTTGGTTCATGAGGTTTAAGGAAAGAAGCCATCTCTATAACATAAAAGTGCAAGGTGAAGCAGCAAGTGCTGATGGAGGAGCTGCAGGTTATCCAGAAGATCTAGCTAAGATCATTGATGAAGGTGGCTACTCTAAACAATAGATTTCATCAATGTTGACAAAACAGCCTTTTACTGGAAGAAGAGGCCATCTACAACTTTCATAACTAAAAAGAAGTCAATACCTGGCTTCAAAGAACAGGCTGTCTTGTTAGGGGCTGATGTAGCTGGTGACTTCCAGTCGAAGCCAGTGCTCATTTTAGCACTCCAAATATCCTAGGTCCCTTAAAAGGTATGCTAAATTTACTCTGCCTGTGCTCTATAAATAAAACAACAAAGCCTGAATGATAGTGCATATGTTTACAGCATGGTTTACTGAATATTTTAAGCCCACTTTTGAGACCTACTGCTCAGAAAAAAAAAAAGATTCCTTTCAAAATATTATTGCTCATTGGCAATGCATCTGATCACCTGGGAGCTCTGATGAAAATATACAAGGAGATGAACGTTGTTTTCATGCCTGCTAACATAATATCCACTCTACAGCCCAAGATCAAGCAGTAATTTTGACTTTTAAGTCTTATTTCAGAAATACATTTCATAACACTATAACAGCCACAGATGATTCTTCTGATAGATCTTGGCAAAGTAAATTGAAAACAAACCTTTTGGAAAGGATTCACCATTCTAGATGTCATAAAGAGCATTTGTGATTTGTGAGAAGAGGTAAAAATATTAACAGGCGTTTGGAAAAAGTTGATTCCAGCCCACACTGATGACTTTGAGGGATTCAGAACTTCAGTGGAGGAAGTAACTGCAGATGTGATAGAAATAGCAAGAGAACTAGAATTAGAAGTGGAGCCTGACAGTGTACTGAATTGCTGCAATCTCATGAGAAAACTTGGACAGGTGAAGAGTTGCCTGTTACGAATGAGCAAAGAAAATGGTTTTTTGAAATGGAATCTACTCCTGGTGAAGATACTATGAACATTGTTGAAATGACAAAAAAATGATTTAGAATAGTTCATAAACTTAGTTGATAAAGCAGTAGCCAGGGTTTGAGAGGATTGACTTCAACTTTGAAAAATGTTTACTGTAAGTAAAATGCTATCAAATAGCATCACGTGCTACAGAGAACTCTTTCATGAAAGGAAGATCATTCAACATGGCAGACTTCATAATTGTCTTATTTTAAGAAACTGCCAAAGCCACCCCAAACCTCAGCATCCACCACCCTGATCAGTTAGCAACCATCGACATCAAGACCCTCAACCAACAAACAGATTACAACTTACTGAAGGCCCAGATTATTTTTAGTGTTTCTTTAGCAATAATGTATTTTAATTAGCTGTGTACATTTTTGGGGCACAATGCTGTTGCACAGTTAAAAGACTACAGAATGTTGTAAACATAAATTTTATGTGCACAACATTTAATAGACTACAGTATAGTCTATCTAACTTTTATATGCACTGGGAAACAAAAAATTTGTGTGACTCACTTTTTTGTGATATTCGCTTTATTGTGGTGGTCTGGAACTGAACCCACAATATGCCCAAGGTGTGCCTACATTACCTTTAACACAGAACAATTTGGAAAATTGTTTTCAGTGAATGGGAGAAAAATTATTCTTGGAACTGAAATCAAAACACAGCTCATTAAGCTTGTGGCATTTGCTTTGGTTTTTCTAAGAAAACTTAAGGCTTCTTTTCTTTTTCCTTGGAATTGAGTATTATTTACTTCTATCTAGTCACTTATTACTTGGTATTCACACAGCCCACATACCTCATAAATTGCATCTTGTCCTTTTGGAATAAACTCCACAGTATGTTTTATTTATTTATTTATTTTTATTGATATATCTTAGTTGTATGTATTTTGAGGGTATGTGTGACATTTTGATACCTGTATATAATGTGTCGTGATCAAATCAGGGTAACTGGAATATCCATCACCTGAAACATTTATCTTTTCTTTGTGTTGAAAATGTTACAATTCTTTTCTTCCAGCTATTTTGAAATATACAATAAATTGTTGTTAACTGTAATTTCCCTACTATACTATTGAATACTATAACTTTTTCCTTCCATTTAACTGTATTTTTGTACCCTTTAACCAACTTCTCTTCATCCCTTCCTCCTCACTTCCTTTCCCAGCCCCTGGTAACCACCGAAATTCTACTCTCTACCTCCATGAGGTCCACTTTTTTAGCGCCCACATATGAATGAGAACATGTAATATTTGTCTTTCTGTGCCTGGATTATTT
This sequence comes from Homo sapiens, assembly GCF_000001405.40. Classification (NCBI taxonomy): domain Eukaryota; kingdom Metazoa; phylum Chordata; class Mammalia; order Primates; family Hominidae; genus Homo; species Homo sapiens. The sequence continues at coordinate 40,052,315 of NC_000003.12, forward strand.
CACTTAATATAATGACCTCCAGTTTCATCCATGTTGCTGCCGGTGACAGGGTTTTATTCCACAGTATGCTTTAGAGATACTCCAATGTATTTGTAATATCCTTTGAAAAATACATTAAACAATTATCACCGTGGGCTAAGAATATGCACAAGTTAACAAATATATGGGGAAATATTGAACCTCATTAGAAATCAAGGGAATAGAGGTTTATGCTTCAAGTAGTTTTTTAAATTAAATTAGTGGCACTCTTTTCCATTGCTGGGGAAGTATAAATGGGCACAACATTTTACCATCATGTATCAAGAGCCTTTAGCATATCCAAGCACTCTTTTTCCCAGTAATTTCATGTTTGAAAACCTACAACTGATGATGTAAGATAATTTTTTAAATGCTGTACAAAAATGAGTTATACTGAATTATTTGTAATATAAAGAATATTCATAATCTAAATGCTCAACAATAAAATGGTAGAAGTAAGTTAGGACACATTCAACGTGACACAATATGATAAATCCTTTAAAATAATGTACATGTTTTGTTAGTATGGGTAAACTCTTATATTAAAATGTTAGATTGAAAACTGCAATGCAAAATGTACATATAATCACTATGTAATAAGGAAAACATAGAAAAATAGAAAAGGAAATATACAATCAATGATATTAGGAGTAATCATTCTTTAGGAGCTAGGCTTGTGGATTATTTTCTTCTTACCTCTATTTTCCATTTAGTTTCCAAGTTTTCCACATTTTGCATGCATGCTTTTATAACCAGGAATAAATAAACATAAAGAAATGTAGGACTTGCTCCCTTCTCTCTTCCCCATTCCAAAATCCTCTCCTTTATCAGCCTAGTGTTGCCCTTCCCCCCATCCCTGCCCCACTTTAAGCCACAGGGCTGATACCACCTGGCTTCCCAGGGATAATGGAGCCACTGAAGGGGACATGTATTTTGAAGTCCCAATTAATGGGCAATTTAGGTTAAGATACTGCCCTGTCTAAATCAGATCTCTGCAGAGACTGTAACCACAGAGCTCAATCTGAATCATTGTCAAAGTGACCCTAAGTGACCATGAGGTGGATAGGAATTCTTTAAAATTTAAATTGCCACCAGTGAAAGCTAAACATATTTTCCATTCACTAGTTCTTTAATATCAATAGATTAAAGAACAAATAAATGTATCAAGAGGACTTGCTATGGGTATGGGATTGAATTTGTCTTTTCAGATGAGTTGTTTCATTTAATCCTTACAAGAACTCTGTGAAGGGCAAGTGATAAACCACGTGTAGGGCCAGGGAAGTCTGAAACTTGGAATGATTATGTGGTTGTCTCAAGGTCACCTTGTTAGTCCCAAGTTCAGGAGTCTCCTTACAATATCCTCAGGAAAACAGCCTGAGCCTCTGGGTCCCCTGCCTTCAACTGCTCAACAGGCTTCCTTACTCAACCAGGCCCTGCACCCTAGTTTAAGTCTTTAGAGGAATAGCCAGCCTGTGCTCCCTCACCTCAAAAGAATGGTGGTGATTTCTGCTTCCTCTTGAAGGCACTTGTGTCTACAAGGCACTTAACTGCACACTTGGATTTCCTGAGCAGCTGTAGTAGTGAGAACAGACCTGAACAGGGGAGTAACCATCAGGGAACACAGCCCCAACACAGCATAGTGGCCTCACAGCCCATGGGTATAGCATTGGCACTCCCGCTAACTGTTTTGTCACTCTGGCTGCCTTAAGTTCATCTTACCTGAGGCCTTTCAGCTCTAACATTTATCCTATCTGGACCACAGAGGATGAGTTGGTGGTATCCACTGAATGATTGAATCCTTAGAAGTCTGTGTTCTTAGTGAAAGTATATACCATGACCTTGCACATGAGGTGCATGAATTAAATCTTTAAGTTATTTTGGAAACTCATTGGCCTCCCAATTCATCTTTTAATAGGATTTAAAAGAGGAAGAAAAATGAAGCTTTACCTTGGTATACAAAGTTTGACAGGCTTTTTATTAAATCTGTAATGTCCACAATATCTGAGCATTTAGGATACATTTATAGCCTGATCACCATAGGTTTTTATTAACATGAGTTTGTTTGCATAAGGGACTATGATGGTTAATTTTATGTGTCAACTTGGCTAGGTCATATCACCTAGGTATTGAGTCAAATACTAGTCTGGATGTTGCAGTGAAAATATTTTTTAGATAAATTAATTTAAATCAATAGACTTTGAGTAAAGCAAATTGCCCTTCACAATGTGGGTGAGCCTTATCCAATCCACTAAAGGCCTTAAGAGAAAAAAGACTGACCTTCCCAAAGATGAGGGAATTCTTCCAGCAGTCTGCCTTCAAACTCAAGCTGCAACATCCACTCTTCCCTGGGTCTCCAGCCTGCCATCCACCCTACAAAGTGTGGACTTGCTGGCCTCCACAATCTCATAAGCCTATTCCTTAAAATAAATGTCTCTCTCTGGCACTTTAGCTAGATGTTAGCTAGAATGAAGGGGGAGTGGATGCCTTGGCAACCGTCATCGTCTGCCGCAAGGCATATTTTCAAATTACTGGAGATTTTAGCAACTGAAAAAACATCACACTGGCTAATAGCATAGTTCTTATTAACTCACTATAGATTCATGGACCAAGGAACACTACTGAGAGGGCCACATTTTTTGGCCTTGGAGCAATTAGGGTAATAAGAAATCATGGGTTCTTAAGCTCTGTTTTCTTTTAACAGTCACCAGCCTAGCAGATGTCATCACTGACTCTGCTTATTTACATGGTAGGGAAAAAATGACAAATATTTAACTGCTTTACACTCTGGTATTTAGGTTTGTACCCAGTCTTGAGGCCTTTAGGCATTTCCTTAGCACCACCTTTTTATCATATAATCAATCAAGTACATACCCACCAATCACACCAGTGTTTGATATATCTTAGTGGCATTACAATGAAAACTACTTCTGAAAATATAATAAGCTGCAGTATTAGATATGCTACAAATGTGCTTTAAGGTTTTTGGGAAAAAATAAAATGGGAAAGTTTATCTTTTGTTCAAGTGCCAGTATAAAAAGGCTATCAAATAGAAAACAAACTGCCATCATAGGTAATGCTCCTCATTTAGCCCCTAATTGATAACACCTTTAAATTAGGGGAGAAAAATCAATAGAAAATGCTCTTTAAAATTGAGGCAACAGTTGAACAGCTTGTCATGAGTTGAGGCGGGAGAAAAGCCAAAAACATAAAAAGCACCTGTGACTCAGATGTTTGATGACTTCTGGAGGAAGAATATGCCCACCTCTCTGGTTTGCTTCTCATCACTCAGCCATACCATACCAAGGACATGAACAGGCCTTACAACAGATAATCCCCATTGTAATCATTTTTCATCTGTCCATAGCACTTTACTGTTTTCATATGTTTTGGTTGAGGAGTTACATCCAGGCCAAACAAACCTTGTTACAATGTCTTTTACTAAGGAACATAGCTCCTCTACTCTGGCCAGTCTTGGACCAGGATCTAGACAGCAAGGGTAAGCTGAGAGCCCCACAATAGATTCCAATTTTAACACGAGCTGGAGGTTTTCTTTAACTAGATAATACAGAAATAAGAGAATTAATCGAAAATGACTAAATCCATGCCATGAACTAAACCATATATGATTATTAGCATTCACATAAACATCATTGTAATTCAACAAATATTAATTAGTGTACAGAGGGGTTTTGATGTTAACATCTAATTCTTCCCCACTAAGGAAGTGGTAAAAGCTTAGCCAGCACGTGTGACAGGCATCCCTGGCTCTTTAGCGAGCTTGTGTGGTTCTTTGAAGATCATCAGCTTGCTTTGGGAACCATGCCTGGGCATTCTTTCCGTTCCTTGGGATGTAATTAAATATGAAGCTAGTTAGGGCAAGGGGATACTTCCCTTGCCACCACCACACATATCTTGTGATTCAATTGCCTCCTAGCAGTGTTTATTCTACAGCTTCCAACTTCACTATCAGTTTTCCTGATTGAGAACATGGGAGAACTTATCAGGTTGGTTTTCAGCTAAGTACTTGCTGATTTTAGACCTTTGGCCTCAAGCTGGAGGCCTGCATCCCACTTCTTGACAACCCTAAGCACAGCAAGTATACTCTTAGAGTCTCTTCTCAGAGTCTTTCCCATACCACAGTTTCTCGAGGCTTATGGTTTTCTTTTCTGGATAAACATGGCTGTTTCCCAGCTGCTGTAGGGGCAAGCTTTAATTAGAGAGAATTTTATTTAACAACCACTATGTGCTAGGCACTGCTCTAAGAGCATTATAAATATTAACTCTTTAAATATGCATAATTATACCACGAGGTAGGTACTATTATTTCTCCATTATATTTATAGAGAAACTTAAGCACAAATAAGCTAAATAACTTAGGTTAATTAATAGATTAGATTTCACTAAGGAGCTTTAGTTTAATAGATGGAATTGGATTAACTTAAAAATCCATAGCGCATTATAAAATGAAGCAGGTTGGGTACCTTCCCGAAGTTGTCAGTCTGTGGTATGTGTTGGAATTACAGACTCTGGAATTAAATACTTGAATTGAAATCCACCATTCACTATGCAAAGGGTAGGGGTAGCAGTGCCCATCCCTTGGAGTTGTTGTGAGGATTAAATCAAGGAAATTTGCTTCAGTACCTGACATTTATGTGTTTAGTGAATATCAGTTACTTTTATTAATTACTGCTGTTATTGATGTGATAGTAACAGTGTTGCCGGCTTCTCTAGGAGCCCTAAAGAAGAGCCCTTTAGCATCTATGGACTATGCTGGAATGAAACTCAACACCCCCACCACCTTCCACACCTTCTCTTCTTTCCTCCCTTCACCTTCATGCTTGGTTCCCTATCTACTAGATTCTGGTAAGCTCCAGATTCACAAAAAGAGCCTCAATTAAGATTTTGGAGAAGCCTAAACAGTCCTATGTCAAAAGCTGCCAAGAGCCAGGGTGTTCTTCACATTTTCCCTCAGCCTGACTCATCAAAGCCGGCTTGTTACTGGGATTGCATTTTGGAACTAAGGCAGCTGGTATTTCAAAGGGGCTGAAGTTAAAAAGAAGAAATGAAAAATATCTCTTTTCTAACACATCAGAGCCCTTGAATGAATTAGAACAGCAATTAGAAGCTAACGTTAATCTAGACAACCTCCGTATGTCATAAAATAGGAGAATGATGCTGACCTGTAAGAACAGGCACCATATGCCTTGGTAACTCCCAGCAAGTCCTGCTCAGAGGCCCCAGTGGCTTCTCACAGACCACCCCTGTCCCAGAACTCATACTTTCTCTGTCTTAGTGGTGCACACATGGAATGATGGAGCCTAAAATATGTTATCAAAAAGGTAATGATCTTCTGCACTAGAAACTTGTGTTTTGGGAAGGCCAGAATTTTCCTCTGCTAGCAACATCTTCCAGAGGAAGGGATGGGGCTTTGCTTTCTTTTGGGGTTCTTTTCCATCCTATATCCATGCATTAAGTTCATGTGCTCTGCATCAGACAGATTAATGGGTTTGAATGCTGGATTAGCCACTTATTTGCTGGGTGATGGTGGACAAGTTATTTAACCCTTCTGAGTTTGGAAGTAACAGTACTTTCCTCAAAAGATTATTGTAGAGGAAAAGAGGGATACAGCACAAAAATCACTTAGCAATGACTTAGCTGCAATGACTCAGAGCTATTACTATGATGTTTTCATTTTGAAGTTGCTGCATGGGTATTTACTTTATAAAATATTTAGCACCATATCATTGTTTATGATTATGAAACCATTTTCTCAATGTGTAGTACTTCTTTTTTAGCACGCAAACAATTTAATTTCTATAATTAATTCCCATAATTTTTTTCCCAGCATTGACCTAAGGCAGTTAAAGATACCACCACTTGGGAATTGGTGAATGAGGAGACTTAGGTACCTTCTGAAAGACTTCATAGGATCATACAGTGAATGTTTGAGGATATTAAGACTCAAGTCATCATCTAATAAACTTAAGTGTGTATTACTTTAAGTTTTGAAGTCCCTAGAAACTAAAAAATATGTGTAGAAGACTATAGCTTCAAGACAAACATCAATTGAAAACTATTTGTACTGTATCTCAATAGGCATTTCATTTTTTTCTGCTCAAAAGTTTTAATCATCAAGCTAAGTTAATATTATATAGCTAACATTTTTTAACTTGACTACATGAATGTCTTCTTTAATGTGCAATTTTTAAAAGTTTGCTATGCAATTATAAAGTTATACCAAGAGAATTAAGAATGAGATTACAAATACTTATGGCTCCTTCACTCAGATTATGAACTAAAACATTATCTATCCTAAGGAAGCCCCTGAGTCCTCTTTTTTAATTGCATTTTTCCCTTCCCCCAGAGATAATCACCATTTTGAACATGGTACTTGGGTTGTATTCACTAATGGTGGTTTCATACTTTCAATATGTCTATACGGATTCTTTTTTTCTCTTTTTTAAATTATACTTTAAGTTCTGGGATACATGTGCAGAACGTGCAGGTTTGTTACATAGGTATATATGTGCCATGGTGGTTTGCTGCACCCATCAACCCGTCATCTACATTAGGTATTTCTCCTAAGGCTATCCCTCCCCTAGCCCCCCACCCCCCAACAGGCCCCGGTGTGTGATGTTCCCCTCCCTGTGTCCATGTGTTCTCATTGTTCAGCTCCCACTTATGAGTGAGAACATGTAGTGTTTGGTTTTCTGTTCTGTTTTAGTTTGCTGAGAATAATGATTTCCAGTTTCATCCATGTCCCTGCAAAGGACATGAACTCATCCTTTTTTGTGGCTGCATAGTATTCTGTGGTGTATATGTGCCACATTTTCTTTATCCAGTCTATTATTGATAGGTATTTGGCCTGGTTCCAAGTCTTTGCTATTGTGAATAGTGCTGCAATAAACTTACGTTTGCATGTGTCTTTATAGTAGAATGATTTCTAATCCTTTGGGTATATACCCAGTAATGGGATTGCTGGGTCAAATGGTATTTCTGGTTCTAGATCCTTGAGGAATTGCCACACTGTCTTCCACAATAGTTGAACTAATTTACACTCCCACCAACAGTGTAAAAGCGTTCCTGTTTCTCCACATCCTCTCCAGCATCTGTTGTTTCCTGACTTTTTAATGATCACCATTCTAACTGGCATGAGATGGTATCTTGTTGTGGTTTTGATTTGCATTTCTCTGATGACCATTGATGATGAGCTTTTTTTCATATGTTTGTTGGCCGTATAAATGTCTTTCTTTGTTTCTTTGATTGGTGATCTGTCTTTTCAAAGACACTTTGTCTTTGAGTTCTTGAGCCCTTGCCTTATTGAGTTCATGTTTCTATTAGGTTTTCCATAGTGCGAAATCCTCAAGAGGAATTTTCTTTTGTTTTTTCTTGGATTTTCTTAACTTCCAGACTGGGTTCTTCATCTCCTTTTTAGATACTGGTCTAAGCCAGGTGTTTTGTGGTTGCCCCGTGAAGGGCCAGATCAACATTCCATCCAAAATTAGTTTCCATGTTGAGATGACAACTCCAAACCCACTAAGAGGATATGAAAAAGTTCATTATTCACATGATGGGACTTTGTGAGGCAAACTGGAAGGCTCATGCCAGTCCAGATAACAAGCAAGGCAGAGAGAATGGGTTGGGCCCTTACAGTGACTAGGGAGTGGAATGGGATAAGGCTTTCTGCATGTGGTGTGGGACTTGAGTGTGTGGGCTTTCTTACCACCTTGCCCAGATATAGGACAAAAGCAAGAGAAAGAAGAGAGATAGGGCTTCAAAGCTGTCAACTGCCAAACATCAAAAATTGAGTCTTTTTAAAAAAAAAAATTTTACAAGGTGTCATTAATTTTGTCCCTCAGGGGTGACCCCTGCTTTGGGAAACTCTGTGCTCTGATCATTTTGCCTGAGAACTGTGAGTTCTTCTTGGATGGTTTCAGAGAGGACAGCAAGGCAGTGATGCCTTTACTCTATCATTTTTAACCAGAAACCTTTGTCTAAATGCCTCTTTATAAATGATATTGATGAACCAAGAGAGTTCTGCCACTTTTAGTTTGTGGACTATGTTTTGCTTGAACTCAGATTTTTTTTTTCTTATTTCAAAGGAAAAACACTGACAAAAAAGGCAGCATATATTCTGTTGGTGGTTATTTTGCGAATAAGGCTGACATGTGTATGGTTATACTTGAATATTTTAGAGGGCCATGGTTACATCTTGGAAAACATTATGGATTTGGGTATTAGATTTTCTTTTTTTTTCTTTTTTTGAGAGAGAGAGAGAGAGAGAGATTCGCTCTTGCTACCCAGGCTGGAGTGCAATGGCGCTATCTCAGCTCACTGCAACCTCCACCTCCTGGGTTCAAGCAATAATCTTGCCTCAGCCTCCCTAGTAGCTGGGATTACAGGCGCCCACCACTACACCCAGCTAATTTTGTGTGTTTTTAGTAGAGACGGGGTTTCATTATGTTGGCCAGGCTGGTCTCGAACTCCTGATATCAGGCGATCCACCTGCCTCGGCCTCCCAAAGTGCTGGGATTACAGGCATGAGGCACCACGCCCGACCTAGATATTTTTATATTAAAGAAGCAAAATAAAAATGTATAGGTTTTCATAATTGAATTGGATGTGCTTTCATTATAATTCAACAGGATATGCATATTGATGTTGTTATTGACATATTTGATTAAAAACTTCATTATATTATGCATTTCTAAAAGCCCTACTTTTTGATGGAAAGAACAATTTTGTGTTCATTTTTAACTTTTATTTTAGGTTCAAGAGTACATGTGAAGGTTTGTTATACAGGTAAACTTCTGTCACAGGGGTTTGTTGTACAGATTATTTCATTACCCAGTTATTAAGCCCAGTACCCAATAGTTATCTTTCTGCTCCTCTCCCTTCTCCTACCCTCCACCCTCCAGTAGACCCCAGTGTCTGTTTTTCCCTTCCTCGTGTTCATGAGTTCTCATCATTTAGCTTCCACCTATAAGTGAGAACATGTGGTATTTGGTTTTCTGTTCCTTTGTTAGTTTGCTAAGGCTAATAGCCTCCATCTCCACTCATGTTCCCATAAAAGACATGGTCTTGTTCTTTTTTACGGCTGCATCATATTCCATGGTGTATATGTGCCACATTTTCCTTATCCAGTCTGTCATTGATGGGCATTTAAGTTGATTGCATGTCTTTGCTATTGTGAATAGTGCTGCAGTGAACATACATGTGTATGTGTCTTTATGGTAGAATGATTTATACTCCTTTGGGTATGTACCCAGTAATGGGATTGCTGGGTTGAATGGTAGTTCTGTTTTTAGTTCTTTGAGGAATTGCCATACTGCTTTCCACGATGACTGAACTAATTTACACTCCCACCAACAGTGTATAAGTGTTCCCATTTCTCTGCAACCTCACAAGCATCTGTTGGGTTGTTTTTTGTTTGTTTGTTTAACTTTTTATAATAGCCATTCTGACTGGTGTCAGATGGTATCTCATTGTGGTTTTGATTTGCATTTCTCTAATGATCAGTGATATTGGATTTTTTCAGATGCTTGTTGACCACATGTATGTCTTCTTTTGAGAAGTGTCTGTTCATGAACTTTGCCCACTTTGTAATGGGGATATTTATTTTTCTCTTGTAAATTTGTTTAATTCCTTATAGATGCTGGATATTAGACTTTTTTCTGATGCGTAGTTTGTAAAAATTTTCTCCCATTCTGTAGATTGACTCTTTACTCTGATAGTTTCTTTTGCTGTGCAGAAGCTCTTAAGTTGAATTAGATCCCATTTGTCAATTTTTGCTTTTGTTGCAATTTCTTTTGGTGTATTTGTCATGAAATGTTTGCCTGTTCCTGTGTCCAGGATGGTATTGCCTAGGTTGTCTTCCAGGGTTTTTATAGTTTTGGATTTCACATTTAACTCTTTAATCTATCTTGAGCTGATTTTCATATATAGCGCAAGGAAGGGGTTCAGCTTCAATCTTCTGCACATGGCTAGCCAGTTATCCCAGCACCATTTATTGATTAGGAAGTCCTTTCCCCGTTGCTTGTTTTTGTCAGCTTTGTTGAAGATCAGATGGTCATAGGTGTGCAGCCTTAGTTCTGAAAGCCCTACTTATTATTAAAATGAGAAAGACAACATTAAAAGATATTAAAAGATTAGTATAAATATTGTATCAAATATATTTCATTTTAAATAAAACATAAATTCTAGAATATGTGTAATGTGTAGGAGGACCCATACAAAATCCATGGGCACCCAAATTTTGACTAATAATCAGATAAGGTTAACTCTGGATTCTATTAAATTGATTATAAAATGACTGTGCTTTACATTTTAACGTTTCTGAAATCAGGATGGGTCTTCAAAAATATACTTGCCAGGCACCGTGGAAAAAATAAATTGTAAATATAATTGCCTGTTCATTTGTTGACTTGGCCTTGTGTGAAAAATATCTATTATTGAAATGATCACTTCACTGAGTTATTTGTGCTGGTAGCATCGTGTGCCATTTTTCATTACCTTACCTTGGATAATTAGCTCTTGAGATGTCTTTATACACCAAGATGTAGCAAGTCAAAGAAAGTTACTGTGTGCCTGAAAAATCCCAAGTTACACAGGGCTGTTTAGTGGAAAAGCTGTACAACTGCCAAATCTCTTGACTAGATTAAAGAATTTGAAGGAAAAAAAGATTTAGGAGATGTTGGTGTGAAGCTTATGTACCATGAGAGACAATCCACCTGTCCAAATTTCAGTATAAATCTAATTTTGAGGAAACATCAAACAAATACATATATATAAACTGGCTTAAATTTTTCAAAATGTTGATGTCACAAAAGACAAAGGCTGAGAAAATGTTTGGATTAAAGAAGACTAAGGAGACATGACAGCTAAATGAACTGCCTGATCCTTGATCAACTCCTAAGGTAGGGGAATATAGCTACAAAGGACATTGGGACAGTTGGAAATATTTGTTTATGGATAGTAGGGGAATAGTATTGTAGTAATTTAAAATTTCCCTGAATTGATCATTTTCCATGTTTATGTAAGAGAGTGTCCTTGTTCTTGGAAATACACACTGACATATCCAGTAGTAAAGCAACATATTTATTACTTATTTCTTCTATGAATGCTTACTGAGTTTGACCTATACAAAAGGTCTATGCTAAAGTACTATCAACTGCTTACTGCCCATCAACAATTTTCTGGAGAATGGTTTGTTCAAATTTTCACTTGCATCTTTGTATATAATTTTGGAAGTAGAAATTGTTGGTCTGTGTTTTACTTGTAATATTCTTTTCCTCTTTTCTTCTTGAAGCATATTTGCATAGCTTACATGACAGTTATGTTGGGGGAACAAACCAGGTGGGAATTTTGATCTCCTTGAAATTTCTTTTATAAGGAAAAACAACTGGTTCACTCTTTCAGCAAGTTCCCAGGCCTACATTAATAGTCAAGGTTAAAGAGATGAATTGATCACTATTCATGCTTATGGAAGCTTTTGTGGAAAAAGGTCTGTGCATGGGTGGTTGTGGAGGAGTAAAGAGTGCTCTGCCGGAGATTGCAAAATTCTCAGGGAGCCCAGTGGCTAGAGCAACAACATGACAAGTGTCCCAGGGGAAGGGATGCATGCGCTGGACTTCCATGAGAAGAGTGTACAGCAGGTGAGAACAGGAGGGAAGGGCAGGCTATATAAAGTAAAGAGCAAGAAGGGGCAGACTTGAAAGCCTGGGCCAAGTTTAGGCAAGACTAACTTCTGAGGGCTGAATCTAGGCTGCAAGCAGAGAGTAGATGGGAGAAGAGTAATCTTGATTAGGTGTCAACATTCTCCACCTTATTATATGTAGTCCCGTCAGGTGGACAGTACCCCCCTTTTACAGTTGTGGAAACTGAGCTCACCGAGACAGTAATTTACCCAAGGTAATTTTCCAAGTAAGGGCAGGAGCAGGATCCAAACCCAGATTTTGGACTCTAGGGTGTGCCTTCTCAACAGGATTATATTCCTCTAAGGGGGCAAAAAGTGGCCTTTGGAGGGAGAAAAAAAAACCTTGCTCTCTTTATCTATAAAGCAGAGACATATATACAGATGATGCTATATGAGAAAATGGATGATTAAAATACAAGTTGTTGTCTAAGGTGTTTTCAGCAGTTCATATCCCCACTCTGTTGTGCTTAAGGTAGACAGTATAACTGTGGTATTAAAATTTTATCCAGGGGGTAATTAGGGGGAAAATGTCTGAAAAGGCAACAATGTAAAACAAAGGTTATGAAACACTGCTCTATAGCAAGACAGGCAAGGACAGTGTCCTGAAGCCACGGAGGTCCTGGGATGCCTGGGTGAAGTTGACGTTTCTGTCCCTTGAGCTGATGATCTGTTCTCCTGACTTCATTAGCAGGGGCTCCTACAGCCCCATGAAGGTAGGTGTTGGTCTTGCTTATAAAAAGTGATAAAATGAGCTTGTGTTGAGTTGAGAAGAAAATCCTCATCCTGGGACTTAATTCCTCACCCTGTTAAAAGCGATGGGAAACCATAGTGTGTGTGTCAAAGGAGCATCTTTCTAGGAGGGGAACACTGGATAACTGTGACCTTTGGTTAAATGATATTTCGAGAGTAATAACCCACAAACTTCCACGTTCCCTACAGATGAGTAACCTTAACCCTGCGTACTCATTTCTTAGGGTTTCCATAATAAAGTACCACAAACTGGGTGGGTTAAAAAACAGTTCTGAAGTCTGGAAATCTGAAATCAAGGTGCAGGCAGGGCCATGCTCTCTCTGAAGTCTGTAAGAGGAATCATCCTTTGATCCTTCCCAGCTTCTGGTGGTTTGACAACCTTTGGTGCTCCTTTGCTTGGAGCCATGTAACTCTAGCCTCTGCCTTCGTTATCACATAGTATTCTCCCTGTGTGTCTCTGTCTTCCTACGGCCTTTGACCATCTTCTTATAATGACACCCATATTGGACTGGGGTCCACCCTACTCCAGTATGACCTCACATTAACTAAGTGCATCTTCAATGACCCTATTTCCAAATAAGGTCACATTTCTAGCTACTCAGTGTTAGGACTTCAACTTACCTCTTCTGGGGAGGGAAGAAGCATAATTCAACCCACAACATGCTGTGGGATTTTCTGTGTTTTTTTAATACTTGCCACTCATCAGTGGTATTTGGTGGATGTTGATATCAGTCTTGCAGCTTGCACCCCTCAAAACTGGAGCTTCAGGATGTTAGTCTGGAATTGGCATTGGTGTGACTTTAGAAAGAGATATAAACAATGACAAATACACAGGAAGATGTTACATAGGCATGTGACATGGGCATCAGTGAGAAGGTGACAGTTTTAAAACAAGAGGTAGATGCTTTAATCTTAGAAAGCATTTAATTAATCTTCCATTTTATGTCGTTACACCCAGAAGAGGCATGTGGCTCTGTTGTCCCCCATCTCAATGCATGGATGAACCTCATTCTACCATGTCCTGAAGGGCAGGATCTGGTCTTCTTTATCTTTGTACCCAACACAGCTCGAGCACAATGCCTGGCACACTGTAGATGCTTAGCAAATGTGGAGTTGAAGTCTCAGAGCCTGGACTATGTTTCTCAGTCCACCAACTGTTTTAGGTGGGGCCAATACTGGAGAAATGGATGAGTGATGCCTTAGCTGTACTGATAGCTCAGATCTGCTCCTGCCATGAACTCTAGGAAAAATAGGCCTTGCTGTGACGAAGAAGGACCCCACACCTTCTGCACAGCCTCCTGGAGGCCATAATGGAAGAAGAGTTGGATTTAGGGTTTCAGTGTTGCTCGTCATTTCAGAGAAATAGAGGTGGGAGGAGGAGAAGGAGACCTCTCTGATGAGCCCAGGAAGTCCTTTGCTGTGCACCACCCTCCCCACACCAACTTGCAACTTTTTACTGCCCTTGTATCAGGTGAATATGGAAGATTCTGTCTTGGGAGTTCTGATATGCACAGACTGCAAACTTTCTGGGGTCCATTAAGACCATCCTGATATGTTAAGGGGAACCTCTCCTCAAATTGCACTTCTGGGGGACAAAGCAATCTTGAGATCTGAAGAAAACTTTTTTTTTCCTTTATTTATGTGGCATCCCCACTCCTGTTCAGAGGGTGTTGGCAATGTTTTTGCTTAAGGTAGAATTAAGGTTGTAGATGAGTACTGGTTTCAACACTTTAATAACAATTTTAGTCTATGACTTAAAACTCCTGACACAAATGAAAAGCTGTGATTCCCTTAAGGTTGTACCTCTAGTTTGAATGTATGTCAGATTACTGACTCATATATCCTGGTTGAATTTTTTTTTATTAATGAATTGAAATCCTAAAATTTACTCAATGGACTCTTACTACAGAGAAGGTTCTGTATTCCAAGTAATTTACAGTTAATATAGTCTGCTCACTTGGATAAGGCTGCAGGTTATGTTATAGGAGCAAATGAATGATTAAAATATAAGTTGTCTAGGGTGTTTTCAGCAGTTCACATTCCTGCTCCCTTGTGTTTAGCACAATCTTACCAACTGTCCCTCTATACTACAACATGAATGAAAATATGTGAATGAGTGACATATTTGTGGATATATGTTTAAATTTAAAAGCTGGTATTTCTTCATGTAGAAGGCAACTTTTATGTCCTTTTTGCTTTTCTGTCCTTTTTGCTTTTCTATAGTTTCCAAAGCTTTTACTATCAATATTTATTACATATAGAATCAAGAAAACAATGACTGTTATTCATAAACCTATAATGACTTTTCAGAAAAAATTTCCTATAACTAGGCCATAAATAAGCATTTGCTATTGATTGTCAGAGATTATTAAAGTTGAGAATAGTAAATAATGATTCTAACTCTAGGCTTCCCAGAAGAGAACTAGACTCACATCTGCAATTTAGAAATTATGTGAACTAAGCAAGCATTCAGGAAGAAATGCATCACTTACCTACCCATGGGTGGATTTGAGCAAAGGCTGTGTGCAGTTGTAAAGCAAGAATGAGGTCTGGGTGGGAGAAAGACTCAGTGGTTTTCAGGGGCTCAATCTAATTGTCTAGAGGGCATTCATAAATATCTTTTCTGAGAGTATTTTGATTATCACAATGACTGGGGTTACTACTGACCTCTGGTGCAGTGGGGCCAGGCATCCTGCAGTATGTGGGCCAGTCGCAGGCCAAGAAGATCTGTTCCCTCCAAAATACCAGGAGGGTTCTGTTGAGTGGCAACAGTAGACTCTACTGAGTGGGTTTTCTGTGAGCACAGAGGAGGGTGAGGATCTCCTGAGTCAAGCTAGGTATTGTACTCAGAATGAAGGATAGGCCTTATTTCTACCCAGAAAGACCTAGTTAGCTTTTCCACTGGTGTAGAAGGAGCTAGTCCACAAGAAAGTTAACTTCTGTTTCTGGTACGCACGAGATACCCTGAAATGAGGTCTAAGAGATGGTAACATTTTCAATGCTAACAGTTATAAGGTGCTTATCAGATGCCAGGCATTGTGAATAATCACCCATGATCCTATCACCTTGATAGAGTTATTGTCATCTCTACGTGTTATCATCCATATAACCTCATATTTTAAATGGTAATGTCTTCTTTTTACTACCATTTTACATAAATACATCAACTCCTATCCATATTTCTATACAATAGCCATAGTTATTGAGATGCATATTTAATAGTCTATCATGATATTGTATCAATGTATTAACCCATTTTCATGATTTTGAACATTGGGCGTTTCTTCTCTCATTTTTATTTCGCAGCTATAGACAGTGCTCCCATGAATGCCTTTGTACAGATATCCTTTGCTTCTGGTTATTTTCCTAAGAAAAACTCTACAAGTAGCAGTCTTGGTTCAAAGAATGTATATATTTTTGGCTCTTCTTAAATAGTACTATGTTGCTTTCTCACAAAATTACATGAACTTATTCTGCCACCAGCAATAAATATCACTTTCAGCACAAACACACCAATGTCAAGTTCTCTCATTTAAAAAATTCTAACTACTTTTCTGGGAGTAAAACAATGTTTTGCTCTAGGTGAGTTAAATATTTCCAGGACTTTGGATGTTTTTCTCTGGCTTCCTTAAAATATCTTATTAGCCTCTTGAGATGGTTGAGGATATAGTGTCAGATTTGTGAAGCTGGAACCAGAGTTACACTAAGGATGTATTGTATATAGTTTTCTTCCAGCAAAAATTATTTAGCCCTGAAAGCCAAACAGCAATTCTATACAAAATACTGTATTCATTAATCTTTTTATCAACTTACGGAGATATGAAATGGAATCAAACACATACAAATCAAGGATACTACATTCAAGTTATGCACAAGAAAAGGGAACAGAACTCCCCAGTCTCAGCCCTCTTGGGCTACATTGATTGACTGAGCCAGAGAGGTAAACAAGAGGAAAAGGTACATCATCCCTGGCTTCAGTTCTAACCCGTTTCCCCATTTGTCATTTATATTTTAGCATGTTGTCTTTACATGTTCCCATGGAGAGCACTGTTCAGGCTTGTATTGACAGTTGCAGGGCGGAACATTCATATCCACTGCACGCCATCAGAAAGCCTGTGAATTCATCATGCTTTTGTGGACACTGGGCTTGAAAACACTGCTCTGCGTCACCAGCTACAAAACCCAGGCACAGCCCCATCTTCACCCACTCCCTTATTGTATTAAGACACAAAACACATCTAAGAAACAAAGCCTGGCTTGCCCTGTGTTTCTAAATAAGTAGTAGTATGGTCCTGTGTTTCTAAATAAATGAGTAGATTGGTAGCTGGTACCCATGGGACAAAAGGATTGTAGTCTCAGAAGTGGGTTCAGTAACACTACTCCTTTGGGAGAGAAACATGTCACCACATGTTTTGGGGATGCACCTGCACATCTCTTCTCCCCCCATATCCTGGCAGTGGTTGTACAGAAGCTACGCACCACCACCTACTTTTTATCTTTACTGTCATTGTATTTACTATGACTCTTCAGGTACTTTTCATGTGCTTATTTCATCTAAAACAAAAATTCACAACAGATTCTAATCCAACCTACCTCAAGGCCAAATTTCGCAAGATACTTTTTTTTTTTTTTGCTTTTTAAAGTGTGATATAATATACATAACATAGAACTGAATATTTTAACCATTATTAAATGTACAGCTCAGTGGCATTAAGTACATTCATGTTGTTGTGCAACCATCACTATCCATCTCCAGAAATTTTTCATCATTCCAAACTGAAGCTCTATGCCCGTTAAATAGTAACTCCCTATTCCTTTCCTCCCCCAGCTCCTGGCAACTATCACTTTACTTTCTGTCTCTGAATTTGACTACTTTAGGTACCTCATATAGGTGGAATCATACAGTAGTTTGCCTTTTGTGTCTTACAACAGTGGTCCTCGACCTTTTTGGCACCAGGGACGGGTTTTATGGAAGACAGTTTTCCCACTTACGGTGTGCGGAGAGGGATGGTTTCAGAATGAAACTCCCATATGCAGTTCACAACCAGTTCGTGCTCCTAGGAGAATCTAATGCTGCCACTGAGCTTTTGTGGAGCCAGTCCATGGCCTGGAGGTTGGGGACCCCTGTCTTACCAAATACATTTTAAACATTTAAATTTTACCCCAGCTTATGCTTAAAGTGGTTCGCAGTATCTTTCCAAGAGACCTTTACTAACATGAAAAGATACATAGACATAAATTTTTAAATAGGAGAAGAAAAATATAAACTAAGTATAATTCAAAAATGCACCCTGCTGTGAATGACACAATTTCAGACATTGGACCACACATTTATATCTGGGTCCCTTAATGCCCAAAACAGAACATAATACTTGATCAATTACATAATTCTTATAGAGAACATACTGACTTCCAAGCAAAGCAAGTATTTCAGGGCACTTTAATTCTGAAAGATTTTTCTCCCTTTCATTCTTTGCAGGGAAACATTAATGTGGGGGACTGTATCCTTGATAATGGCCTCATAGTATTTCACAGGACTGCTCCTTAAAAAGCGTAACTCCACAAGAGCTCTAAAAAAGGCCTGAGAGTGAGGCCAAGGAAGCATGGCTTATATTGACATTGTTCATTTATACAGTCATTTAACAATAGTTCACCAAGTCACCTGTGAGCATGGATTACAAAGGCAAATGAGGTATAATTCTTACCCTCAGTGAGATTACAAATCATAGCCTAGTGCTTTTGATTAAGGGTCCTCAACCCCCAGACTGATACCGGTCTGCAAGCTGTTAGGAACCAGCCTGGTTCCTAACAAATCAGCGATGGCATTAGATTCTCATAGGAGCACAAACCCTATTGTGAATTGTGTGTGCGAGGGATCTAGGGTACACGCTCCTCATGAGAATCTAATGCCTGATCCCAAAACCATCCACCCCCTTACCACCCTGGTCCATGGAAAAGTTGCCTTCCATAAAACCAGTCCCTGGTACCAGAAAGGCTGGGGACTGCTGCTTTTGATGATCAGGCTAGATTCAGGAGCAAGAAATCTAGGCTCCATGTCCTTTAACATCCTTACATATCATTTTCTGCAGTCCAGCTTCTGAGAGATGTTGGGCATCTAAAAAGTGTCTTCCCCCAGCAAGGGCATTCTATGTGGTGGATTATTGTGAGCTCCATATACCTTAAAGCACAAACCAACAGACTGATGGCTCCCCATGCCTGGGTGAGACCTCCCACATGGAGTGAGTCACACAAGATGTCAGGCAAAGCCAAAGCAAGATGCATTTGCCTTTTGACATAAGAATCTGTGGTAGGGAAGAAAGCACAGGAAGAAGAGAGTCATTTTGATGTCCTCAACTGCAGTAGGAGCCATCTCCCTGACTTGTTCTGACCTGACTTGTTCCCTACCGTAATCTCCTGGATGCAGAAGTCCCTCAGGCCCATCGGGTAAACTAAGAATCTTGCTGGAGTTGGGGTCAGAATGTGAGCCATCAGAGAGATGGCTGGATCAGGGGATTCAGACAATTATATGGGGTGCACTGGTTGGTGGTTGGGACGGATGGCAGGTCAGGAATGAAAACAGGCGAGCTGAAAATGGGAGATGAGGAAATGCAGTCTATCCTGATGGCTCTTCTCAGGAGTTTGACCATAGAGAATGGGGTAAAAGCTGGGACAGTTGTGGGGTCAAGGAGAGGCTGACAGTTTATTTACTATGTGTGATTTTAGAACATGTGTGACGATTCAGTAGAAAGGGAGCAATTGATGATTGGGGCACAAGGGTCAACTCTAGGTGTGAGGCTTTTAGGAATCTAAGGAGCTGGGACTCACTCAGAGCAGGAGTGAGGGCCTGGCTTCTGATGGAAGGGAATGTTCCCAGTATTTTCAGAGGTTTGCGAGCAGGATGCAGATGCTGGGGAGGTTGGGGTGGAGAGATGAGGTACTCCCACTTGGTGCCTCATTTTCTCACAGAGGGTAGTTTGGAAGTTTGAGAAGACAGGACATATAAAAGAGTTGTCTCAGGAAACAAGGATTTTATTGGTCATGTATTGGTTATTTGCTTTGGGGTGTGGCATGGTGATATCATTTCTTGCCTTTCACAGGGCACAGCACCTGCAGGGTCACGAGGGAGCTGGCCGGTTCTCTGGTTGGGACACCTAAATCTGAACCTAGGAGTAGAAATGAGGGCCAGACTCTCTGCTAGACAAACACAAAGGAATCTCTGGTCAGAATGGCATGCCATTCAAAGTCTGTGGTGCTTGTTTAATGGGAAACCCCCCAGTTTGGTTGTGTGATTTTTCTGCAGTTTATTCAGTGGCTCAGGGGCCGGATGCAGAAAGTAGGCTGTAGGGCTTGCCTGGGGCAAGCATCAAGATAGGTGCTTAGTGCACTAAGTTTTAACCTTTATTACTGTATTATATGCATTTTATTTTTTTATTTTTTATTTATTTTTTGGAGACAGAGTCTCGCTCTCTCACCCAGGCTGGAGTGCAGTGGCATGATCTTGGCTTACTGCAACCTCTACCTCCCGAGTTCAAGCAATTCTCATGTTTCAGCCTCCTGAGTAGCTGGGAATATAGGCGCACACCACCACACCCAGCTAATTTTTTGTATTTTAGTAGAGACGGTTTCACAATGCTGCCCAGGCTGGTCTCGAACTGCTGACCTCAGGCAATCCAACCACATTGGCCTCCTAAAGTGCTATGATTACAGGCATGAGCCACCGCGCCCAGCCTGCATTTTAAAAAGTAAGTTTTTGCTAAATACTGTTTTACTACATCTATATATTTTTATGTGTAATATTTTTATTGTCACTCAATTCAAAATATATTCAAATTTCTTTTGTGATTTCTTCTTTAACTTGTGGGTTATTTAGCAGTGTGTTTTTAAACTTTCCAAGCATGTGGAGATGTCTTGGTTATATTTATATTATTGATTTCTAACTTAATTGAATAGATATCAGAGAACTCTTCTGTATTATTTCAATCCTGTGAAATGTTTTGAGACTTGCTTTGTGGTCCAGTATACTGCTAGTTCTCGTAAACATGGTGTGTTCTTTTTTAAAAAAAAATGTATATTGTGCAGTTGTTGGATATAGAGACATAAATAGAGATACAGATATCCATCCATCCATAGGCAAGGTTTATTAATGATATTACATTCTCCTATATTCTTTATGATCTTTTAATCTATGTGTTGCATCATTTTTGAAAAAGGTATATTAAAAATATTCATATTTTGAGTTCCAGGGCTGGGACCTGCTTTCTCATTTGGCATTTTGATAGAACGTACAAGAGAAATTAGAACTTTTTACTGAGAAAATTCTGACTGGTTACAAATTGAAGGAGAAGCTAAAATTATCCTGACTCTCACAACTACATGAGTTGGTAGGTTTTAAAAACTGAGATTGAACCTAATGTTACCAGAAGTATGAGGGTTCTGTGTTCCTGTCTTCTTGGAGGAAAGGATTCCACCAAGAGACCAATTAGTAAAGTAAGCAAAAGGTTTATTAAGGAAATAAGAGTACACTCCAAGAGAAGAGTGGGAGAGTGGGCTGGCCTGGCTGGGAGCAGCCCCAAGAGTTCTGCACTGCGGGTTTTTATTATGTCGGACTCTTCCTGCCTCTGTTTCAAGTCTCTGACTTTGCTTATCTGGTTTCCCAATTCTGTCTTAAGTCTCCACCTTTGTCCCCACCTAGTTCCTGCCGAAGTTTGTAGGATTCTGCCTTACTCTCTGTTGATGCGCATGCTGCGGGGCTCAGTGATCAATACGAATCCTACCTAATGACGGTGTTGCTCATTACCACCATCCCTGGAAGGTTCTTTAGCAGTCAAATCTGTATTTATTGCCTCTGCGTATCTCTTAGAAATTTCCCTTTTGCCCTTCTTATTAGCATGTAGCTATATTCTGACAAGTTAATTACAGAGTAAGTGATTACTGGGCATCTTAAGGGACGTTTCAGAACATTCCTTTCTGCATAGGTAGTTTCCCACCTCTCTGCTCATATCTAGCAGCATGTTTTGGTTGGTCTCTGAGGCGTGAGGTTTTCCAGAGCTTTCGCCCCCAGGGGCTCCCCCTACTGCTTATGTCTAGCTATCTGCCTACTCTAACACTAAGGACCTTTCAATTCTACTCTCTACCTGTATAGATCTGAGGTCCAAAGAAGAGCATGACAATCACTGTAGTTGATAGAAATCTGGAATTAGAACCCAATACTCTTTCCATTCTTGTACTCCTTTAGCAACTAGTAGTTTAGTCTGTAGCACATTTTAAGACTGAAATATTTCTGCTTGAATATTTAGAAACTTTTTTTTTTTTTTTGAGATGGAGTCTTGCTCTGTCACCCAGGTTGGAGTGCAGTGGCGCGATCTCGGCTCACTGCAAGCTCCACCTCCCGGGTTCACACCATTCTCCTGCCTCAGCCTCCCAAGTAGGTGGGACTACAGGTGCCCACAACCACACCTGGCTAATTTTTTGTGTTTTTAGTAGAGACAGGGTTTCACCGTGTTAGCCAAGATGGTTTCGATCTCCTGACCTCAAGATCTGCCCACCTTGGCCTCCCAAAGTGCTGGGATTACAGGCATGACAGAAACTCCTACCTATGCATTCTTATGTCAAAGAAAAACTCACAAAGGAATTTGCAAAATTTTTAAGAAAT
The DNA here is from genome assembly GCF_000001405.40 of Homo sapiens. NCBI lineage: Eukaryota > Metazoa > Chordata > Mammalia > Primates > Hominidae > Homo > Homo sapiens. Next base: position 40,074,430 of record NC_000003.12, read on the forward strand.
AGAGAAAATTTAAATGGTACATATTAAAATTAAAATATAGAGCACACCTAAATCTGTCCTCTGAGGAAATTTTATAGTATTAAATTTATGTTACTAATATAAAAGAAGAACGAAAAGTGAACTAAGCCTCTAACTTAGTAACTTCAAAAAGTAACAGTAAAATAAACCCAAGGAAAGCAGAAAAAATGAAATCATAAAAGATGAAAGCAGAAATTAATTAATTTAAGCAGAAAAGCTCAAGAGAATGAGAAGACCAGACCACAGACTGGGAGAAAATACTTACAAAACATACATCTGATAAAGGAGCTATCCAAAATATACAAAGAACTCTTAAAACTCAACCATAAGAAAACAACCTAATTTAAAAGAGCAAAGACCTTAACAAACACCTTACCAAAGAAGATACGTAGATGTCAAATAAGCATATGAAAAGATATTTCACATCATATGTTATCAGGAAAACTGCAAATTAAGACTCTTTTCCATTGCATATGATACAAATTCAAAGAGCTAGTTTCCTCAAAATTATAAAAGTTAATACAAAACAAAGATACTAAAATAGAAAAAGGACATGTGAAATAAGTAGGTTACAGGCAAGGAAATCACAAGAAAAGATATTTTATAACTGAAGTAATACAACAAAAATGAAAAATCATTTTTCATCTATAAAATTAACAAAACATTTAAGTTTAATGACATCCAGTATTGATACATGTATATGGGAAAACAGGCAATCTATCACACAATTACTGGGAAGATAAGTGGTGCAAACTTTTAGAGGACAGTTTACACATACTTTCCAATTCTAAATATTCATTAAACTTGACCAACTTACAAAAGAGTGGCAAAGATACAAATAAGTACAGTAGTACTTATTAAAGCATTGTTTCTAATGCCTAAGAAAAACTGGAAACTATATAAATGTTCATTAATCAAGGACTAGTTTTAAAAATTAAGACATCCATTCCATGAAGTACTGAAGTAGATCCACCTGTCCTGATGGGAGAAGGGCGAGAGCATGGCTTTGGAGCCAAACCTCCTGGGTGCAAATCCCAACTTTGCCATTTACTAGCTGTGTAATATGAGGCAAGTTATTCAGCCTCTCTGTGCCTCAATCCTCTTGAGTAAAATGTGTGCAGTAGTACCCATCTCAGAGGGCTATTGTTAGATTTAAATAACTTAATAGAATGCTTAGAACAGTGCCACCACAGAATAATCTTTCAGTAAATATTAATTATTATACATTATTATTAAATGGCACAAATGCAGGACATAGGCCAGTGTGTAGTATGGTCTCTTCTGTAGAAGAAAGGGGGTGGAGTAAATGAGGGAATGAGGAGACAGGGAGGGTGGGGGAAAAGCATAGAAATACTTAAATGTGGAGGGGAAGAGACTTGTCATCTTCATTTTACAGTTTTGTCTGTATTCCTTGAATTGCCTAACTGTATTGTCAGGAAAGCTAATCTGTGATGACAAAGAAACCCCAAAGGCTGGGCATGCTCACGCCTGTAATCCCAGCAATCTGGGAAGCCAAGGCAGGTGGGTCACTTGAGCCCAGGAGTTCGAGACCAGCCTGGCCAACGTGGTAAAACCTCATCTCTAAAAAAATAAAATAAAATACAAAAATTAGCTAGGCATAGTGGTGCATGCCTGTAGTCCCAGATACTTGGGAGGCTGAGGTGGAAGAATCACTTGAGTCTGGGAGGTTGAAGTGCAATGAGCTGTGATTGCACTATTGCTTTCCAGTGTTGCTCTGGACACCAGAGCAAGACCCTGTCTCAAAAAATAAAAATAAGAAACTCCCAAAATGTAGTGATTTAAAGAACAGAAAAGTAATTATCTTTCTCAGGGAAGTCCAAGGAGAGTGTTCCAGGTTGGCCAGTATGTATATGTTCCATACAGTCACTCAAGGCCCCACAGCTCTGCCATCCCCTAGGGGCAATAGTTTTTACATTTGACTGCATATTAGAATCCTTGGCAGAGCTTTGGAAAAAAATCACATTGCCCAACCACAAACCATATCAATTAAGTCAGAATCACTGGGCCAGGGCACAGGCACTAATATTTACTCCAGAAGATTCTTGTGCAGCCAGGTGCCTTAGGGCTTTATCATCTAATTGTTGATGCCCAGGCCATCTATGGTTTAAGCCTCTGAGAAGGGGAGGAGAGCATGGAGGAGGACCACCTTCTGTACAAAGGGCCTGGCCCAAAACAGGCACACATCATATGTGCTCCCATTCCATTGTTAAGAGCATAATCACCCTCTCATGCTTAGCTCAAAGGGGGACTGGCAGCCACATGGCTAAAATTCTGTTTCTAGAAAAAAGGGGTAGAAGGGATTTTGGTGGTCAGCTGGCAGGCTCTGTGACATAAACCACGTGAAAGTATTACCTTACCCTCCCACGCAAAAAATTACAACACCAGAGATTATGGCCTTTTTCTTCATAATTTTCTGTATTTCAGAACTCTAATGCTATTTTTTAAGTTAGAAAAAGGAAACATAGTTAACCCTTTTTCATTGCATATGACAGCTTACCATGTACTATTGTGTCCAGAATTGGTGGGTTCTTGGTCTCACTGACTTCAAGAATGAAGCCGTGGACCCTTGCGGTGAGTGTTACAGCTCTTAAGGTGGCGCGTCTGGAGTTTGTTCCTTCTGATGTTCGGGTGTGTTCGGAGTTTCTTTCCTTCTGGCGGGTTCGTGGTCTCGCTGGCTTCAGGAGTGAAGCTGCAGACCTTCGCGGTGAGTGTTACAGCTCATAAAACAGCGTGGACCCAAAGAGTGAGCAGTAGCAAGATTTATTGCAAAGAGCGAAAGAACAAAGCTTCCACAGTGTGGAAGGGGACCTGAGCCAGTTGCCACTGCTGGCTCGGGCAGCCTGCTTTTATTCTCTTATCTGGCCCCACCCACATCCTGCTGATTGGTAGAGCCTAGTGGTCTGTTTTGACAGGGCACTGGTTGGTGCATTTACGATCCCTGAGCTAGACACAAAGGTTCTCCACATCCCCACCAGATTAGCTAGATACTGTGTGTGGACACAAAGGTTCTCCAAGGCCCCACCAGATTAGCTAGATACTGTGTGTGGACACAAAGGTTCTCCAAGGCCCCACCAGAGTAGCTAGATACAGAGTGTCAATTGGTGCATTCACAAACCCTGAGCTAGACACAGGGTGCTGTTTGGTGTGTTTACAAACCTTGAGCTAGATACAGAGTGCCAACTGGTGTATTTACAATCCTTGAGCTAGACATAAAGGTTCTCCAAGGCCCCACCACAGTAGCTAGATACAGAGTGTGGATTGGTGCATTCACAAACCCTGAGCTAGACAAAGGGTGTTGATTGGTGTATTTACAATCCCTGAGCTAGACATAAAGGTTCTCCACGTCTCCACCAGACTCAGGAGCCCAGCTGGCTTCACCCAGTGGATCCCGCACCGGGGCTGCAGGTGGGGCTGCAGGTGGAGCTGCCTGCCAGTCCCGCGCCCTGCGCCCTGCGCCCGCACTCCTCAGCCCTTCGGTGGTTGATGGGACTGGGCGCCGTGGAGCAGGGGGTGGCGCTCGTTGGGGAGGGTCGGCCACACAGGAGCCCATGGAGAGGGTGGGAGGCTCAGGCATGGCGGGCTGCAGGTCCCGAGCCCTGCCCCGCGGGAAGGCAGCTAAGGCCCGATGAGAAATCTAGCGCAGCGCCGGTGGGCTGGCACTGCTGGGGGACCCAGTACACCCTCCGCAGCCGCTGGCCCGGGTGCTAAGCCCCTCATTGCCCAGGGCCGGCAGGGCCAGCTGGCTGCTCCGAGTGCGGCCCGCCAAGCCCACGCCCACCCGGAACTCCAGCTGGCCCGAAAGCGCTGTGTGCAGCCCCGGTTCGCATTCGCACCTCTCTCCCTCCACACCTCCCTGCGAGCCGGCTCTGGCCTTGGCCAGCCCAGAAAGAGGCTCCCACAGTGCAGCGGTGGGCTGAAGGGCTCCTCAAGTGCCGCCAAAGTGGGAGCCCAGGCAGAGGAGGCACCTAGAGCAAGCGAGGGCTGTGAGGACTGCCAGCACGCTGTCACCTCTCACTATTGTATGACTTTCTCATTTCAGTTAGAGGATAAAACCATGAGCCCTTTGGAATTGTGATTTTGGTACCACATTTTAAAATGCAGTTTAGAAATTTGAGTGTACCTATCCCAAACACTGCTGAATTCAAGACTCTCTTCCTCCCAAAGTTTATATATGGACGAGCCTCCTGCAGGCTCCTCAACTGCTGGTAAGAGAGACTAGTGGTCTCCTCTCCTTTCCTCACCCCCAAGCCTCCCAGATTAGCACTTGTAAAATCACTTCTTATGCTGCAGCAGGCAGGTTGTTCTGCCAAGAATTGGCTTGTGCTCTGGAGAAAAGAGCCCTATTTTAAGAGATGCCACAGACTGCCCGTTCTGCTGAAGGAGACAGGGGAGTGCTGGGACTTCCACCTGTCAAAACATGATTTGGAGTTCTTTTGGAAAGTGGAATATGCTCAGAGACCACAAAACCGACTCCCTCCAGACCCTCTTCCTTCTCCAGTTTCACTTCATTTCCACATCATTTGGAGCTCCTTAATCCTGGAGGTGAGGCCAAGTAACGTGATGGATGTTAGAAGGGGAAAGGACTAGATTTCCTAATTTAGCAGTGAAAACCCCAGAAAGAGGAAAGAGAAGCTAGAAAAATATGCTCCCTTGTTGTCAGTAGAGATGAAGGGATTTTAAATGTGGTACTTAGAAGTTGACTGTTCGAAGATCACACGATTTACCATTTAAGCCTTCTTAGACACTTGAGAGTAAAAGGGAGCACCCTTCATTACACTGGACTGATAGCCATACCAAGGCTATCCTGGGCAACTGGGCTATGTGGTATCTTAATAGTTAGGTGGCCCCTTTCACTAACAGACAAGCCATCTTTGGTCTATATTTCTAACTTTTTAGTGTCTAGTGGGCCTGTGACCTACACAGTTGTTACGCTGAATTAGGGAAGTGCAGCTTCATCAGGGACAGTTGCCGTTAAATCCACTGGACTAAAGAGTCCTGTTGGCAGCTCACACCTCTGTCAGAGACAGCCCAGACCTTAACCTTAAAGTAGGTACATTCAGCTTTCAGAGCACACATGAGTGCTAAAACAATCAGGACTTTTCCTCGTTGTACACAAGAAAGCAATGAATGTCGAAGTTCCATGCATTCCCTAGGTGCATTCTTTTTGTGTGATTCTTGAACATTCCATTCCAAGAGCCTTTGCAAAAACCAACACAGGATCTGAAAATGCATGTATGCTGGCTAAACTGTGCTATAAACTCATACCAGTTAGCCAAGTTCAGAAGGCTGGGGCCAAGGGAGCTGGAAGTATAGCATTGTTCACAGCATTGCATGAGAGAAGATATTTCCATTGCAATACAAAATAACTTTGACTATCTGTGAAGCATATGTGATTCCTTTTAAAAAATTAATTCTAATTATATACAGATTTTTCAAGGTTTTCTAAGAAACTAATTTTACCATATTAAAACAATTGTATTTCTTCCTTCCTTATACATTTCTTTTCTTTCTCTTGTTTTATTGCCCTGGCTAAAATCTCCAGTGAAAGCTGAATAACATGTTAGTCATCACTAACAACCTTGGAAAGGTCCTGATATTAAGGGAAATACTGTTACCATTTCACTAGTGTGTGTGAGATTGGCTGTAGGGAGTTTTAAAAGCTCCTTTCCAGAATCAAGAAGTTCTTTTTTATTTCTACATTGCCAAGAGATTTTAACATGAGTGGATAGTTTTCCTTCTCCCTTAACTTGGTGAATTATATTAATTAGTTTTCTAAAAATTAAACTAACTTGCATTCCTGGCACAAACCCAGCTTGGTTGTGTATTGTGTTTTTATACTCTGCTTATATTTATTAATATTTTTGTACCTATGTTCACAGGTGAGATTGACCTATAATTTTCAAATCTGTTGCTCTTCTTGGTCAGGTTTTAGTTTTTGGTATTAATGTTACACTATCCCCATAAATTGAGTAAGGCGCTATGCCTTCTTTTCCTGTTTTCTAAAAAAAGAAAAAAAGTGTATATAAAATTAGATTAGTTGTTCCTTAATTTATAATATTTTATTTTGAGTTGGTTTCTAGTAAGGAACAGGTTCTAGGAATTTGTTTATCTAACTTTCCAATTAATTTGCAAACTTATTTATAATATCATCTTATTCTCTAAGTGTGTATGCATCTGTCTGCATCTCTAGTATCATACCTGTTAGTATTTATACCTTCTTTTTTTCTTTTTTAAGATGGGAGTTATCTTTTTCTCTTTTCAAAAAACCAATTTCTGACTTGCTAGATTCTCTCTACTGAATAATTGTTTTCTATCCTAACTTCTTTTTTTTTTTTTTTTTTTTTTTGCTTCCATCTACTTTCTTTGGGCTTTTTCTACTCTTCTTTGTCTAATTTCTGATGATGGATACCTAGCTTATTTATTTTCAGTCTTTCTTCTTTTCTCACTAAATTCTTCTTTATATATCATAGTAACTAGATGTAGTCTTTTTATCATTCAATTCTTTTCTAGTTTGATTTTTTCTTCGACCTATGTGTTATCTAAAAACACATTTTTAAATTAACAAAATATGAGGTTTTTCTAATTGTCTTTTTGCTATTGATTTCAAACTTTATTGCATTGTCCTCAGAGACTGTGGCCTGTATGATACCACTTCTCTGAAATGTATTTAGACTTACCTGCCCATGTTATGGTCAACTTTCCTAAGTATTTCACAGGTGCCTGAGGAGAATATATATTCATGAATTTTTGAGTACAGTGTCTTATGTATGATCTTTAGATCAAGCTTGATATTGTGCTGCTCAAATCTTCTATATTCTTCCTCAATTTTTGACTGCTTGTTATATCAATTACTGAAAAAGGCATTTCAAAATCTACCCTAACAATAATTTGTCTCTTTCCTTTTGCAATTGTCTGTTTATGCTTTATGCATTTTGAGGTCAAGTTATTAGGTACATACAAGTTCAGAATTGCTATATATTTCTTTTTCACTTTGGCTCTCTGCACTGCATTTTGGATAATTTGTTTACATCTGTCCTTCGTTTTACTAATTCTGTCAAGTTGTGTTTAATCTGCTATATAGCCTATCCTATGTGGTTTTTGCCATTACTTTTAATGACAACCTAACAATGTGATGTTATGACATATGTATACAATGTAAAATAATTAAATGAAACTAATTAATATATTCATTACCTCACATACCACTTTTTGTGGTGAGAACATTTGGAATTTATTCTCTTAGCAATTTTGAAATACAACGTATATTATTAGCTATAGTCAACATGTTGTGTAGTAGATCTCAAAAATGTATTCCCTCTGTCTAACTGAAACTATGTACCCTTTGACCAACATCTCCCCATGCCCCCATCCCAGCCTCTGCTAACCACCATTCTACTCTCTGCTATTATGAGTTCTACTGTTTTATATTCCACGTATGAGCAAGATCATGTACTATTTGTCTTTCTGTGCTGACTTCTTTCACTTAGCATGATGTCCTCCAGGGTCATCCATGTTGTTGCAAATGACAAAATTCCCTTCTTTTTTAAGGCTGAATAGCATTCATTATGTGTATATACCACATTTTCTTTATCTACTAAATGGCCATTATCAAAAAGACAAAAGATAACAAGTGTTGTCAAGGATGTGGAGGAAAGAGAACCCTTGTACACTGTTGTTGAGAATGTAATTTAGTATAGCCATTATGTAAAATTATATGGAGGTTTCTCAAAAAAACTAAAAATAGAACTACCATGTGATCAGCAATTCCACTTCTGGATCTATGTCCAAGGAATTTGAAATCAGTGTATCAAAGAGATAAATGCACTCTCATGTTCATCACAGCATTACTCACAAGAGCCAAGATATGGAATCAGCCTGGCATTTATGAACCTCACCATTGCGGGAGCTGGTGGCTGAAATCAGTGCTCCCTGCCAGTCTGAGAAGTCTACATTCAATTGATCACATTCAAAATTTCATACACCTGTCTTTTTCATGTAAAGTTTTTCATTAATGGCTTAATTTATATTTAATTACCCAAAATAATGAACTCCAAGATTATTTATTTTCTGGGCCAGAAATCAACAAATCATCTCTCTAGCATTTAGTGTTCTGTGTGCTTTTCCTGTGATCATTAGGCATAGAACTCAGGAACTTTATAATTCTCATTAGGGCCTAGTTACCAGATTATTTAAAGCATAAATCTTATTGCTAATTACAATGGCTGAGGAAAAACAAAAACAGAAACTAACTTTTTCACCGTCCTGATATGGCTCCTTTAAATGGGCCTCCTAATCATGAAGGAAATGGCATGTGTAATGGATACATTTTTCATCTCGATGCTCATGAAGGCAACTGCATTTCTTTTGCAGATAAATTTCGGGAAATGGTCCCATAACTCCTTCTGTAATAAGACACTTAATAAGATAAAATCAGGTGAAAATCAAGGCTTCTACCCGTAAAATAGGCCAGAATAATATTGGATCATTCGAGTGGGGAGCCAAATTTAAAGAAGCTGAGCATTATCTTACATTTAACGGACATTTGAGTTTAGCCAAGATTAGAAAACAAAATCTCTTGCTAGCTCATGAGGGAGCTCACAGGAATTTAGTCATTCATTCAACACCTATTTAATGAGTGGCTGCTGTGCACTGTATTCCAGAATTAGGGAGTCAGATATGAACAAAACAGGCATAATTCTATGTCTGTGGGGCTCATGGCCTAGAGAAGGAACAAACAGATTATTGTGTGATTCCAGTCAGGGAATGCTGAAAGTCTAATGCTGTGAGTGGGTCTTCATTCAGACAGTAGGGATGACAGATGTGGCATTATAGTTCCTCTTGAAGGATTGGGGAGCTGGTTAGACAAAGGTAGATTTGTCAGTGTTGGAGGCCAGAAGGGAAGAAGCACAGTCCTGGAGGGCCCAATGTGGCTAAGATTGCTTTCTTCCTTATTCTTCCTTCTTCCTTTTTCCCCTTCTCTTCATCTTAATTTCCATCTTCAGTAATAGTAAAGCATAGTATAGGTGGTAAGGGGCAAAGGGAAGAAGAATACTGAATTATCAGAGAAGAGTCTCTGCCTTTTGGACTCCCTAGATACCAGACCTGGTACACAACATAGAAAAGCAAATACATCCAGATCTATGCCAAGACAAATAATAATTAAACTTCTAAAGGCTAAAGAAAAAAATTGAAAGCACATAGAAACAATGCATTACTTACAGGGAAAGATCAATGAGGGTGACAGCAGAGTTCTCCATCTCAAACCATGGAGGCCAGAAGGAAGTGGCACAATATTTTTTAAGTGCTGAAAGAAAAGCATGGTCAACTGTGAATTCCTTATCTGGGGAAACATTCCTTCAGGAAGGAAAGGAATATCAAGACATTCTCGGCCGGGCGCGGTGGCTCACGCCTGTAATCCCAACACTTTGTGAGGCCAAGGTGGGCGGATTATGAGGTCAGGAGATCAAGACCATCCTGGCTAACACAGTGAAACCCCGTCTCTACGAAAAATACAAAAAATTAGCCGGGTGTGGTGGCAGGCGTCTGTAGTCCCAGCTACTCAGGAGGCTGAGGCAGGAGAATGGCGTGAACCCGGGAGGCGGAACTTGCAGGGAGCCGAGATCACACCACTGCACTCCAACCTGGGCAACAGATCGAGACTCCATCTCAAAAAAAAAAAAAAAAAAAAAAAAAAAAGACATTCTCAGAAGAAGGAAAACTAAAAGTTTGTCATTGGCATAAATATTATATATATATTATATATGTAAAATGTAGAAATATATAATATATAAAATATATAATACACATCTATGTATTATATATCGATATATAATACACATCTATGTATTATATATCGATAGATAATACACATCTATGTATTATATATCGATAGATAATACACATCTATGTATTATATATCGATAGATAATACACATCTATGTATTATCTATCGGTAGATAATACACATCTATGTATTATCTATCGGTAGATAATACACATCTATGTATTATCTATCGGTAGATAATACACATCTATGTATTATCTATCGGTAGATAATACACATCTATGTATTATATATCGATAGATAATACACATCTATGTATTATCTATCGATAGATAATACACATCTATGTATTATCTATCGATAGATAATACACATCTATGTATTATATATCGATAATACACATCTATGTATTACATATCGATAGATAATATCTATGTATTACATATCGATAGATAATATGTATCTATGTATTACATGTCGATAGATAATATGTATCTATGTGTTACATGTCGATAGATAATATATATGTGTTACATGTCGATAGATAATATATATCTATGTGTTACATGTCGATAGATAATATATATCTATGTGTTACATGTCGATAGATAATATATATCTATGTGTTACATGTCGATAGATAATATATATCTATGTGTTACATGTCGATAGATAATATATATCTATGTGTTACATGTCGATAGATAATATATATCTATGTGTTACATATCGATAATATATATCTGTGTTATATATCGATAGATAATATATATCTATGTGTTATATATCGATAGATATATATCTATGTGTTATATATCCACAGATAATATGTGTCTATGTGTTATATATCCACAGATAATATGTGTCTATGTGTTATATATCCACAGATAATATGTGTCTATGTGTTATATATCCACAGATAATATGTGTCTATGTGTTATATATCCACAGATAATATGTGTCTATGTGTTATATATCCACAGATAATATGTGTCTATGTATTATATATAATTCACACACACACACATACATATATTTCGTTTTCTTTTTTTGAGATGGAGCCTCACTCTGTCACCCAGGCTGGAGTGCAGTGGCGCGATCTTGGCCCACTGCAACCTCCATCTCCCCGGTCAAGTGATTCTCCTCCTCAGCCTCCCAAGTAGCTGGGATTACAGGCACCCACCACCGTGCCCAGCTAATTTTTGTATTTTTAGTAGAGACGGGGTTTCATCATGTTGGCAAGGCTGATCTCGAACTCCTGACTCAGGTGATCTGCCTGCCTCAGCCTCCCAAAGTGCTGGGATTACAGGCATGAACCACTACACCCAGCCAGCAGATATATTTTTAAAGAGTGGCTAAAGAACTTCCTCAGGGAGGAAATGGTAAAAGAAGGCATCCTGGAGCAGAGCAGCCCCAGCAAGGGAGTACTTAGGAATTAGTGGGTAAGGAAAGAATCGAAAAAGCTTATAGTGTCCTCAAGAAGGAAGAAGAAAGGAAGGAAGGAAGCAGCAGCAATGGAAGAGTAAAAATATGGGTACATAAAATAGACTATCTCTCTCCTCATGAGTTTTATAAATCATATTTGGTAACCGAAACAAAAATTATAACCCCATCTGACATTCAAGACAATCATATGGAAAAGTGGGAAAGGCAAAGGAACCTAAATGAAAATAAGGTTTTCATACTTCACTCAAAGTGGAAAAATGTACACACAGTACTGTGATAAGGGACAGATATGTGTTATAATACCAAGAGCAACCACTACAGAAAGTATATAAAGAAATACAGTAAAAAAAACCCTATGAATAAATTAGGATGGGATCCCAAAAAATGTTTCACCCACAGGAAGGCAAGGAAAAGAGAAACAAAGGAATGAGAACTAGAAGAAACAGTAGCAGAAGAAACTGCTAAAGAATTTTCAAAATCTAGGAAAATTCTTACAAACTTTTGGAAAGTTCTGCATCTTCCCAGCAGAGCCCCAGTCCAGACTCCATGACAATAACTTCTCACGGTCTGAAAGGTCCTCTCAAACCAGGGTGTTCCAAAACTACCCAGAAGCAATGGATGTGATTCTGTAAGTAACCTCAGTTACTCTTGGCAGCCACCTGAAAACATACTTAATGAACTTGCTTTTCCCTCTGTAGAGGCTTCCTTTGGAGGGATGGGAAGACTGTGGTAGAGGGGTTTTCGCACTTCGGGCAGGCTCCTCCAACACAGGAGGGGCCGTAACTCAGCCTAGGAGTCCAGGTGAGAGCCACCAGGGCAGACCTTGCTGCTCTTCGCCAGGTTTCAGGACATGCGGTGTGAGCTGGCTTTCCTGGCTGCTTAGACACCTGCCTCCTGCCTCACACTCAGGACCTCTGGTGTTGCAGAAAGAATACCAACCCTATCAGCAGGCATTCCAGGCTTAAATCCTAGCTCAGCCCCTTACTTTCTGTCCTCCAGTTCCACTATGCATCAGAGATAATGCTGGTTCAGGGAGATGCTGGGAGGAATAAACAAGGTAACCCAGTACCTACTTCAGGGGACCTCTAATGAATGGTGGGTGCTCCCAATTTCCAGAACTGGGTTCAGAGAAGAGGTTTTGACAGCCATGGCCCCCCACATTCCAGCAGGTAGTACATAGCAGCAAGCGGTTCTCGGGGTGGGCACTGCGGCTGCTTGGCATTCAGAGCTCTGGGGTAGGAACAAGGGAAGCCAGCGCCATGCCCTATGACCAGGACAATGCTGGGGGTGATTGGGGAATTCATAATATGCCAGAAGGCATTATCAGTTAGCTCCTCTCATGCCACTGCTACGTGGGCGAACATATTACCACAGCAACTGTTGCTGGACATGAACAAAGATATGATTGTACCCTTGGAGAGAGGTCCCAAGAAGAAGTGAGGCAAGCAACCCAGTGTGGCTATCATGAGGAAGTGGTGTGGCTGAGTTAGTGTGGATTCTGACACCAGCCCCATCTGCCCTTGGACAAAGCTCCAAAACCACACTTTCTCCTCAGTCAGATGAGTGTAACAGTCCCAGCCTCACAGTGCTGTGGATGAAATTCAGTGAGAGGCACATGCAAGGGGCTCAGCCCTGCCCCTGGCCAGGAGTAAGCACTGATACATGTTACCTATTATTATTGCTGCTGTTGTTATTGTTATCACTGGGAAGTGAGATGGCTAAGTAGATCAACAGAACAAAGAATACAAACTGAAATGTCTGCTTCAAGAAGGGAGTGTGTTATGAGAGACCAGGCTTTAGTTCTATTACAGAGGGCATTTATCTAGTGTGAATGTAATAGGTTAAGAAGCCAAAGCAAGAGGGCTAGTCTGTGATCAGTGGCATGGTAGCCAATGTTTAACTAGTTCTCCAGGGGAAAAGAAAGCTTTGATTTGTAGTGTTTGCCGATTTCCACTATGTAAATACTACTACCTTGTACATTGTTAAGCTGCCAACATGTCATCACTGAATACAGAGCTGGGAAAAAATGCACACAGAGAGCTCTCTGGATCCAGAACGAGTCTGCTTCAGCATACCACTGACTGGGTGGAGTGGGGTGGAGTAGGGTGTTTCCAAGAAACAACAGGAAGATTCAGATTGAAGACTGCACTAGGGATTATCACTTTTTCTGTGACCAGCTGGCAGGTAGGGGTGCCACTGCTGGGGCACAAAGATGCCTGTGCCTCACTACACCATTGTCTTGTGTTTGTAAGTGGGGACAGACAGGAGACCCTATGCTATAAAAAGGAGAGGGAGCAAGACCCAGTCACCAGGAAGGAGGCTGGCAGAAGTGCCAGGCTCTGTGCAGAAAAAGGTGGGCAGCCATGAAGAACAAGACCCAGGCCAAGGGCTGGTTGACCTGGGAGCCAATAAGCAGTGATGCTGTGGGAAGACAGCAGGGGTCCCCAAGGCTTTTGGCACCTGCTTTGATTGGCAGCAAGTAGGGGTAGGAGGGGAGGGGGGACAGATGTTGGAACTCATCAGTCTTTACTAGTCTCCAAACCTCAGAATTTTTTTCTCAGTTGTTCAGATGGTTGTGGTTCTTGGGAACCTGCACTCCTTATTTTAGTCAGAACTGGCTCAGAACCTAGAGCAGGACTGGAGCTAAGAACATAAGCTGAAGGATCAGTCAATACAACTATGAGGGACAGAGTTGTGGATCTCTCCATTACTGGGAAACCAGGAATTGTTACCCTAATATATCCTGAATGTTAATCAGCTTTTATTCATTCATCCAGCTGATATTGGCCCAGTGCCTGCTCTGTGCCAGGTACCATGCTTGAGTTAAAGACACAGACCTGAATAGATGAGGTTCCTACCCTTCAGGACCTCAGAGTCTAGTATGGGAGACAGAAAACCATCAGCCCCAACCCTACAGAGCTAGTGCTGGTGCTGGGAGGTCACCCAGCAGGCAGTGCAGAGGCCCTTAGGTATGTGAGCCAGGAAACCAGAGCCCATCTCTGTGGCTGGAGCCTGTGGCTGGGAAGAAGTGCAGGGCCCAGCCCCCAGAGGGCTTTCTCAGCCCTGGTAGGGAGTAGGATTATCTTGAGAACAGAGGACAGCCATTAGGTATTTTTGGCAGAGGCTGGCATGCTCAGATTCATGTTTTTAAGACAATGGCTCTGGCTGCTGGCTGGAGGCAGGAAGTCAGGAAGGAGGCCACTGTAGTGATCCATGGCAGGGGATGAGGACTTGGCCTTGGTGGTAACCAGAGGAATGGTAAGACACAGAGAGAGAGAGATCTAGGCATGCAGAGGGTGTGGGGGAGGGAGGAGTCAGGAGTGATTGCAGCTTGGGCACCTGCGTAGATGCTGGTGTCATTCCCAGGGAGGCGGCCCCAGAAAGTAGCAGCTTACAGGGCGGATGATGCATGGATGTGAGGGCCTGGGATCCCTCTGGTGTACAGCACACCTAGGACTCCAGTTTTACTGCTATATGACAGGAGACACTAGGTGACAGGAGAAAGGGTTGGATGGGGAAAGTAGGTATCTGACTGCCAACTTAATCCAAAACTGGACTCTTAGTTATTAAGAAGTATTCAGTCTTTCCTTACTAAGCACTTAAGTTTAAGAAGCATTTTTGCTTGCATTGTGTTATTTTAAACTTTCAACTATCCATGAGGTGTGTGGAGCCATTATTTCAATTTTGTACCTGAAGAAATTGATGCATACAGAGGCTGTTAGAACATCATCCTTTTTCATTTACAACCCTTGAAGCCATCTTTAAGCTTGGCGGCTTTCCATGCAGGTTCTTCCAGGCATGAGACTGGAGAGTAGTAACATAGCAGTGGAACTGGAGTCCTAGATAGGCTGTGCCTAAATGCTAGAAGTGTTTATTGGATTTGACTGAGACTCAAAAAAATTAACTCAAGTAATAGCCAAAAACAAACAAAGGCAAAAAGGAGACATGAGACTTTCTAGAATGGTTTTCTGAGGTTTACAGAAATATTATCATAAAGCTTTTATATGTTTGTTCCAAGGGAAGGGCCTCTCTCTGTTGGATGTTGCTGGCTTATTATATTTTAATGGCCTTGGCAATGGATCGTTCATGCAGAATTGCATTTGCTTCCTTAAAAACCATTTTCTATAGATTTCTATTTTCTTCTCCAAAATTACGTAGAGGGTCTTTAGGCCAAGGTAAATGTGGATAATGCAAAAGCCTGTGAGTCTGTTTCAGTGGGAAAAGGTCAAGCAAAGTCACACCCTACACTGCATATACCTCTACTAATAATATAAAAGTGCTTCTCTCAATTCTTTTATTTATGACCTTGGGAAAGTCTCTCTTATGAGTTATTGTATCTAGTGTGGTGTTACTGGATGCTGAAAAACACTTCATGAATACTTCTTGCATTCAAAATTTCATCAAGAATAATCAACATGTTCAGTTTTATTTCTGTTCATTTTTTCTTGCATGGTGAGCTTTGAGACCTTGTACAAAATCCCTGATCTTTCTGGGCCTCATCTGTGAAGATTATGATGATCACGGAGCCCTGTGACACATTCCTCAGAGATCCAGGTGCTGGCTGGTGAGGAGCTGGACAGGTGCTCTGTGCTGAAATTCACCAAAGTTGTGAAGGGTATGATTGTGTTCAGGCATTCCATGCCCTTGGAATTGGAGAGCATTAGGACTCCCTAAGACAGTTGGGGAAAAGAGGAAAGGAAGGGGCAGTGGGGGAGTTTGTCTTTGCATATGACAAGTGACCATCTGGTGTGGGGTGTGAGGCTCAAGTCCTTGAAAAAACCCTCGTTCCTTGTTGGCCAGCTAGATTTTTACCTATCATCATTTCTGCTGAAGGATGGCTACTAGCCTCTAAGAGCAAGTCAGCTGGAAGCATTACAGCATAGGGTTCAGTTTTAAGAAAGGAAACCCTAACTCAGATGAACAGCTTCATTCACTTTTAACTGATTGTCTAACAAACCTCCTGGCTTATGCGTTTCTCTGTCCAGGGCTATTTCAGAATATCTTTCAGAAATAAAAGGGTAGTAAATGCTGACATTTTATGCGGCATGTGTTTCTGTGCCTTCCTTTCCTCAACAGTAGTGTCCTACTTCTACTTGGTGTATGTTTCCTGAATGGGTATCGAGGACATACAGTGTTGAGTTGTACTGTAGTTTGGTGGGCTGTGGAACCTTAAGTAGGCTGTCTCCTCCAACATGCAGGTGGAACAGAGGGGGATCTTCAAGAAGCAGAGGATGCCGTTTCTTTCTTTCAGTCATGGTTTCTTGGGTGTGGACTTCAGGAGGTCCATATGTGTGCTTCCAGGCAAGCGAGCACATGTGGCACCTACCATAGGAAGACAGCAGCCCTCAGCAGGAAGCAGCCCTCTGCGCATCAAAGAGCTGAGCCAGCCTAAGGCCCCTTCTGTGTTCACCACTCCTTTGTGGCTCTGGAGCCTTCATTTGAGCCTTGATCAGGCCCACTCACCTGTTCTGCTGGGATTATCCCCAGCTGAGCCACTGAAGGGGTCAACTATTAACTGAGAGGGTAGAGTAGAAGAGGGTCTGGCTATGAGAGTGAGACCCACATTTTGGGTTTCCTGGCCAGATGCTTCACCTTAGTAAAACCTTTCCTTCTAGTACTAGCCACTGACCTGTTATGCTGGGATTATCCCCAGCTGAGCCACTGAAGGGGTCAACTATTAACTGAGAGGGTAGAGTAGAAGAGGGTCTGGCTATGAGGGTGAGACCAACATTTTGGGTTTCCTGGCCAGATGCTTCACCTTAGTAAAACCTTTCCTTCTAGTACTAGCCACTTTTTTAAAATTAAAGAATATGGATTTCTCTAGTAAATAGTAAATTTAATGGTCATGTGGCAAATCACAAACACCCCAGACCTCTTCCTGTTGTCTAATTGAAATACTAAGCACACACTTTTGCAGACACTTGCTGAGTATATTCTTAGCTGACTTGTGTTGTATCTGAAATACTAGACAGGAATGGTTTAATGAGTATTCCCATCATGGCAACAGGGCATTTTGCTTGTCACTTCTAATTCTCACATCTAATAATGCATTTGATCTACAAATTAGACTGCAGGATTCTTGTCCAAGCAGCATCAGGGGCCGGGTGGGTTGAGGGAGAATTCAAACAAGATAAATGCTCTTTCTCAATTATCTCTTCCTCTTCCCAGAACCTCCCAGAAGGAGCATTTCTGTACTAAAATTGCCCAAAGAAGTCTTCATTTTCTACTCCCTGGTAATGGTGCCAAGTATTGAATTTGCATGGAAAGAGATGATATTGCAAAGAGACACATTAGAATACATTTCACAAGCTATAAATTGCTTGTCAGAAGCTCTGTAAGCCTTGAAATGGACTCTGTCCTGAAATGTCTCTTGTGCAGTGTGTGTTTACCTTCTTTTTCCCCAACCTGCCAGTCTGTGCTCATTCTGAAGACACAGAGCCCCTCACACTGGATGACTGTGAAAGGAGGTACATCTGGAGCTCCAAGTCAGCCCTTGAGCTTTTGAAGCTGCCACTAAATCTTGATTCAGAGACCCTGCCTAGAGTTTTTGCTGCTTGTTCATCATCAGCACCCTAAAGCCCCCAAGATGTCTTCCTGGCTGTTTTGCATGCTTCCTGGGCTCCCTCCCTTTTCCCTGATGACAGCAATTGCCAGGAAGGGCTGGGAAAGATACTCACCCACACTGTAAGGGATAGCTATGCCTCCCCAAAACCCTCTCCCAGGTGAACTTTGTCTTCACCAGGCAAGTTCTTAAGCTGATGGAGGGGCATTCAGGAAAAATCCAGGGCTTTACTCTGGGAAGCTTTTGGCAGTGCTTGGGACCGTCTAGGATCCCTCTTTTAACATGTGGCTCAGGTTGGTCACCCAGAACCCTGTGAAGGGAAGGTGAAGGTTCTTAAAGTCATGGTACATTTCCTGGGTGCTAAGTATGTCATATACATTAGTTCAACAAATCCCCAGAAAGTCAACAAAGTAGGTATTGGCCCTTATTTACATAGTAGGAGATGAGATGAGAGAAGTTCATTAGCTGCTCCAAGTCACCCAGCAAATAAGGCACTGAGCTTGGATTTGAAACAGTTTATTTGGCTCTGAAATCCAAAATATTTCCACCATCTCATTCAGATTACCTAGGAACTTGAGGTTACCACCACCAGCTTCTAGAAGCTAGTCTGTCTTCTGTGTTCCCGTCGCAGGAGTTTAGTCTGCTAGTGGGCTTCATGTTCCAGGAGGTCCAAGTCCTTTGGTACATCACAGATTTGTACTTAGTAGTGACTCCCTCCCAGAATCTCCCAGGGAGCTGAAGCCTAGGCCTGGTACCTCTGGCCCTGTTGTGCTGAACCCCTCCCTGTTAACCTCAAGGAAGCACCAGGTTCAAGAGGCCAAAGAAGAGACCCACAGCCAGCAAACAAGCATAGGGTTTTATTAGGGGACTTACATACAGAAGAGAGAGCCCAGTAGTGATGGGCTAGACAGGAGAACCAACTTATGTACAGAAGCAGTTCAGTGTCATCGGGCTAGACAAGATATCCACCTTATGTACAGTCCAGTGACCCAGTGGCTGCAGGCTTTTTGCAGAAAAACCACAACTTCATGCAAACAGCGTGAAATTTATATAGCATTTTTACTTAACACTCTCCCCTTAATAACCACCACCTGGCAATCTTCCTTCAACCCAAAACCCAAGACCTCAATCCTCTCTATGGCCTGTGTTCCACAGGACCGAACAGGGGCTCAGATGTTCCTCATAGACAAGGAATGCATCTCCAGGATGATCATGCCCAGATTCTCTAGTTGGAACATACATTCAGTTCCAACTATGCAGACCAGCTATGCAGGGTCATTCTAAGGGTATGCTTAAGTTATTGCTATCAGGTATGTTTACCCCGTGAGGGGATCCTGGGACCAAGTCTACCATTCCCAGCTAGCAGCTCCTGCTCTCACACTGGGATAGCAGTGCACTTTACCTGGGCTCATTCTTGTCTCAACATTTTTCAAACAGAAGTGAGAGGCACCAAGCTGGTCATAGTTTACTTCTCTCCCAGTGTCTGTTCTCAGACTAGCTACACCACCATTGCAATTGGATGCAAAACCAGCAATAGCAATTTGCTTTAAACTCCTAACTATCCAGAGGCAATCATCTATGCTTTCCTCTGCTCTTAAGATAAAGACAGAACTCCATAACATCCAATGAAGGCCTGCAGGGTTGGCCCACCAGCTTTTCCACCTGTATATTTCCCCTCACCCCTCTCTCTTCATAATGGGGGACACTCTGTCTTTCCTACTTTCCTGTTACCTCCTACCACAAGGCCTTTGCACGTGCTATTTCCTCTGCCTGGAAAGTTTCCCCTTCCCTCCCCCTTCACATGTCCCAATTTTATTCTGCTGTTCAGACCTCCCCTCCATGCCACAACTCCATCATCACAGACTGCTATCCAGTGAGTTTATGTCCATCTGGTGATGTTTACCCCACTGGATTTAGCTCCCTCTGTTTCTGCTCATCTTGTTTTCCACAGTTTGTGGTACATGATAGGTGCTCAAGAAATAAGTCTTAATAGCTGATTATTTAATTTTTATCACAACCCTATGAAACAAGACTGTTACCATTTCCCTTTTGCAAGTGAATAAATGGAGACTAAGAGGCTGAGCTGGAACTCAGAGCTTGGTCTGTCTGTCTCTAAAGCTGGTGTTTATTACACCATGGCACCTCCACGCCCTAACTCCTCAGTCTTGCCTTTGGCCTTCCATCTTGGCTTCTG
Source organism: Homo sapiens (assembly GCF_000001405.40). Classification (NCBI taxonomy): domain Eukaryota; kingdom Metazoa; phylum Chordata; class Mammalia; order Primates; family Hominidae; genus Homo; species Homo sapiens. The sequence continues at coordinate 40,094,455 of NC_000003.12, forward strand.
GAGTAATGCTGTCCACCTCCCCTGCTTTGCAGCACAAGGACATCTGTTGCTAGTTTGGATTTTTGTTCAGACATCTGCCTGCCCTAGTGCCCAGGGGTCCCTAAGGGATAGGAATCTCATGTTTAGTCACCTCCTTCTCTGGTACCTGTGGCTATTCCTGCCCAGGACATTGTAGATTCTCAGTAGGTGTTTGGGAATCCCATTCCCCTCTGTTTCAGCCAGGCCTCTATGGATTACCAGTGACAGAAAACTCAACCTCGCTTAAAGAAACAGGAATATATATTAGCTTGTGTAATTGAAGACATTCAAGAGTAGACTGGATTCAGGTATGACTGGATTCAGAGTTCAAACTATACCTTCAGGGCTCAGTTCTTTTGCTGTTGCTTTCTGCTGATGAGCTGCAGTTTCAGACTTCTTACAATAGCAAGATGATGGCTTTGCCAGAGCTCTGGCCCCTCTGTGTCTCAGCCACTCAGCCTCAGAAACCACCTCCCTCCCCAACACTGAACAAAGGTCCTCAGCATGGCTAACACGAGTCTGATGTGAGGTCACTTGTCTCCTCCTCACCTAATTGCTGTGGCTGGGGAGACACCCTGATTCAAGCAAGACCCATTCTTAAAGCTGGGAGTGAGGTCAGCCCCACCCGAGAGCAAGAGTTGGGGGTGAGGGGAGGCAGGGGGACACTTTTACCAGGAAAAGGATTAATGGATGCCAGGCCTTGAAAGCCAGCTTTCCACTACAATCTCCTTTCAAGATTTTTCAAGCTGACCTTATACCTCCTCTGACTCTGACTTCCCATTCCTCAAGTCCCTTCAGGGAAGACTGTCAGGCCTGGGGCTATAAACAGGTCATGGCATCCTTCTTTGAGCAGAGAGGGTGAGTCCGCTTCTAGCTTCTGCCTTCACAGGTTTTGCTGCTCTGAGAACCCCCAGCTAATGTGTGACTGGCACATCCAGCTTAGTGTCATACTTCCAGACACCCAGAGCCCACGAGCCTGGCCCTGAAAAGAGGGGCAGGACCCCAGGAGAGGGTCCTGATCCTCTGCCTTCACACTCTGAGAAGCCAGCTTTGTTTTAAAGGTAGTCATGGGGGGAGAATTTCCCGAAGCCCCTAACGATGCTCTCCAGGGAGCTCAGAGAGGTTTCTGAGAAATGCGTGGGCAGGGGCTGTGTATACTACTCCAGCCTCTACACAGCCACCCCCAATGCAGAGACACCACAGGCAGACATGCAGTCACACACATCTGCACACTCACTAACACTGCCATCTCTCTGCCTCCCTCGATTCTGCCCTTCCTCCCTCTTTCCCTTTCCCTCTTTCCCTCACAGTATGCTGTCACACACATCTTTCCTACATACTCCACAGACCCTCTTCTATCCTCCTCTTTTCTCCCTCTGCCCTCTCCCACTTGTCCTTCCCTCCTTCTCCTTCTCCTACCACCTCAGCACCTTCCCTCTCCCCATCCTTTTTTCTCACACACACACATCCCCATTTCTCTCACATACACATACATGATATACCCAATCTCTCTCACTCTCATGCACACTTCCCCCTCACACTCCATACCATAACACTCCACCATCCCCCCTCCCCCAGACTCCAGCACCCACACCCCCAACCCTGAGCCTTCTGACCATGTCTGTGACTGCTGTCCCTTCAAAGGTTGGCCTTCATAGGTTTTCTCGGGCCATTCTACCTCTAGATATACCCGAGATGGCAGTCAAATCCTAAACCGGTGTTCCATCCTCAAAGAGCAGTCTCACGCTCTCACAGAGTGCCTCAGGTGAGAGGGCTGTAGTCAAAAAAGGGGTGACCTGGGCATGGTCACACAGTCACTGTGACAGCGGTGGGGATGAAACCCGGCTCTCTGGACCTGTAGGGCAGTATTTTCTCATGTCTCTCTTCTCATTTGAAGTGCATCTCACACATCCTGAATCCTCATTGTGTAATAAGGGAGGTGCTGTGAGGATAAAGTCAAATTTAGCATATGGCAAAGGGAGCCTCATAAATCAATGCAGGAACCTGTGTGTACAGGTAATTTTGAGTTCATGAGTTTGACTCCCCGCAACCACAGCAAAATGACCAAAGAAGTAAAAGATCACTTTTAATGGGTCTGTTTCAGCTCTGGATACAGGAATGGCCGTCTCAGGCCAGAATTCCTGCATGATCTCACTAGGAGGACTCTGTGGTGGGATATCTGGACCAGCCCCAGGGGAGCTGCTATGAGAGCAGCCTAAGCAAGTAGGGTCTAGCCTGGCAGATTCCACAGGGCCTGCATCTCAGAGCAGCAGGGCTGAGAGCGTGGATCACAATGTGGCATTGGGCAAAGGCATCGGCATCTTTGAAATAATGAAAACTTTCTTCACCAGGCAAAATAACAACTGTAAGAAAAATCTGGGCACTCTGAGATGTAGCTTGGCAAAGCTTGTGCTGCTTGGCAAAGCCCCTGGTTTACTGTTTGGGTGAAGCAAAACGCTCCGCCCATCGTCCTAACTCCTCACCTTCTGCATCAGCTTGCCTGGCTATCAGCAGCCCTGCCAACAACTCAGTAAAAGGCTCCTCTGTTGCCATGGAGGCTTTTGACTTCTTCAGTGAAGCCTAGACCTTGACTCACTGCCTTTGCAAATAAAACCAACCACGACCAAAAGAAGAAAAGCTTATGGGAATAGGAAACTAATTACTTTTCTGTATAATAGCTAAAATTATTGAGAGCTGACTCCTGTACGGTTCTAAGCACTCACCTACCCTCACAACAACTCTATAAGGCAGATATACTTTACCCATTTTACAAAGGCAGAAACTAAAGAAAGAGAGATCAAGTAACTTGCCTGTGGTCTCACAGAGAGGAAGTCAAAGAGTCAGGATTCATATCCAGGTATGTTGGCTCCAGGGTTGGCATTCTTATCCTCTGACCTATAGTGCCCACAAAAGAGTTCACAAATCTGTGGGCTTTCCAAAGAGTGAGTTCTAAGGTACTCAGTTGAATCTTGGTCAGTGTTTTCAATTTTGGTAGGAAAAAAAAAAGTCCCCTCTCAAAGCAATTTATTCAAGGCTTCTCTTGGGAGATATTTCTGGCTATATACAGATGGAGTAGATCTTTCTATTCAGAGCCGTGAAGTCCACCACGATGGGTAATGTTAAAATAAAAAACACCCCCTCTCCACCTACACGCACGAGATCTTTGGCCAGGCTCCCACCCTGGAGGTGGGGATTGAGAACAAATGTGCACGATTTCCATTCCTGAGGAAGTGTCCCACGGGATGGTACCAGAGCTCAGAGCCTCCTGTGTCTCTGTAGACAGAAGTCTGCAGAGGCATGGAAATGCTGCAGAACCCATTTGGTGGTCTCGTCTGTTCAAACTATTTGGACTCTAGAAGGGGTACTTGTGATCCTCCACTGACAATATGAGCAACAGGGGTGGAAAATGAGCTCAGTGACTTAAAGAGAATGAAGTGTTGCCACAGGAATTCAGCTGGAAGAGTGTTAGAGAGAGCTGGTGTTCCTCATCTGCTCTTCTCTGTCAAAGCAACCCTGGACACTCTGATCTGAGTTTAGTACTGCACTCCCTTTTAAATCAGAGTTATTAGCACTTTCACTATCAAAATGAAAAGTCAGAATGGATTAGCGGGTTGGATGACCTGTATTGGGCCCCATCAGAGACCACTCCATGATTTCAACTTATTTTTCAAGTCAAACAACAACAGCAGCCTTTTTGATATGTATATTTAAGTAGAAGTGCATTAAGTTTGCATTTTATTTGCTAAATATACATTTCTTTCCATTTTTTAAGAAGTAAGGCCATTGATTTTTGCCAGAAAATGAGGCATGCCCCTTTTCAAAGTTTTTATGTATAGCCTGCATATGTGGTATGAACCCATTTGTAATGCAATACATTCCATAAAAGTGTGAGCAGAATTTTGCATGTGTGCATTTGTCTGGAAAAGAGGGACCCTTTGGTAGCAGCTGTGGGTAGTTGGCAGTGGGCAAAAAAAGACTGATTTTTTTCTTCCCTCCTAACACTCTGTTTATCTGCAGATCCTTTTCTATCTAAGTTCTACATAAACAGTGTTGCACTGTAAGCAAAGTGCCCTGGGTCTTCATGAATATTCTGAATCATCCATGCATACTCACAGAGGGAAGCTAGTGCTACCAACCTCTTCACAATAAAGGCATATGCATATTCTTCCTGATCAAATATTCTGTCCCCTTCTCTTTCTCAATTTTTCTGATCAAATATTCTGTCCCCTTCTCTTCTGGATGTGTGTATCTCTCTCTGTCTCTCTCATTGTGTGTGTGTGTGTGTGTGTGTGTGTGTGTGTGTGTGTCTTCTTACAGATCAGAGATAAAATGACCTAAAGAAATATCTGGGATTATTATTGACATTTTACAGTCATTTCCAAAAATGCAAAACAAACAGCTATCTCCAGGCATATATTAAGAGGGTGTGTGGGTGTGCATGTGTGTGCGTGTGTGTGTGTGTGTGTGTACATTTGATTAGGAATTTCAAGTCAAGATCTCTTGTTTGTTTCATTCAGCACCAGAATGTAATTTTATCTGAAAAGTATCTGGTTTTGGATAGAAAACAGGTTGGCCCAGCTGAGAACTGGCATTTGGAAGTGCACTGGACAATTAACCAGCTTTTCCTGTAGAACTTTCTGGTGACCACCCGATTTTGCCCTGCCTATGTAGAAGGGAGGGGGACCCACATCAGAAGAGGATGGGTGTTGCAGGAGGCACATTTCAAGAAAGTGTCTGGATTTACAAAAAAATGTGTTTCTTCTTAGTCTAAGATAGTTTCTTCATAATTTATGTGGTCTGAGAAAAATGCTATGCTTATTAATAATAGTACTTTGCAGATGAGAGGGCACTAATATTTGAGCACTATAATATGCAAAGCATTGTAATTTGGTGGAGTATGAGCATGATGTCTTTAGGTCCTTTCCACAAATTTATGAAACCAGGGTGAAGGTGAGGATGATAGCCATTTGTACAAATAAAGATACTGAGGTTCATAGAAGCAAAATAATTTGCCTGTGGCCACAGGGCTAGGGAGTGGTCACATACTCTCCATCACAGTATATGTTTACACATGCACTGGAGTCAACATGAATGGGGCCAAACATATATATACACACACTCTCGTGCTTTTCTTATACCACAGGGAGTGTACTGATTTGCCCTGCCCAAAAAAGATCCCCTGAGATTTCTCTTCCAATTATTCCCTTCCCTCTGTACAGTCTCTTGCTGCTATTTGAAGCATGTTTGTATTAAGAACATTTAGCTAAAGCAAACCTCATAGTCTGTGACTGACAAGAAAGCACATGATAAAACCATGTCTTTGGCTCTTCCATATCTTGAATTTACAAACCAAGAAAGTGGGAAAAAAAAGTAAAAATTCATGTAACATTTCCCCTACAAAGTTGTATTAAACCGGGCAGCTTTAAATGAGCTTTGGTGCCTCTCTCTCCCTGTTGCACATGTGTTGATGGATTTTTCTCGGCATTGGTTGTCTGAGATTTCACAGCTCTCCGTCACCTCCCTTCTGAAACTGGTAATAGAAACGAGCAGTAGCACTGTGCTGTTCCTTCACTCTGGTATTGCTCTCTACCCAGAGCCCTGTGTCTTTTCTTAAGAAGACTACCTGGCTTATCCTCTGTCTGGGCTTTTCTGGCCATGAGGACATGGAGTGAAGATTTTGGAGCTCTGTGCCCTGTGTCCTGGCGTTTAATTATTTCTCAAGACACGTGAGCTAAATTTGAGTAGAAGAGCTTGGCAGAAAGAAAACCACCAGTTACGGTAATTTTAATAATTAAGCAACATTGACTTGTCCTTTATTTCACAATTTGCTATTATTGATTATGTACTATAATCCTTTATTATACATTGCCTGATTGTTTTCATTGATGTTTTGCAACAGAACTATGTCAATTTTGTCCTATTTTGTACATTTTTTAGCATTTTGCATATGCATATCTGTGCAAACATTAAGAAATAAATCATAAAGGAAGAGCATTTTAAACCATTGGCTCTATTTCAACAATATGGGTGGAAAAAGTATTTCTCCTCTCCTTATTGACTGCTTTACAAAAACAGGTAGAATTTTATTCTTTTATTGATAAAACAGAAACCTGATGTGGTGAGGGTTGTAGCTGTGGCTGCCTTTGCTGCAGATGTGCTATCTCTGAGGCTGGGACTAAACTTCTTAGTTTATTCCAGCAGGGAGTGGGAAAGTCACATGTGAGTTTAAGAACATTGACTTACTCTGGGCTAACCCAACATACATGTTTTTTGAGCAGCAACTGATGAGACCTGAATGTTCTAGGAAATTTCATTGTGTAAGCATGGATTTGACAAAGATGACACAGCATGATACTATATCCATCACCCAGGAGGGACATTAAGAGATTTCTTAGGGTCCTGAAGCTAAAAACGAAGTCCTTGGATCTTTTTCTTATTTATTTAATTTTATTTTAATCCAAGTCATGAATGTATAGACTTTAAAACATCAAATAATTCTCTTGACTTATTGAAAAGAAAAAAAAGCCCCTCACCCCACTCCACCCCATCTGTGCTCCTTACACACCACTTTCAACTTTTAGCTTTCTTTCAGTATTTACTTCCAAATTTCTAAATAATATGCTTACCCTTTTTGTTTTTACAGCTTATATCTTTATTTTCTTCTATGAAAAGGTTTTGTTTTCAACACCTCCAACACTCAACACATACATATCCCCCTTTCCTCCATTCTCCCAGTATATCTGCAATATAGTCTTTGTTACATCAGTTTTCTGTGTTTTATTATTATAATCATAAAAAGCAGCTTTCTGGTGTTGCTGTTGAGTCATTCTGATATTTGATCCTTTCTATGTGGCTTTTTCCCCTCTTTGAAAGTTTCTAGGCTCTTTCCTTTGGTCTCAGTGTTATAAAACTTCACCAATGTCTTTCCTTTGGGTCTTTATTTCTGCCACTGTACTTGAGCTCTTAGAGAACCATTTCATTTTGGATAGCTTTTCCAGGCTTGAGAAACTTTCTTGAATTACATCTTTGATTATTTTCTTTCTTCCATTTTCTTTGTTTCTTCTGAAGTAAAGATATTAGACCTCTCAGATTAATTCTCTAGTTTTCTTTTTTCTTCTTTTTTCCTCTCTTTGTCCTGTTTTCTGGAAAATATCCTCAATTTCATCATCAATCCTATCAAGTGTTTAATTTACACAATAATTTCTTTATTTCTGAGAGTTATTTTTGTTTCTATATTCCCTTTACTATGTAATGCTATTGCTTCATACCTGCAATATATTCTTATTAATCATTTTTGAAGTTTTTTTTCTCCTTCAACTTTCTTTATTGTGTTTGTTTTGGTATTTATCTTTAACGATAGCAACTTTGCTCAAGAATCCCATGACCCAGGACTGGCAGTTTACCTTTAATAGTGATGCACTGAAAGCTGATCTGAGGGTTAGTGGGCCTCAGTAGGGCTTATTGACTGGTTGGCTTCAGCCTAGGATGATCTGGCTGGACTGTTTTATTGGGAGAACTGTCAGTAGGTCTTTTTCTTTAGAGTCGGTCAGTTTCTCAGAAAGGAATGCTCCAGTCTCCTACTGGGGATGTAGGTCTGATAGTTCAGGGGAGCCCAGTGACAGATGGGGGCCAAGGCCAAGCCCAGCACTCACTAATATGTTTCCTGTGGGTGCCCCTGCCCTTGATGTGCCTGGAGCCCTGGTCTCAGAGTCCCTCTATGCTAACCTTTCTAAGGAGTAAACCTCAAGTCTTCTGAGATGAATGAGGGAAGTATCCTGGGTAAGCACAGTATAAAAGGGGACTAGAGGCCTAACTATTTCATCTGCCTGCATTCTCACTTCCAAAGGTAACTGATGGTTGTAATTCCTGAGCCTTGATGGGGCTCTGATATATGAATCAGGCTTCCCACTGCAGCATCAGGATTTAGCTTCTCCAGGGTGTTGAGTCATTTACTTATGCTTCACCTGCTTTCTAGCTTCCCAGATGTTATTACTGTGGCCCCATAGGAGTTTTGACTTTTGTATCTTGTTTGTATTTTAATGAGATTTAGGAGACAGCAGAAGTAAATGTGTGGGTTTAATTTGCCTTATTCAAGTGGAAGCCCAGTCCTTGACTCCTGGTTCCAGTAGTGGCATTTGGGCCAGATGAGGATGTCCCTGGGAAACTGTGGCAACAATGTAAGGTTGTAGAAGTGGTACAAGATGTGATTTCTCTGTAGCAGCCGGGAGTGTCACCTCTGGCATCTCAGAGTTAGGTATGTACACCCTGGAGAAGGATGGTGCTAGGGGAGGCCTGATAGGGGATTCAGCAATGGATTGCAAACTTATTTTGACCCACATTAAGAAGTTCTATTTACTCTCACAATCTAAGAGACAGATACCTACACACTCCTACAAACAAAACTGTACAGAAAAGCAAAAGTTTTACAAGACAGTACTAACCCCTTCTACGGGCCAAGCACTCAGGTATTTCTATTCTATTTAGGTTGTTTGTTTGTTTTCAATGATGGTCTTGACCCACTAATGTGTCACAAGCAGAAGACTGAAAAGCAGTGTCACTTGAGGTGACATCCAGACACCTGCAGTATATCACCACTCTTGCCATCTTCTTGCCCTAAAACTTTCCAGGATTCTCCATCAACCCCTGAACATCACATTCAAGGCCTTCAGCACCTGGCTCCAGCTTGCCTGTCAAATCTCCTCCCACAGTGTGCCCACCTAGTATACATGCTTTTCACAGCAGTGGCTCCTGCATGCTTTCTACCCTCCTCCCTGCATGTACTTCAAGCACACCAAGCCTTTTAAGATAGCATTTTCTCTGCCTAGGCACCCTTGCCCCACTGCCTGCCCCAAGAACTCTCATACATACTCTTAAAGACCCAGATGAAATGGCAGAACGCCTGTGAACTTCATCTAATGTACACACTCAGAATCTTGGGAACCTTGGGGTCTGAAAGGGCATGAATGTTTTTTGTTTGTATTGTGAAGATAAAATCCGGCCACAGAACTGGGCGTGGTGGCTCACGCCTATAATCCCAACACTTTGGGAGGCCAAGGTGGGCAGATCACCTGAGGTCAGGAGCTCGAGACCAGCCTGACCAACATGGACAAACCCTGTCTCTACTAAAAATACAAAAATTAGCCAGGCATGGTGGCATGCACCTGTAATCCCAACTACTTGGGAGGCTGAGACAGGAGAATCGCTTGAACCCAGGAGGCGGAGGTTGCAGTGAGCCGAGATCGTGCCATTGCACTCCAGCCTGGGCAACAAGAGCAAAACTCTGTCTAAAAAAAAGAGAAAAAAAAACTCTGGCTACAGAAGAACAGGTAATAAATTAGGAAAACACCAAGAAGAAAATTTTGATATAAAATAGGGTTATTAAGTGGCAAGAATTATCTAGTAACCTTTCCTACAGAGCAATATTTTTATGTAAAAAAATTTCTAGAATGTTGACAGTATGCCATCAATATGGTAGATACACTTTAAGCTTTATGAAGCAATATCCTATTGTTAAATATATAATTTTGTAACTACTTTTATGACTCACTGTGAAGAACTGCCTTGTGCACATCTTTGCACATAAGTCTAAATACCTGTAAGTACTTTGGATTCTTGATGCATACCACCAAGTCTGTCTCCTGGAAGAACAGATCAGTTCAAACCCCATGTGCAGGAGAGTGCCTGTTGGGCTATATAGTGGCCACTTCTAGGTATTGTCATTTTTTAAATACCATGTCTCTGGTAGTTTTAAATTTTAGTATGATAATATATCTCAATATTTATTTTATGGTTCCTACCTTTAGTGTCATACTTAGAAAAAACTTCCAGAAACCCAAAACATAGATCATTTTTGCTAGAATTTAAAGTCACCCCAAATAATATTCTCCATTTTCTCAGTGAGAAGATGAACAAAAGTAGAATTCTTATGTCCATCTTTGATACCTAAACTTTTAGAGGTATAGATGAAGTAATCGGTGTCTACTTGCAATGTCAATCTACTAATATCGTAACAGGCACACTTCTAAAGTCACTAATTATGTATAGTCATATACTAATTGGGAACTACTGTGATTTTTCTTTTCTCATTTCATGAACCAGTTTTACCCAAACTCTTGTTTTGTATTTTCAGTGTCAACATTCTCTGTCAACATTCTCATCATCATCAGACCCATTCTGAGTCATGTAACACAGTTTTCCTGGCACAGCAGGTGCACTTCCGTCTGAGTTATTTTTAATCTAAACATACATAATTCTGTCACTGAGATTTTTAATCCAAGACACAAAGAGACAGTCTTATAATATTAGCTTCTAAACTTGTCCTGAATGCGTATATTGTTCTTGACAATAAGACAACTTATACTGTGCTTTATTTTTACATTGTTACTTTTACTAAAGATATATTTGCAGTGTTTAAGGAGTCAAGACTTGTTCTAAAAAGCCTTTCAACTTTTTTTCATTTTCTCTTTTTTTCATCCCTCTTCCCTCAGCCCTATCCCACCCCCTAAAACCATTTTTAACTGTTTCACTGATTTTCATGACAACATTTTCCTCTATGTAGGTGCAGGATGTATATCTATGTAGGTTGCCTGTGTTGTTCCTTGTTAATTATTCAGTTTTAGGCATCATCTATTACTTCTCATCATGGAACAGGAGAATTTAGCCTCTTCCACCTCATCCTGCCTCCCTTCCCATTCCCATACCTTTCAGTAAAGCCATATTTCTATTATTATATCTGTATAAATGCTATTATGTCTGTATAAATGCTTCCCAGCTGAGCCATCTCCTAAATTGTGGTTAATATTTTTCTATTTTAAAGTAAAATTTTTAAGTTGTGAAATATGTCCTACATACTGTATTAGTCCATTCTTGCATTGCTATAAAGAAATAGCTGAGACTGGGTAATTTATAAAGAGAAGAGGTTTAATTGGCTCATGGTTCTGCAGGCTGTACAGGAAGCATGGTGGCATCTGTTTCTTGGGAGGCCTTAGGGAGCCTTTACTCATGGTGGAAGGCAAAGCTGGAGCAGGCGTCTCACTGGCAAGAACAGGACTGAGAGAGAGAGGGGAGGTGCCACACACTTGTAAATAACCAGATCTTGTGAGAACTCACTCACTATACAGTACTGTATTAGTCCATTCTCACACTGCTTTAAAGAAATACCCAAGATTGGGTAATTTATAAAGGAAAGAGGTTTAATTGACTCACAGCTCCTCATGGCTGAGGAGACCTCAGGAAACTTATGATCATGGTGGAAGGTGAAGGGGAAGAAAGGACCTTCTTCACATGGCAGCAGAGAGAGAAGAGTGAGGCAGGAAGGGGCAAGAACCCCTTATAAAACCATCAGATTTCATGAGAACTCACTCACTATCACAAGAACAGCATAGGGAAACTGCCCCCATGATCCAATCACTTCCCACTAGGTCTCTCCCTAGACATGTGGGGATTATGGGGATTACAATTCAAGATGAGATTTGGGTGGGGACACAACCAAACCATATCAGTTACCAAGGGGAATGGTACTAAACCATTTATGAGAACTCTACTCCATGATCCAGTCACCTCCCACCAGACCCCACCTCCAACACTGGGGATTACAACTGAACAGGAGATTTGGGTGGGGACACATATCCAAAGCATATCACATACCAGAGAGTTATAATATATATTTGTATAGCTTAAATAATAATAATAAAGTGAATATCCAGGTTAACAAAACAATCTTGGCACAATCACATCCCCCTTCCCTTCCTCAGGCCCCCGAGACCAGTCTCACCTACATGTGAAAAGAACACAAAATTGCAGGAAACTCAACAGCGTAATTAGATTTGTTATTTCTTCTTCAGCAGAAGAGTTAAGAAGAATTTTTGTTTTTGGTGGATATGGAGATCTAATATGCAAGTCGTTTGAATTTTTATGTTTGTGTGTTTGTTAATGCTGACTTTTGAATAGTCAGAGAATTTTGCCTGAACAGTATTTATTTTGGGCTTTGTTTATGGCTGCTGGGATGTGATTCATTTTTATAAATCTTCCTTGCTTATTTGGGGGAAAAAGTGCCCTTTCTGTTTCAGAGGTATTGAATTTTATATATTCTTTCATAGGTATATCTTTTCAATCAAGCTAACAGTGTCCACTTTCCTTCTGTTCTTATTTAAATTGTTTGTTTGGTCCATCAGAGAGTGAGAGAGCTTTTGAAGTCCCCCATTATGCTTTTTAAAAATTTCTCTTTGTTTTTCTAACAGATTTTATTTTATATATGTAAATTTTGTTATTCAGCCTATTATATTTTAAATTATGTATTATTCCTTTTTATCACTGGAAACACAATCATCCATGTTATTTAATGGGCTTTTCCTGAATTTTGTTTCATCTGATTTGCCCTCCTTTTTTCTTTGTGTCCACTTGATGCTTTCTGGCCTTTTTTTCATTTTTAATCTTCTCTATGACTTTTTTGATATGCTCTTTATCAACAGCATATAATTGGATATTGATTTTATTATTTTTCAAGCATCTGTCTATTAAATAGAAGCTAAACCTATTGACATATAAGATGATAATTGATATGTTTATCACTCTTTACGTGCCTTATCAATAGATTATGCTAGTATTGCAACCCATGCGCTCAACTTTTTAAAAACTTGAATGGTGAGGGCAGCCAATTGTGATGGCTACATATTGACCTATTCATAAATTCTGCAAGTAGTTATTGAATACCTGCTGGGGACCAGGCACCAGGCCAGGCACTGGAGATGTAACAGAGAACATTACAGTCCTTGCCCTGTAAGTAGGGCCAGTTTCATGAGATTGCAGTCACTTTATGGCCTCCAGCTTGGTTTAATGCTCTGCTGTTGTTGTCTTGAAACTCTAATTTTCAACAAAGGACCCTGAATTTATTTTTTCACTGGGCCCCATAAATTATGCTACTGGTCTTGCCATAAAGTTGTATAAAAGACAGAAAACAGGAAATTTCAATATGGCCTAATAAATACCTTAATAGGAATCAGCAGAGGGGACTATGAGAGCATAGAGGGGGCTGATCTTGGAGGTCTTCTTGACAGAGCTCATCACTGGGCTGAATCAGATGAGGAGTAGGAGTTGGCCTGGCTGAAAGAGGGAAGCAGAGGAAATAGCAGGTATAAGGCCCATGGTCTTTAGACTTAATGATGTCTCTGGCCAGAGCAAAAATTATAGGTATCCCTGAACAAAGCTAACTGAAAGCATCAAGGCCAGTAGAATTACAATCTAAATAATGTACTGTTAGGGGCAAGGATCAAAGAAACATTCCAGATATCTGCACAAGATGCTAAACTAACTGACTGCATTTTAAGTCAGAATTGACAGATACTTTATACAAGGTCTAATGCCAAGGTAATGGGAGGTGAGTCTGAGGGAGAGACACAAATCACAGACTCAGAAGGGAATGCTATCACAAAGCATTCTGCTATTATCCCAAGTTAATTGGGAGTCATCTTTCTAAAATGCAAAACCAACTGCATCCGTGTCCCACATTTGAGAATGGCCATTCTGACATTAGCATAGAGAGGGGAGAGGCTGGATAAGCAGGCTAATTAGAAACCTTTGTGTGGTGATCCAAGTGGGAGACAGAAGGAAAGTGTTAGCAGAGGACATGAAGTCATAACATAGTTTCAGCCAACATGCAGGAGGGAAAAGCTGCAGCACTTAGTTATGAGTTAGCAGTGTTTGTGAGAGAGAGAGAGAGAGAGAGAGAGAGAGAGAGAGAGAGGGTGAGTCGAAGATGGCACTCACTGAAGTGCAGGATGTAGGACTACAACCAGCTTGTGTGAAAAAAGACAGAGTTTATAATTTAAGGCATGTTGTGTGGGAAGTGGGAGACAGAAGTGGAAATATCCAATGAGCAGAGCTGATGGGGTCTGTAGGGGTCTTGCAGAGAAGAGATGCCAGCTGACACCACAGGCATGACCCTGGGGTGACTCCACTTCTTGTATTGTGCAAGTGCAGAGATGGAGGTCTGGGAGTGCTGACATTCAACAAATGGGCAGAGGAAGAGGAGTCTTTACAAAAGGCTGAAATGGAGAAGGAACAATGAGGGACAGAAAGGAAACCAGCATTATGGAAGTCAGAGTATCATGGCAGCCAAAGTAAGAAGTGCATTTCAGAAACAATGAGGAGGTTAAACACCTAAAACTGTGGGCTGAAACAGCAGAGGAAGTAAGACCAGCAAAGCAACCCTTTGACTGGGGAGAGCAATTTCAGAGGAATGAACACTGGATTATTTAAGGAGGGAGTGGGAAGTGCAGAAGCTAAAGTTGCGATTGTAAGCATTAAGACTCCTGGTTTCTGCATTCATGCTTTGACTTGCTTTCCTGGAGAGACTGCCAATTCCTAGAGATAGTAAATGGCTCACATATGGGTGTGCCTTTCAGATGCAAACCAACCAGTCCAGAGCCCACACCCCACCACTTTCTCTATGGGGCTCTCACATTCAGGGCCACTGTTCCCCTGCCCCAATCACCCCAGGGCTAGGTACCAGATAGAGACAATCCCTTTACCTCAGAGCCTACTGTAATTATTCAAACAAGCCAACCCTAAGTCTCTTTCCCTTTTCTCATCTGTTCCTTTCCTTTGAAACACAATAAAGGTTATTACCCACTTTTACTCCTCACTCTGCCTCTTTTTTTTATTATTATACTTTAAGTTCTAGGGTACATGTGCGCTTCCCCATGTGGCCCTTTCTCTTGGGATCTGTGAGTAATGAACTGTCTTTTCAACAGCAGTCATCTTCTGATCTATTGGCCTCACCACTTCTGAATAATAATCAAACCTACACCTTAAAACAAGAGGGAAATGTAGTGACTGAGAGAGGATTGAGGCTTTAGTATGTTCATTTTTAACTGATGAGAGAGACTTAGTCGAGTTCATGCTAAGAAGGTGCCAGTTAAGAGGGTGGAGTCAACAATGTAAGAGAGAGGGAAGAGGAATTTGGGGCAAAAGTCTGAAGAGATGGGAACAGATGAGCCCAGAGCCATTGCCTTTCAAGGAGGAGGCAGAGCTGGACACAGTGGTTCATTCACTCCTGTAATCCCAGCTACTTGGGAGGCTGAGGCAGGAGGACTGCTTGGGGCCAGGAGTTTCAGAAGGAGAATGCAGGCTCAGGCCAGGGAAGGTTGATGTTGGGAAGGATATGCTCCCAAATGTGCAGAGGAGGCCCCATTTCAAAACAAACCCTGTGTCCTTCTTCCTGGCACTACTGCTAAGCCAGATCACCATCCCTAGCCTCTGTCCTCCATAGTCTCATAGACTCCTCTGGACCAGCCCATAATGACCACTGCACACTCCCCTAGGACTTGGCCTGAGCCATGCATTTGACACTGATAAATCTTGCTGTGGGTTGTCTTTATGGATGATGAAATGTCCTTCCCACCCTACTACAAGGAGGTAGTCTTAGTCATGTCCCTGCTGTCTTAGCTATGTCCTCAATGCCCAGCATCAAGTTGAACAGGACACAGTCCCTGCCTAGGGAGTTCCTGCAGGAGTACAGGGCAGATATGTGTAGGGAAAAAGGGTAACTATGATAAGTGCAACTGGAACTGACTGCCTGATGCCCACCATGGGCCTTACAGCCTGTTACCTCATTTCTTACTCACTTCTGCCCACCAGTGGGCCTTTTGGGACAAGGCCCTGCCAGACTCATTGGAAATACAGCCTCAGGCAGGAATGGAGTGGGAAGAATTCCCTGAGAAGCCAGGGAATTTTTACTTTGAAAAGCCCTTTTATCTGTGGCTGTGTCCTTGGAAAGGGCATATTTGCATTTATTTGCAGGTTACTTTGCCCAGAAGTAAGCCTGTTTTTATGAACATAATAAAAAGCACTGGCCTTGTAGAAAAAAAGGCCTTTCCAGTCTATGGAGAAATGTTCAGTTTGAAGCAAGTCTAGTTTAGAGGCAAGAGGCCAAGGCCAAAAGAAGTAACCTCAAAGGATCAGTTATGTGAGTAAGAGAAATCAAGAGTAGAAGTAATGTTGATTTCTAACCTCAAAGATGCTCAAGACACTTAAAGTTGGAGAGGAATGGGTGATTCTGTTTAACTTGCTCAGCCTGCTGCAGCTGAGGTCAGAAGCCCTTGCGTACCTGGGGATACAACACCTCCCTTCCCAGACATCTGAGGCTTCTCCTACCAACCACGGGAGGCCTGGGCACCCTGTGTCCTCTGACCCCTTTCAACAGCCCCTCTTTTCACAGGCCCACATACATGTCCAAGGCTGGGACATGGTGCCAGCTTCCTTTATCACTCCACAGCTTCACTGCAGAAACACAGGCCACTCCTCTCCTCTCTTCCTGACCTCCCTATTCTATTCTCAACTTCACTTCTCTCTCTGTAATTATTCTCAAATAACCACAAATGTCTTTATGCTACTCTGCAGTTCATGAAGGGGTGTGTGTGTGTGTGTGTGTGTGTGTGTGTGTGTGTGTGTGTGTGTAGCGTACTCATCTAATTTTGAATGCAAACAGATCAATTGCGCATCTTAATTTCCAGATAGACATTTTTGATACTTCTAATAAAGAGAATACCCAGGGTGTTGACTCAAAGCATGGAAAACCTTCAGTCTGATGCCTGAAAATGGCAAAGTTAGACCCCAGGGTCCCCCCAGAAGGCAGTTCTTTGCACTTAGGTTTCAGAGTTCCTAGGACATTGCCGGTGGTCAGGGCTACAGACAAGCCCCCTCCTCATCATTACTGCTCAGGATGGTTCACAAGAAGGGAAGGAGGAAGTTGTTTAGCAGAATGGCTGCCTATATGATTTTTGGTAGCTTCGAGACCAGATCATTTGTAGACAAGTTAATTTCCCTAGAGTAGAAAACAAAATCCCATCTCTTGATCAGCTTCTTCAACAAATGGTGCTTGAAAACCGTTTAGAATGCATTAAGCTTCAAAAACTAATTCTTCTTGACTCAGAGATGAGATTTTCTTTATGTCCACCTAGAAACTGTACAGACTAAACCTTTACAATCTCAAAGGAAAACAAGATTAAATACCCATTTGCTAGTGTATTCACACAAAGGTTTTGTGATATAAAAGAAATTATAGAGTTGATGGGTGGGGGCAGTATGTTGATGGGACTGATGAGTAATTAAGGATGCTGAAGGTGGCCAGGGACTGTGGACAGTGCAGGAGTCCCAGGGGTTTTGTAGGGTCTTCCCAGGCCTGGCTTGTGGGCTCTGAGTCCCCAGTCCACACCTCGATAAGATGGTTCAGCTTTTATCTGACATATTGGAGATCCCTGTAGATTTCATATAAAGAACGTTTGGGAAAAAAAAAAGTTACCCAATTATTTGGTACACTAAGTAATTGAGTAATTACTGTGCTAAGAAGGCAAGCAGGTGGTGTTTATTTCCAGGAGTTGAAGAGAAAGTATACTATGATGAAAGTGAGCCCTGGGCTGGGAACTAGTGGATTTCCTGGCCTTGCTAACTAGTTGTGTATACATGAATTGACCACTTTCTCTGATTAGGCTTGGTGATCCCAAAGGTTCTTTCCTGATCTGAACATCTGTGATTTTATATGCTTGTTACTTATTATTAAGTATTGATGCCCTCATCCACAGACCAGAGAGGTGAGGGTTTAAGAGATTTAAGGTCCTCAGATGAGCTGGGGAGTTGGATAGCTGAATTGTTCCCTGCATTGCTTCTGTGCACCCCTGGGTTCTTAATACAGGAGGGACTTTAGTGGATTAAGGCTGGAACACACACACATACGCTCATGGAATTCTACAGGAATAGAGAAATTAATATCTCATGAGGGGGTGGAGGCGGGGGCGGAGGAGGGAAGAAGAGCAAAGGGAGGGAAAGAGGAAAGGAGAGTGAAAGAAGAAAGGAGGAAGGGACAAATAAGCACACACGTTGGCCCTAACAGTGTTTGACTCACACTGGTCCTCAGTAAATGTTTGTGAGAACTATGGAAGGAATGAATTATTGAACTGGGCCAACCCTCAATCAGCAAATTCTAATTTCTACTCTAGTAGAAGTAAGCTAGGAATGGGTTTAGCCCATCACTTCCTAAAGCTGGTAGGAGCCATTACCAGCCAGCTGCATTTTTGAGCAGTCCTAATATTTCAACAAATTCTGGCCATCGGTGAGCCTGAGCTCGCATGATCCAAGGTCACTGTGGCAGTGTGGAAACTCAAAGAAGTCATAGATGTCAGAGGAGAGGGTTGACATATTGGCACGTGCAGCCCTCCCAGGTCCAAACTTTTGTGCCTCCATAAGGATTTTTCATCCAGTAGAGTGAATGCTAGAAATGTGGGCCAGACCAACTGTCAGAAAGTTCTGTGTGGTAAACAGGCTGCCCTTTCTGTTTCTAAGCAGGTGGCCTCATGATCCACAGGCTACTTTCATGACTATTGTACAAGCCTGAGAGCAGATGTTTTCCTCTGAAATCAAGTATTAGAAGCCACCCTACCAGAAACTATTAAAATCTATTATATCCCTCCTTTCTCTCGAGCCTGATCTCAAACATGTGAAATCCAGGCTGCTATGAATGTGGTGGGACCAATGCAGATGGATTCCAGGTTTTCCATCTCTAGTCCAGACTGTATTAAGAACCCAGGGGTGCATAGAAGCAATGCAGGGAAGCGTCATTAAAACAGTTTGGTTCTGATACAGGAATGGGCCTTCAGAACAATGCAAAAGAAAATAAAGGTCTTTGTTTGTTTTCTGAGATGGAGTTTCACTCAGTTGCCCAAGCTGGAGTGCAGTGGTGCGATCTTGGCTCACTGCAGCCTCTACCTCCTGGGTTCAAGCAGTTCTCCTGCCTGAGCCTCCTGAGTATCTGGGATTACAGGCACCCGCCACCACACCTGGGTAATTTTTTGTGTTTTCAGTAGAGATGGGGTTTTACCGTGTTGGCCAGGCTGGTCTCGAACTCCTCACCTCGAGTGATCTTCCCGCCTCAGCCTCCCAAAGTGCTGGGATTACAGGCATGAGCCACCATGCCCAGCCAAGAAGAAAGTTTATTAAAAAGACCTCAGTCCATGGGGAGATTTAGTAAATGAAGTGATGTCTCAGAGCCATATGGGATAGTTATTTAATAAATACTGCTGGGACAACTGGTTACCCATTTGGAAACAACAAAGTTAAGTCCCAGTGTACATTAAAATAAATTCTAGATGGCCCAAAGATTGAAATGTTAAAAAGTGAAAATATGAAAGTCTTAGAAGAATATATGGGAGAGTTTACTTTTTTGTTTGTTTTTTTGTTTTTTTGAGACAGAGTCTCGCTCTTTCGCCCAGGCCAGACAGCAGTGGTGCTATCTTGGCTCACTGCAAGCTCCACCTCCCGGGTTCACGCTATTCTCCTGCCTCAGCCTCCCGAGTAGCTGGAACTACAGGCGCCCACCACCACGCCCAGCTAATTTTTTGTATTTTTAGTAGAGACAGGGTTTCACCATGTTAGCCAGGATGGTCTCGATCTCCTGACCTCATGACCCGCCCGCCTTGGCCTCCCAAAGTGCTGGGATTACAGGCATGAACCACCGCACTCAGCCAAGAATTTACTTTTATAATCTTAGCGTGGAGGCAGCCTTTCTAGGAAACACATAAAGCCCACAAAACTTAAAGGAAAAAATAATAATCATTTTGACACCATAAAACATAATTTTCTGCAACACAGAATATAGTCATGCACCACATAACAACATTTCAGTGAACAACATACTGCATATACAACAGTGGTACTATAACATTGTAATATATTTCTACTGTACCTTTTCTATGCCTGGATATGTTTAGGTACACAAATACTTACATTATGTACAGTTGCCTACAGTATTCAGTACAATTACGTGCTGTACAGGTTTGTAGCCTAGGAGCAATAGGCCATACCATGTAGCCTAAGTGTGAGGTAGGCTATGCCATCTTGGTTTGTGTGGGTACATTCTATGATGCTCTCACAATGACAAAATTGCCTAACAATACATTTCTTGTAATGTATCTTCATCATTAAGTGATAATGACTGTATACCATAGCTAACATCAAAAGACAAATTAGTAAAATAAAAGTGGGTGGCATTTACAATCTTACAAATATGGGCTAGCATGTTTGTCACAACAAAGTACTAGTTTTCTTATTAAGAATTTTCACAAATCAATGGCAACAAGCCAAGAAAGAAAAAAGGAGCAAAGTTCAGAGACAAGGAAGCCTTTGAAAAGATGTTTAACTTCTCTAATAAGTAAATGCAAATTAACAAAGTATTAAATTTTTTCAGATTAGCCAGTATCAAGAGCTTTGGTAGTTCAGTGTTAACAGGAAGGGGGAAGCAGTGCTTGAATGTGCTTTCAGTGGGATGTAAATCAATACAGCTCCCTGCTTGGGAAGACTATTTAGCAATGGCTGTCAAAATTACAAATGCATATGACCTTTGAGCTAATCATTTAATTTCTAGAAATATGTGATATAGAAATGCACACACGGGCCTAAAAATATTAATTGCAATATTGTTTGTAATAACAAAATATTAGGAAACTCTCCCAACTGTCTCTCATTTAGTAGCATGAATAAACTGATACATTTCCATAGTAGAATATTCTACAATGAGGGAAAAAAGAATGAAGTATTTCTGATATGAAATATCAATATCAGTATATCTGATATGAAATATCAATATGATAATATCTCCAAGCCCAAAAATTTGGGAAATATTCAAGAAAAAGTTGCTCCTAGTGTGAAATTGATCATCCAAGGAAGACAAATGTCTCATTCCTACTCTCTGTGTGTATATATTACATTATTAGTTTAAAAATAAAATTAGTATTTTAACTAAGTGTATTATTAGTTCTCATGCTGCTATGAAGAAATACCTGAGACTGGGTAATTTATAAAGAAAATAGGTTTAATTGGCTCACTGTTCCACATGGCTGGCAAGTCCTCAGGAAACTTAAAATCATGGTGGAAGGCACCTTTCACAGGGTGGCAGGAGAGAGAATAAGTGCAAGCCAAGGAAATGCCAGACGCTTACAAAACCATCAAATCTCATGAGAACTCACTCACTATCACAAGAACAGCATGCAGGAAACCACTCCCATGATTCAGTTATCTCCACCTGCTCCCACCTTTGACATGAGGGGATTATTACAATTCAAGGTGAGATTTGGGTGAGGATACAGAGCCAAACCACATCACTAAGGATCCAGAGTTAGAATCTAAGAACTGAGCTGAAATCAACCTTTAAAATATGGTATTTCTATTCTCTTAGTTTACAGAAGAGAAACCTGAGATTTACAAAGTCCAAGGTCACTCAAAAAGCTAGACTCAGGAACAAACTTGGAGATTCCCAGTCCCTGGTTCACAGTTCTTTTTTTTTTTTTTATGTGATGCTCTTTGTTGTAGAATTTATGTCACGATTTTATTATGGAGTATCAGTCTCTCCAAGTGGGCTTCCGTAAGAGATCACATATAAAACACCAAAACTAGGCTCTGAGGTCCACACCCTCCTGCCCGCTCACTCTGCCATGGAGACAGCTCATGCCACTGCAGGTAATGACAACTGCACAGCACGAGCAAGGTTGAGTAGAACAGGTATAGAAATTGGCATGGAGTGGTGAAGAGTCTGAATTCCCAAATGTCATTATAGAAGCCAGCTGCAGTGCTCCCTGGCTCACAGGTTCCCTGGGGCTGACTATCCTCCTGGGTCTCCAGCTGTCATCTTTTGCTTGATCCCTGGATGGGGGCACACTCACATCCCTGTGATGTGTTTTGCCCCTGATGCTGGTATCCCCTAGCACTTTACCTTTAGCCAGCTTTAGCCTAGCAGATGCATTCACACCTCCTCCATGAGTTGTGTAGACCTTAGGAAAGTAAGACGTGGTCTCAAGTTTCCCAAGGAACAACTTACATTGCCCCCCAACACACACACACCTAGCAGCATAAGACACATCTCTGATACTGCCATCTTCAGAAACTTCTAGATGGAAAACATCCCCCTACTGTAAGTAACTCCCTGCCATCCTATTTATGTATTTGTTTATCTCTCTTTCATTTTCCCTTGTCCCTGAGAGTAGAGTAAGGAAAGGGCTCATTGCTTTCAACACTTTATTTTCTCTGAATTCAGCAGTCTTCACCTCAGCACAGTTTAGTCTGGCCCAATTTTGATAGGCATGGGCCTGTCTCTTTGCATCTTTGTCTCAGGCTGGGAGGCACATTTTGAACCTGGAAGTTTAGAACACGGCGTCCTTTGTTTTTGACAGGCTGTTAAGGATATGCACAGGGCTAGAAAACTGAATAGAACATCCCTTGTGGATGCTGCAGGTTCTTAGCCACAAATTAATACACAAAAACGGTTTGGGGTGTATCCCAAAAACCGTTAAAATGACTTGTTTATGTGGAGAAGTTAAAGCATTTCTCTACAATCTCATAACATTATTGATTTTGCCATGAACCTCTTTTCTCATGAGTCATTCTAAGATATTTTTCAAGCAGTTTCCCTTCCATAGTTTCATAAGTTTGGAATGAGTGGAGGCCCAACCTCTGTGAATCGTTCTCTTGTGTGTTCTTTCCCTCCTGTCTCCGTCTCACAGTCTCACATGAGTGGCTGCACCCCCGGCTATAGCTTGTTTGCAGTTTGCTGCCAATATGACTGGAGCATCCGGTGAGGCCACATCTGCCTTTCAATCCCCCCGCCCTGATATTGTAAAATAAAAGTTTGTTATTTTGACATTTTTGTAGCTCACTGCACCACCCTTTGGTGGCCAGTTTAGAAAAATTTGATAATTAATGAAGATATCATACACCGGTTATGTAAAAGCAGGATAGGAGTAGCCACAAAGACCCTGGAGGCTGAAAATCAGGAACAGAACTGAGAGCCTTACAAAGTGTGATTTCATCAAAGCCATATGATAGCTACTGTGTTTATGTAAATTAATTTTACTACGTTGTGTCACAACCTCCCCCCTTTTAAAAAGCTCTTGCCCTCTGTAGCTTGAGGCAACCTTCTGCCCATCATTGATCCCTTCTTTCCAGGTTATTCCCATTTCTACATTCTTAGCTGTTACATTTTCAAATTGAAATATTTTATTCACTACTCATGTCCAGTGTCCTCACTTACCTTGGCATCATTTCTTCCCTCAAGAGTAATATTGGCACAACTAAGAAAATATCATCCATTATCATCAATACAGCATATTGATGTTCTGACGTAGTCCATCAGTGTAGAGGCAGAAGAGCAACAGCAGCCCTTAGGATGCGATGGACATAAAGGCAGCTTTATAGCCAGACCTCAGTTCCAATCTTAGCTCCATCTGGAAAAAATAAATAACTTTAGACTCTTACCCTCTACCTGACATTGAAATTAATTTACTTTAGAGCAAAGACTTCAGCATAAAAAATAAACCCAAATACAAAGAAGAAATCATGAGAGGCCTTACTATGGCCCCAAACCAGAAGCTCCATAAAAATAAAAACATCTCTACAGCACAAAAATCACCATTAACAAAGTCAAAAGCAAATGGCAGACTAGGGTAATTATTTGTAATTTAAATTGCAAAAACTAATTTTTCTAACATAGAAATACTCCTACAAATCCAAAACAAAAAGCCCAAAACCTAAAAATAAAGGGACAAGAAAAGTAAACAGAATTTTCAGAAAATGCAACACAAATGGCTCTTAAACAAATGAAACAATGCTTAGCCTCTCTCATAATATGATAAATGTAAATTAAAACTATAATGGCATACCAGTGTTCACCAATTGGATTAGCAAAGGTCAAAAAACTTGATAACACTGTATGTTGGCAGAGGCTAATATGTTGCCACAAGACTATAAATTGCGATAACTCAAATGGAAGGAAATTTTGCAATATCTGTGAAATTCCTGCTGCATGTATCTTTCAACCTTGCTATTTCATCTGTAGGAATTTATTTTGCAGATATATTTGCCTGTATGCAAAGGGACAGGTGTAAAGATCATTCCCTGAAGCACTGACGTAATAGCAGATTAGGAAACAATCTAGATGCTAATCAATAGGGCACAGGTTAAATTAATTATGGAATGGTCATAAAGTGAAAATGCCTGCATGCCCCTAAACAGGAATGAGGAAACTTTTTTTTTTCCCTGGGTTGAAGGTTTATTTATTTATTTATTTATTTATTTATTTATTTTTCTTTTCTTTTTTTTTAATTATTATACTTTAAGTTTTAGGGTACATGTGCACAACATGCAGGTTTGTTACGTATGCATACATGTGCCATGTTGGTGTGCTGCACCCATTAACTTGTCATTTACATTAGGTATATCTCCTAATGCTATCCCTCCCCCCTCCTCCCGCCCCACAACAGGCCCTGGGGTGTGATGTTCCCCTTCCTGTGTCCATGTGTTCTCATTCTTCAGTTCCCACCTATGAGTGAGAACGTGCGATAGTTTGCTGAGAATGATGGTTTCCAGCTTCATCCATGTCCCTACAAAGGACATGAACTCATCCTTTTTTATGGCTGCATAGTATTCCATGGTGTATATGTGCCACATTTTCTTAATCCACTCTATCATTGTTGGACATTTGGGTTGGTTCCAAGTCTTTGCTATTATGAATAATGCCGCAATAAACATACGTGTGCATGTGTCTTTATAGCAGCATGATTTATAATCCTCTGGGTATATACCCAGTAATGGGATGGCTGAGTCAAATGGTATTTCTAGTTCTAGATCCCTGAGGAATCGCCACACTGACTTCCACAATGGTTGAACTAGATTACAGTCCCACCAACAGTGTAAAAGTGTTCCTATTTCTCCACATCCTCTCCAGCACCTGTTGTTTCCTGACTTTTTAATGATTGCCATTCTAACTGGTGTGAGATGGTATCTCATTGTGGTTTTGATTTGCATTTCGGAATGAGGAAACTTTTTATTTACTGATAAGAAATATCTCCAGGATGTGTTCTTATGAAAAGAGCAAATAGAGAAGTATGTAATGGCATGTTGACATTTGTGCAGAAAAAGGGCAAAGGGAATATTTTTTAGTATTTTCTTATGTGTGTATAAGTGCACAAGTAACTGATAATATTGTTTGCCTCTGGAGACGGGAACTGGAGGTGTGGTGAACACAGGTGAGCAGGAGACTTAAATTTTAAATCCCGTGGCATATCTATTCAATTATTTTTATCTTTGATGAGTTCATGTCCTTTGTAGGGACATGGATGAAATTGGAAATCATCATTCTCAGTAAACTATCACAAGGACAAAAAACCAAACACCACATGTTCTCATTCATAGGTGGGAATTGAACAATGAGAACACCTGGACACAGGAAGGGGAACATCACACTGGGGACTGTTGTGGGGTGGGGGGAGCAGGGAGGGATAGCATTAGGAGATATACCTAATGCTAAATGACGAGTTAATGGGTGCAGCACACCAGCATGGCACATGTATACATATGTAACAAACCTGCACATTGTGCACATGTACCCTAAAACTTAAAGTATAATAATAATAAAATAAATAAATAAATAAATAAATAAACTAATACACAAAAAGAGAGGATATTGGCTTCACCATTAGCCAGCGATGTAGCCTTTGTTTTCACAAAATAATACCTATCTCATAGTTTGGTTTTGAGGACTAAAAGGACCCAGCTCAATGGCAGGCTTGTCATAGGCATTCAGCAAGTGGCAGATCTTATTAATTAATTACACTGCAACCCAACAACTTCAACCAAAGTATTTTCTTGTGAACAAATGGTGAAGTTTTATTATATTTTAGCCTAATATAGCAAAATCCCTACCTTTAATTTTCACAGTAAACTAAAACACTGTGTGTCTGTTATAACTAAAGTCCAGAATTGCCTAATATTCACAGTAATCAGATCATCTTCTTGTTCCAACAACCAGCTAGGAGCTTAATTTAAAAGGAAAACACCTTACTTATTATATAACTTAACATTACCATTAGTCAAACAGATGAATAAACAAAAAGGAAATTGTACATAATTTTGATATGAATATGAAGATGTTATCAGAGCAAAACAGGCTCACATCAGTGTGTCAGGACATCGGTGAGGCAGCATTCGATGCAACCCTATGTGTCCCTGGAAATTTGGCTGGAGGAAGCTGGGATCACTTATATTCTGAGGATGATGGAGGTGAGATGCAGAAAGATAATTTGATGTCTTCAAGACTACACACTGACTGATATGGTTGAGGAAAGAATCCATACGTCCTGGCTGTTCTTTGCTATCTCAGTTCCCAGATCACACAGATTAGCAGGGGGAAGACACAAGATTGTCCTTCTGGGCCAGCTTAGCTCAAATTTTTGCAGCTACAGCAAGAACAGCAGCTATCCAAATAAACACAGTAAATTCTCTTACTCACTTCAAGCTGATTCTGACAAATAAAGAAGCAAGCTCAATCAGCTTTATAAATAAGAATGCTAAAGAAAGGTTATATTCAAATGTTCTTTATTCCTGCCTCCAAATAATTGAGACTAAATGAAACCATTTCATTCCCCCATCCCCCAGTCCTGACAACTGCTTGGCTGAATATGAGTCGAGCTCACTGAACCATACAGAGAGGAATGAATCAAGCATGAGGGTGGAGCTAAGAGCCATGGAGACCAGCTGAGAGATGGAAAAGTTCAGGGCAAGGTCAGTGCCAGTGGCCTCAAGTCTAGAGCAGGCCCCTTGAGAGCCAGATAGAGACAGCTAGGCGGGTCCCACTGAGGCAGGTCCCGCTAGGGAAGAGGATGTGCTGCTGTGCCCACACCACATGAATAGCACCTAGAAGAGTCCTAGAAGGGACCAAGGGTACCCTCACACACCCACCTCCAGACCAGTTCAGAAACGTATTCTCATATAGATCTATCTTGGGTAATAAAGTTTCATTGGTTTTTATCCCTATTAATACAGGACCCTGTTAATACTAGACCCCAGCCTCCTACAAAGCTCTTTTCCCACCCCTTTCTGGCAAGCATCTTGACAAACATTTAAGGCAAGCATTTTGACAACTATCTGTGGCATCTGTGGATTTTTTTTTTCACTCTTCTTCTTCTGCTCCCCCATCCCAAGAACAATCTGGGCA
This sequence comes from Homo sapiens, assembly GCF_000001405.40. NCBI lineage: Eukaryota > Metazoa > Chordata > Mammalia > Primates > Hominidae > Homo > Homo sapiens. The sequence goes on from NC_000003.12 coordinate 40,121,504, forward strand.
CTGTGCATCCATTCACCACATCCATTCCCCTGGGTACCACCACTGCATTCTTTGGGTGCCACCCTCTCCTCCTGAGGTCCTCTGCTCCACTGGACACTACAGCCCTTTGCATTGGCAAAGCTACCTTCCACCAGGTGCCCCACTGGTGCAAACCCAGCACTGCCCTGTCAGGGACAGGCTTAGGATGAAGCAAGCAAGGCACTCACTCCCCTGGCGTACCAAAAAACTCAGTAGTAGAGACAAATAATATTTTAACACAGTATTTTTTAAAATAAAGATTGATGCAAAAAATTCATAATGAACTAAATTTACAACTTTCAAGTAAAAAAGGGGTTTCTGATAATGCCATGCTGAGCCATATTAGAGACTGAGACAAAAGGAAATACATGTCCCCAATAGTATATGTTTGTATGTATTTTTAAGGGTTAATTTTTCTAGAATATTAAAATGTCTGAAAAATATTTAAAAACAGGAAAATAGCTATATTAAACTCACAACATTATTTTTGTTTAAATATTTTATTTATAGTGAAACCAGAATTTATTGTAATGTTACTTTCCTGGCCTAAAATGGAACCAAATTCATCAATAATATTTTCAAAATTTACTCTTTGCTTATCTCATTTTCAGTTGAGAGTTTTGAATTCTAATGAGCAACATTAACTCAGAAAGTGTGATGCACATAAAACTTTTTAATAAGAGATATGAATATACCTTCTGAATTTGAAAGTAAATGAAAAAGAAATTGGACATGTATGAATTATTGCATGAGAGTATCAATTATTATAGGGAAAGTACATATGAAATAGAAATTAAGGAGATTATAGAGGTCCTAATTTTACATGTGAAATGAAAATATGAGAAAAAAAGGCCTTTATATATTTTGAATTTTTATTTTTAATAAATATTATAAATTTATTTTTACCCAATTATTCATGCTTCTTGTAGAAAATATACAAATACATGTAAATCAAAAGAAAAAATCCAGATTATCATAAAGATAATCATCTTATTTTGTCGTACTTTTTTCTACACATTTTTTTCTATAGATACATAATTAAACACATTAATCTGTATATGTATGAGTTCATATTAAATTCACATTTAAATATACTTAGTACAACTTTTTCTCATTCATTTGGGGGACTAAAACTGGTCTATAAGACGTTTTGATTTTTTCTTCATCTTTTAAAAAAATTTTATAGACACATAATAGTTGTACATATTTATGGAGTATATATATTTTGATATAAGCCTATAATATATAATAAATTAATGCCATGTTGGTAAAAATGTGGCAGGCCCTATGCTTTGTACCCTAGATATATTATTTTGTGTAGTCCTTAAAACCACAATAAAGTAGATATATTTTTTTTTAACTTTTATTTTAGGTTCAGAGATACATATGCAGATTTGTTCTATAGGTAAATTGCATATCCCAGGGGTTTGGTATACAGATTATTTCACCACCCAGGTAATAAGCATAGTACCCAATAGGTAATTTTTGAGCTTTTGAATTTTTCACTTGAGAAAGTTTATTTTGTATGAATACATCTAATTTACAAAAAGCAGCCAATGATTTGGCTTTTGACTATTGTAATGATTTAAATCCTATAGAAATGTTATCTGATATAGTTTTAAGCAGCATGCAATATCAATAATTTGTAATAAAAATCAGCATCATGTTTGGATCTTCTAAAATGGATTCATACATTTTGCTTAGTGCAGGCTTATCCAAATTTGGAAGTGGTCTTAAGGATTTTTTTTAACAATATCAGTCACCCTGGCATTTTGTGGAAGAAGTTTCAGTAAGCTGAAGTTCGTTAAAAGTTATTTAAGATTGTCCTTTGGTCAAGAGACATTTCCAAACATGGGCAGTTCTCTGACTGAAAATGGGGCCTCAGCTGGGAGGACTCAGAGACTGTGGCTGGAGCAACTGGAGCCCGCCAGCCATCCTTCTCGTTCCCTGTGGCCTCCCCATGTGGCCTCTCCAGCATAAGTCTCAGGATAGCTCCCCTTCTTACACAGCAGCCCAGGCTGAAGCAGGTTCACTGTGCATGGTTACCAAGTCTGATGAGACAGAGCACCCACACACATAAGTTACAAGAGGCTGGTTTATTGTTTACAGATAGGCAGCAAGGGACAACCAAAGCCTAAGATCCATTGTGAGCTGATCCCTCAAGGCTCAGCAAAGCTGCCTGGGGCAGATAGTCTTGTCTGCTTGTCTGTGTGTGCCCCACCTGTAGCTAAGGGACCCTGAGAAGCAGCTCATCCAAGGGGAATCCTCATTTGCTAGGCTAAAGTGTTGAATGGCATCCTGTTTCTAGCGGGTGGATGGAACAAAACCCTGGCTCTTCTGGCCAGTTCCTCCCTATTTCAGAATGCCACATTCCCAGCACATTTGACAGCTATTCCTGAGAACTACAATCAAGAAAGGGGGAGAACTGGGTTGGTGCAAGGCCACCTCCCTGGAGAACTGCCTTGTGCCCAGGGCTTCCAGACAGAGTGCTCCAGGCATCCTGGAATGGAAATGCAAACTTCTTATGACTTAGCCTCAGAAATCGCAGAACCTCACTTCTGCCATATTCTAGTGAATGAACAACTCACCAAGACCAGCACAGTTTCAAGAGGACAGGGAACTTAGACTTCACCTCTCAGAGGGAAGTGTAGCAAAGAATTTGTGGCCATCTTCTATCTGCCCCATCCCAATGGAAAGACGCTTCCATCAAAGCTGTACTTCAAAGCATCCAGAAGCTCAGAGCTCTGAGTCCCAAACACAGACACAACCAAACCACAGACTCACTTGGGCCGGGATCCTCCACTACTCCAAAGGCCCCTTTTGAATGCTTTCTGTGATGTTAGGATCTTTTCATCTTTACAGCCATGAATGGCTCTGTCTGAGGAAGAAAATTTCACATTTGGTCAGCTCATTAGGAGAAAGATCAGGACTGGTCACCATTGTGGTCAGGGCTGGTGCTGGTGGTTACATGGAGGGAGGGGACAGCCAGTTCAGCAGTGACTGGAACCTGCCTCCCCATGCACCTGTGCCAACCCACACCTTTCTCCCAGCATTTGTTTTTGGTTCTCTATTTGAGGCTTCTTAGGGAGGCTTCTCCTGGAGAGAAAGGCTGGCTTTTCAAGGTGGGTATTTAGGATTTGGTGTATGCCTGGCAGGGATATTCTGGCAGAGTTGTGGGTATGAAGGAAATGGATTGGATCCAGAGAGGGTGAGTGCCCTGAGACCAGCAGAACACAGCTGGGGAAGGGCAGCTAGGATCTGCACATAAACCCCCACCTGGCATGGCTGCTGTGCCAGCAGGCATTCTTAAGTGGCTGGCCTTGCAGTCTCCTCCATGACTTTGGGCAAGTTCCACCTTTGCCTGGCTCAGTTCCTTTCTTTTTTCAATTGCCTCCCTCATATAGAAGAGGCAGTGCAGTGGTGATGGACTCTGCCTCTTACTGGTCACATATCCTCAGGCAGGTTATGGAACTTCAGATTCCTCCTCTGTGAAGTGAGGATTAATAAAGTGCTTGCCCCACAGGGTTGTTGCAAGGATTGAATAGGTTGATTGTATAAGGATTAGAACCAGGCCTGACACTCATACCCATGGTACATGTGATCCAGTGGAGGCATGGGGCTTTGCAGCCAGATGGAGCTCAAATCCCAGCCCTGCCACTTACTAGCTCTGTAATAGAGTTCTCTAGAGGGACAGAACTAATAGGATAGATATATAAAGGAGTTTATTAAGTATTAACTTACATGATCACAAGGTCCCACAATAGGCTGTCTGTAAGCTTGAGGAGCAAGAAGAGCCAGTCCAAGTTTCAAAACTGAAGAACTTGGAGTCTGATGTTCAAGGGTGGGAAGCATCCAGCACGGGAGAAAGATGTAGGCTGGGAGGCTAGGCCAGTCTTTCCTTTTCACATTTTTCTGCCTGCTTTATATTCACTGGCCTCTGATTAGATTGTGCCCACCAGATTAAGGGTGGGTCTCCCTTTCCCAGCCCACTGACTCAGATCTTAATCTCCTTTGGCAACACCCTCACAGACATACCCAGGATCAATACTTTGTATCCTTCAATCCAGTCCAGTTGACACTCAGTATTAACCATCACGCTAGCTATGTGACCTTGGTCATCTTATGCCTCCTTCAGCCTCATTTTCCTTCTCTGTCTCCCTCTAATTGCTGTAGGGATCGGAGAAATTGCGCATAGAGGGCCTAGGAGCAGCTGCGGGTAAATCACACACACGTCTTCTCACTTCTCTTCCAGGCTTTTCTTCCTTCTCGCTATTTGTCAGCTCCGGCATCTCACCCTTAGCAAGATGCTTCACATTAATGGCAGTTGTCATGTATCAACTGAACATGACACTTCCAGCCTCTGAGCCATGTCTGTCTGCAAATTCCCAGTGACATACTCAGGGGTCCCAGCGTGAGGGCTGTTCTCTTCCATCCAGATTCTCAGCCTCTCTTGACTTTTCAGAACTGATTGCTCTGACTCTGTGCTCAAGGGCCTTCATGCTGTCAGGGCTGAAGGATTCTTATATTCCAAACACCTGGATGGGATTCTGTTGTTTTCCTCACAGCATTGAATCAGTACTACCTTCTCATGGGCTCTTAACGACCTGCCCAACCTATCTCAAACTCCATGTTTCTTAAAGTGCAATCCTTGGACTCGCAGCATCACATCACCTGAGAAGTTATCTGAAATGCCCATTCCCAGACCCCATCCAGACCTCCTGAATCAGAAACTCTGGGGTGGGGCCGAACAAGCTGGTTTTAACAAGCCTTCCAGGAGATCCTGACGCATATTCACGTTTAAGAACTGCTAAAGGTTAAGAAACACCTTAGCGTTTTGGTTAAGATGAAATGTAAGAATCAAACACATTTCCAGCCAAGTCTGTTTTTACTGTTAATTTACTGATTATACCTACATCCTTTCAAAAAGGAATGAATGAGGGCTTAGGATTAAACAATGATGTTGATGATAACAAAAAAATAGCATGTATTGAAAAGTTACCTTGGTGAGGCACTGTGCTAATTCCCATGTGTTTATGTCATTTAATCTTTATAAAAATCTGATGAAATATTTATTCTCGTCATTTGTATCTGAGGAAATAAAATTTCTGAAAGGTTAAATACATAACCTACAACCAAATTTGAAGGAGAAAAAAATATTCTTTTGTTCTTGGGATTTTTGTTTTGTTTTTTGCAAACTGTATCATTGTACCTTAAGTTTATTTGACGGTCCCTGTATCCAAGGAACTATTTAGAAATAATAATTCCTAAGAGTTGAGTCTCACTAGGCAGAGTAGGAGCAAGTGATGCTAGTAGCAAGGGCATCCCTGGGGCCTATCCTCAATGCTGAGCAGTCGGTTGGGTGAGCTGCCATCGGCAGGTGACAGACCCAGTTGGAAAGTTCTCTGCAGACCTCAGCAGGCAGGAGACAGTGCACACTGTCATTGAGGGAAACTACCTGCACAGCTTTGCCCTACAAAAACATGTAACAAACATGAGTCCCAAATAGATGTCAATTATTGGCCCTAATGGGTAAACCAAGGTCCTCCTACTGCCCCTATATGGTGGTCCATATAGAATAACAACCCTTTTGTTTTACTTCTTTAGAAGAAAACACCTTTCTTATAATATGACTTAAATCTAATGAAGATTTTCTTTTTTCTAAGATTAAATAGCTACCATTTTCTTAGTGCTTAACTATATTCAGGTTCTATAGTAGACGCTTAAGCATGTTAGATCAATGATGCCTCATATAACTCTGCCAGATAAATATTACCATCTCCATTTTTGCAGGTAAGGAACAGGGCACCCAGAGAGGTTAGCGACTTGCTTTTGGTCACTTCGGTGGTAAATGGTAAAGTGCAGTCTGACAACCAGCCCAAGTTCTGGAGGCACCAGGATGCTTTTCATAGGCTGCAAACTGGTCCCAGATGTAGTTCCTTTCTTCCCTTCTTTGTAGTCAAGTGGGTCACAATTCTACAGAGTTAGATTCCTACATGAAATGAAGGCCACTTGCTGTAATCTATGAAATTAGTTATTAGGGTTACTGGGATCTGGTGCTCAGAAGTTAACATCGGTATTAGGTGCCAGGATTTTCCCACCCTTGTCTTTCCCCTGCTCTGCATTCCCGGTTGGGGGTGGGGGGCACTGAGCCCCACAGGCTGTGCTACCCAGACTCCCTTCTCAACTTGGCCAATGTCAGCCTATGCAGGGAGGTAGGAGAGCAGAAGGAAGACTACAGACACGGTACAGCGTATTTCCTGTCTCTCTGCCTGAGGCAGCATCTCTAGAAGCAGCTACACCTTTTCTGTGGCCCCAGCTCCCAGCTCCAGGATGCTACTCCTGGTAACACTGCCTGCTCCCTCATCCCTCTGGCCTTGAGGTAGGAAGAACCTCTCTGTTCATAGCCTCTGAGATGCCTCACCATTTTCTCCCAGGAGCCTTAGCTGTTTCATCATCTATATAACCAATTGTCTATATTAGAGTCCCTCTGAAAAACCTAGAATGCTTTCTCTTTTACTGCTGTTGAGTGTGTTATCAGTGGTTGCTGAATCTTCTAATTCTGTATTCTATACTGTTGTGTCAAACCCCTATTAACCTCAGTAGGGAAGGCACCCGGTTCAAGAGGCCAAAGAAAAGACCCAGAGCCAGCAAACAAGACATGGAGTTTTAATAGGGGCTTACATACAGGGGAGAGAGTCCAGTGGCAGCAAGCTGGATAGGAGAACTGACTTATGTACAGAAACAGTCCAGTGGCAGCAGGCTAGACAACATATCTACCTTCCTACAGTCCAGTGGTGGCAGACTAGGCAGCATATCTGCCTTCCTACAGTCCAGTGGTGGTGATCTGGACAACATAGTTGCACGGCTCAGTAGCTACAGGCTGGGCAGGAAAACCACAACCACTTCCAAACAGCATGTAGTTTATATAGCATTTTCACAACACCCTTCCCTTAATGACCTCCACCTTGCAGCCTTCATTTAACCCAAAACTCAGGGCCTCAATCCCCTGTATTGCATGTGTTCCGTGGGACAGGCCAGGGGTTGAGATATTTGTAAAAGACAAAGAATGAATCTCCAGGTTGGCGACACCTGGATTCCCCAGCTTGGAACACACATTCAGGTGCATCTGCCATACAGGGACATTCTAAGAGAATGCTTCAATTATTGCCATTGGGTACATTTACCCTGCATACACAAACCAAAGCAAAGCTCACAAATCACATTCTTACAGTTTTCAGGAGGTATACTTCATTTTTCATAAATCATCAAGGTCGTTTTAAATTGGTCATGGATTTTAATTGCTGCTGTGCTTAATTCTTTTACCAACAAAGGAATGTTAGTTTAGCTTCATCATTCTCAATTTAGCTTGTTGCAGATTGCTTGGTGCACCTTGTATGTGTAATGATTTGAATTTGTATCAATAGTATTATTAGCATTGTATTTTCTTATAACTATTGTATCTGAATTTTGAAGTAGAATTTTAATTATTCAATTCCTCTTCAAAACTTTTTATCACCCAGTTCAGTTCTTTTTCCTTAAAACAAAAATGACAAGGGGGGAAACAAGTTAACTACTCTGTCTCTTGTCCTACTAAGTGGATTGTGGTCAAAATTTAAAAGAAAAAAAAAATCATGACTGGGCACAGTGGCTCACTCCTGTAATCCCAGCACTTTGGGAGGCTGAGGCAGGCAGATCACTTGAGCTCAGGAGTTCAAGACTAGCCTGGCCAACATGGTGAAACCCCCGTCTCCACTAAAAATACAAAAAAAATTAGCCAGGCATAGTGGGGGGCGCCTGTAATCCCAGCTACTCAGGAGGCTGAGGCAGGAGAATCGCTTCAACCTGGGAAGTGGAGGTTGCAGTGAGCCGAGATAAAACCACTACACTCCAGCCTGGGCGACAGAGTGAGACTCTGTCTCAAAAAAAAAAAAAAAAAAAAAAAAAAAAAAAAAAAATCATGCCACCTCCGAAAACACCCAGCTAATTTTGCTACACATGGGAATCTTGCTAAAATGCAGATTCTGATTCAGCAGGTCACAATGTGAGTGTGGAGGTCTGAGATTACACTTTTCTATCTAGCTTCTAGGCCATGCCCACGCTGCTAGTCTGAGAACCACACTGGGAATAGCAAGATCTTCAGCATATCACAGAGTCTCTCCCATGTAAACTCTTAGTTTGCACAGTGCCCTACTGTGTTGGGGAGGAAGGCCTGGGAATGCCTTGCTTCCTCACTGGCAGCCAGGGCCTAAGCAGTGTTTCAGTTCCCTCCTTCTCACAACTGTATTGTTTTAGTCGAATGAGCCAAAATCAACCTGGCATTCCTAGGTGAAACTTTAATGTGATTGTAATTTCAGTGCTGTTCTATGTGATTCCGATCTGTCTTCTAATGAGAATACACATGTTTACAAATTTACTTGTGTCATAGAAAAAGAAATTAGAAAACTGCTTATACAACAAGTCCCTTGAAGTGATTAGTATTCGCAGTATGATGTTAAGTAGGTTTTTTTAGGGAAACAACACAATGATTTTAAATTTTATTCTGATTCTTTGATTCACGCAGCTTTCTATTTGCTTGAACTCTGAAGCCAAAGCCCTAATTTGCCATAAGAACACTACTAGGATTTCTGGAATAAAAATAACCTGATCAGATGTCAAGGCACTGACCCAAGAATGATGTCTACAGTCTGTTCCCAGATTTGCTTCTAGTTCAGTCAGTGACATATCAGCAAATTACTTGTTTTCATTTTCCTCAGTAAAATAATGATAATGATCATTTATACCTGCAATATACCCATTATTGGCTTAATACTACATGTGGACCAAGGAGGTCATAAATCTATATTTCTAGTCCAAATTTCTTTTTTTTTTTTTTTTGAGACGGAGTCTCGCTCTGTGGCCCAGGCGGGAGTGCAGTGGCGCAATCTCGGCTCACTGCAAGCTCCGCCTCCCGGGTTCACGCCATTCTCCTGCCTCAGCCTCCCGAGTAGCTGGGACTACAGGCGCCCACCATCACGCCCGGCTAATTTTTTTTTGTATTTTTAGTAGAGACGGGGTTTCACCGTGTTAGCCAGGATGGTCTCAATCTCCTGACCTCGTGATCCGCCCGCCTCGGCCTCCCAAAGTGCTGGGATTACAAGCGTGAGCCACCGCGCCCGGCCTCTAGTCCAAATTTCTACCCTCCTAAGAATATATATATATGTGTGTGTGTGTGTGTATCTCCAGACTGGTATATCCAAATGCCCACCAGGTCTTACCACCTGGGGATATGATGGGTACTCCAAATTTAATTGTCCTACCTAAACTTTCTGCCTTCCCTCCAAACCTGATCCTCTTCCTATATTCCTATCCTGGCTAGTTATATGACCATCACAACCCACTCATCCAAGCCCAGAAACATCATTTCCTGTTACACTGTGAGCTCACTGGGGTAGCACTTGGTCTTAGTCACCTTCATAACCCCAGTATTTTGAACTAGACTTGGCACTGCAAAATGCTGAAAAAATATGCCTGTATTGAACTAAACTCCATAAAGATGGATGGTCCATACAAACCTAGAAGTTATTTATGAGAATTTTGAAGAATTGCCATTGTGAAAAATTGCAATACTTCTACCTGCCCCCATGCTCCAAAACAAATGGGAATACAGCTTTTCTGTTAGTGATTTCTATACTAGGGTATAGTGAACTCCCATGAATCTAAACTCCATATAAGCAAAGCTTGGTAGTGTTTTAATTCTTATTTTTACATTCTGTACCAACTCTTATCTATATTTATCTCCATATTTGTTATTTTTTACTGTATTTCTTCTAGCCTGTCACCCTCACTCACGGATGCATTCCTGCTATATGCCAATATTGTAATAGGTGCTTTGTGACATTGTTTTTAATTTCACAGCCTGTGAGGTAGATTTTATAAATATTATTTTTAAGTGGGAAGCAGGTTCAAAGAGAGTACATGACTTAATATCAAACACAAGTAAGTGAGGAGGGTAGAGCTCCCATCGTATTCTCTCTGTGGCTACAGGCCTTCATAATACACTTTAGGGGATATGATCTTCCTTCCTCTTACTTGGAAAATTTCATCAAAGTTGTAGTATCTTCTCCATTTATAAAATAGCGTATGTTTTTGCAATTTGAAAAAATAAAGTTACCCATAATACCACTATTTAGAGATATCAGCAGTTACATTTTGCTACATTATCTTTCAGGGTTTTTTCTATTTATAGCTGTGTTTTTAAACATGCCATACTGTTTTAATTATTATATATTTGTAATGTATCTTGACATCTGATAGGACAAATTTCCCCCTCCCTCATATCTCCTCTTTTCCAAAACTTTTAACTAGAAAAATATCTCTAATTTTTTTTTCAATGAGAGCTTCTCTTCATCTTCTTCTACCTTGTGAGAAGGGCCCCTTCTGAATATCTAGACATATAAACAAGGGTTCTCTCCATGTAGAAAAGACTTCTTTTGAAGTAGCTTGGGTTGGGGAGGCTGTCAATAAATGATAGTAAAATGAATCTAAAATGTGCTTATATCATTTTTTAAGAAATCAATTTTTTTAATGCTTATAGAATCAGTTTTCTTCTGAATGCCTTCCCAGAGCTGGGAATTAGGGAAGACATTGAGACACCAAGTAATAAGGTAAGGCTGAGAGGGATTAAAAAAAAGACTTAGAGGGTTTAGAAAATATGCTGTTGTCTCTACAGCTGCAGAAAAGGAGCCTCACTTTTTTTAAAATTAGAACTTAGTTACAGAAGAGAGGTTTACTCTGAAGCATGTCACCCACCAGTTGCCTCCTAAGAAGTTCTCAAATAAATGTTCTTTCTTCCCCTTAACTGCAAACCCAGCAGATAAGCCTGTAGCTGTGAAACAAAAGACACTCTGCTTTTGCCACCTGCCCACCTGAGCTCCTAAAAATGATGTCACATTTTCATTCCTCAAGAGCTGGACTGTTCAGTGGCTAGGCAATTCTCCAGAAGCCCAAGAGCTCTGAGAGCAAAAGTGTAAGGCCAAATTTGTATATTTTTCTGGGCCAGGGCCCTGAGCTAGACCAGGTACAGGCCCTGGGTTCCCCTAGGGTTTTGACCTCTCAGTGAATCTGATACAAGATGAGACTCTTTGGGAAGCCCCACCCTGGGGGCATGAGAGTACTACCTAGCCTTTCCTTTTCAGCTTGGACATTAGCCACCCAGAGGGTTGCCCCTTTACCAGCTTTCCTCTAGGGTTGGTGCAGAATCTCTGCCTAACTCCTCAGGGCATGAGGCTGATACAAGAAGATGGGCATGGCATCCAGTGGCTGATCCCACCAAAGGCACACAGCATGTGCTGGCAGTCCAGCTGGGGCTTGGACTCATCCCCCATCCCAGTCCAGCCCTCCTTACTCAGAGTCTTCCAGCATATTGCCTTTGTTGAAGCTAGTGTACTGCCATGGAGGTGTTCATGTCAGCTGATGGAGCACTGGCTCATGGTGGGAACTAACAAAACTGTGATAGACTGACATGTGGTCAGAGATCTCTGTGGACATTCATACCTGTGTGGTATTCAGTGCTGAGGAGAACACAGAAGGCCACACTGTGTGGTGCCTAGAGTGATGGAACTGAAGGAAGAACACAAAGTCTACATAAACAACAACAGTGCAGGGCAGGAAGGAGTGCTAAGAAAATTCATGTCTATTGAGTCAGTTGTGAAAATAAGAATTCATCCACTCACTGATTAAGAACCCTCCTGTGAAGCCAAGAAAGATAAGCGCTTAAGAGGTGCTCACATCTTAGGTATACAGAAAAACCAATATGCTGTAATCATGTTCCATTTGCAGAGATCATCTTGGGAGGCCTGATGTAATAAGACAAACAAAAAGTTGTGTCTGCAGAATGCATGGGACCAATCATGGGCCCTTCTCTTGATGGATGCTTAACTTAGCAGCACAGGCAGATCCCTAAATAATTAATTAAAATAGTGCTGTGAGGTGTTGTGATAAAGATTTATGCTTAGAGAAGAAGTGAGAAAGTTGGATGAGGCTTTATAAAGAAGAATGGGGGAAATAAGTAGAAAGTATGTATGTTTAGAGGCTGGGCACAGTGGCTGATGCCTGTAATCCCTAGTACTCAGGAGGCTGAGGCAGGAGAATCGCTTGAACCCAAGAGGTGGAGATTGCAGTGAGCTGAGATCACACCACTGTATTCCAGCCTGGGCAACAGACTCTGTCTCCAAAAACAGGGGGAAAAAATGTATGTTTTGAATTTTGTTTGGTCGTACTGTGGAATGTTTCTGACATTCTCAGAAGTTTCTGGCATGCTATAAAGACACCCATCTATAAGTCATATAGATTCGACAACTCTCATGGGCCCACAAGCATAGATTTTAAGAAGACAAGGGGGTGGAGCCAAGATGGCCGAGTAGGAACAGTTCCAGTCTACAGCTCCCAGCATGAGCGATGCAAAAGACGGGTGATTTCTCCATTTCCAACTGAGGTACTGGGTTCATCTCACTGGGGAGTGCCGGACAGTGGGTGCAGGACAGTTGGTGGTGCAGTGCACCCTGCGTGAGCCGAAGCAGGGCGAGGCATTGCCACACCCGGGAAGCGCAAGAAATCAGGGAATTCCCTTTCCGAGTCAAAAAAAGGGATGACAGACAGCACCTGGAAAATCCCGTTACTCCCACCCTAATATGCGCTCTTCCAACGGGCTTAACAAATGGCACACCAGGAGATTATATCCCGCACCTGGCTCGGAGGGTCCTACACCCACGGAGCCTCGCTCATTGCTAGCACAGCAGTCTGAGATCAAACTGCAAGGCGGCAGCGAGGCTGCGGGAGGGGCGCCCACAATTGCTCAGGCTTGAGTAGGTAAACAAAGCAGCCGGGAAGCTGGAACTGGGTGGAGCTCACCACAGCTCAAAGAGGCCTGCCTGCCTCTGTAGGCTCCACCTCTGGGGGCAGGGCACAGACAAACAAAAGACAGCAATAACCTCTGCAGTCTTAAATGTCCCTGTCTGATAGCTTAGAAGAGAGTAGTGGTTCTCCCAGCATGCAGCTTGAGATCTGAGAACAGGCAGACTGCCTCCTCAAGTGGGTCCCTGACCCCCGAGTAGCCTAACTGGGAGGCACACCCCAGTAGGGGCGGACTGATGCCTCACACAGCCGGGTACTCCTCTGAGACAAAACTTCCAGAGGAATGATCAGGCAGCAGCATTTGCAGTTCACCAATATCTGCTGTTCTGCAGCCACCGCTGCTGATACCCAGGCAAACAGGATCTGGAGTGGACCTCCGGTGAACTCCAACAGACCTGCAGCTGAGGGTCCTGACTGTTAGAAGGAAAACTAACAAACAGAAAGGACATCCACACCAAAAACCCATCTGTACGTCACCATCATCAAAAACGAAATGTAGATAAAACCACAAAGATGGGGAAAAAACAGAGCAGAAAAACCAGAAACTCTAAAAATCAGAGCACCTCTCCTCCTCCAAAGGAACGCAGCTCCTCACCAGCAACGGAACAAAGCTGGATGGAGAATGACTTTGACGAGTTGAGAAAGGAAGGCTTCAGAAGATCAAACTACTCTGAGCTACAGGAGGAAGTTTGAACCAATGGCAAAGAAGTTAAAAACTTTGAAAAAAAATTAGATGAATAGATAACTAGAATAACCAATGCAGAGAAGTCCTTAAAGGACCTGATGGAGCTGAAAACTATGGCACGAGAACTACATGACAAATGCACAAGCCTCAGTAACCGATGTGATCAACTGGAAGAAAGGGTATCAGTGATGGAAGACAAAATGAATGAAATGAAGCATGAAGAGAAGTTTAGAGAAAAAAGAATAAAAAGAAACGAAAAAAGCCTCCAAGAAATATGGGACTATGTGAAAAGACCAAATCTACATCTGATTGGTGTATCTGAAAGTGACGGGAAGAATGGAACCAAGTTGGAAAACACTCTGCAGGATATTATCCAGGAGAACTTCCCCAATCTAGCAAGGCAGGCCAACATTCAAATTCAGGAAATACAGAGAACGCCATAAAGATACTCCTCGAGAAGAGCAACTCCAAGACACAAAATTGTCAGATTCACCAAACTTGAAATGAAGGAAAAAATGTTAAGGGCAGCCAGAGAGAAAGGTCGGGTTACCCACAAAGGGAAGCCCATCAGACTAACAGCTGATCTCTCCGCAGAAACTCTGCAAGCCAGAAGACAGTGGAGACCAATATTCAACATTCTTAAAGAAAAGAATTTTCAACCCAGAATTTCATATCCAGCCAAACTAAGCTTCATAAGTGAAGGAGAAATAAAATACTTTACAGACAAGCAAATGCTGAGAGATTTTGTCACCACCAGGCCTGCCCCAAAAGAGCTCCTGAAGGAAGCACTAAACATGGAAAGGAACAACCGATACCAACCACTGCAAAAACATGCCAAATTGTAAAGAACATCAAGGCTAGGAAGAAACTGCATGAACTAACGAGCAAAATAACAAGCTAACATCATAATGACAGGATCAAATTCACACATAACAATACTAACCTTAAATGTAAATGGGCTAAATGCTCCAACTAAAAGACACAGACTGGCAAATTGGATAAAGAGTCAAGACCCATCAGTGTGCTGTATTCAAGAAACCCATCTCATGTGCGGAGACAAACATAGGCTCAAAATAAAGGGCTGGAGGAAGATCTACCAAGCAAATGGAAAACAAAAAAAGGCAGGGGTTGCAATCCTAGTCTCTGATAAAACAGACTTTAAACCGACAAAGATCAAAAGAGACAAAGAAGGCCATTACATAATGGTAAAGGGATCAATTCAACAAGAAGAACTAACTATCCTAAATATATATGCACCCAATACAGGAGCACCCAGATTCATAAAGCAAGGCCTTAGAAACCTACAAAGAGACTTAGACTCCCACACAATAATAATGGGAGACTTTAACACCCCGCTGTCAACATTAGACACATCAGTGAGACAGAAAGTTAACAAGGATATCCACGACTTGAACTCAGCTCTGCACCAAGTGGACCTAATAGACATCTACAGAACTCTCCACCCCAAATCAACAGAATATACATTGTTTTCAGCACCACACCACACCTATTCCAAAATTGACCACATAGTTGGAAGTAAAACACTCCTCAGCAAATGTAAAAGAACAGAAATTATAACAAACTGTCTCTCAGACCACAGTGCAATCAAACTAGAACTCAGGATTAAGAAACTCACGCAAAACTGATCAACTACATGGGAACTGAACAACCTGCCCTGAATGACTACTGGGTACATAACGAAATGAAGGCAGAAATAAATATGTTCTTTGAAACCAACAAGAACAAAGACACAACATACCAGAATCTCTGGGACACATTCAAAGCAGTGTGTAGAGGGAAATTTATAGCACTAAATGCCCACAAGAGAAAGCAGGAAAGATCTAAAATGGACACCCTAACATCACAATTAAAAGAACTAGAGAAGCAAGAGCAAACACATTCAAAAGCTAGCAGAAGGCAAGAAATAACTAAGATCAGAGCAGAACTGAAGGAAATAGAGACACAAAAAACCCTTCAAAAAATCAATGAATCCAGTAGCTGGTTTTTTGAAAAGATCAACAAAATTGATAGACTGCTAGCAAGACTAATAAAGAAGAAAAGAGAGAAGAATCAAATAGACGCAATAGAAAATGACAAAGGGGATATCAACACTGATCCCACAGAAATACAAACTACCATCAGAGAATACTATTAACACCTCTACGTGAATAAACTAGAAAATCTAGAAGAAATGGATAAATTCCTCGACACATACAGTCTCCCAAGACTAAACCAGGAAGAAGTTGAATCTCTGAATAGACCAATAACAGGAGCTGAAATTGTGGCAATCATCAATAGCTTACCAACCAAAAAGAGTCCAGGACCAGATGGATTCACAGCCAAATTCTACCAGAGGTACAAGGAGGAACTGGTACCATTCCTTCTGAAACTATTCCAGTCAATAGAAAAAGAGGGAATCCTCCCTAACTCATTTTATGAGGCCAGCATCATCCTGATACCAAAGCCTGGCACAGACACAAGCAAAAAACAGAATTTTAGACCAATATCCTTGATGAACATCGATGCAAAAATCCTCAATAAAATACTGGCAAACCAAATCCAGCAGCACGTCAAAAAGCTTATCCACCGTGAACACCATGAGACTGGGAGTCTTGCCCATTTTGTCCACTCCTGTACACTCAGTGTTTACATCAGCATCTGGCACATGCTGGGTGCTCAGTATATATGAGATGAATAAGCAAGTGAGTGAACAATGACTAAATCAATGAACCAAGGTTGCTTACATTTCTTCCTTCAGGGGAAGTTTCAATGGGAAGATGGCCACACCCCAGCCTCTGGCACTCTCTTATCCTGACAACCTTATGAGCTCTTGCAGGACAGATCTGGTCATACATCTATGTCATAAATTTATTTACATCATCTGAGCAGCAGTCTGTTATCCTCAGCCTTGCTTTTTGTCCCATCAGTAAAACACTTCATTACAGTCATTCTCCCTAGGGAAATGGAGCAAAGTGGAAAGACAGGTCACCATAGAATCTCCAAGAACATATGTGTTTGGAAAACAACACTTCTGCCAAGAAATGATGCTGTTGCCCGCATTGCGGCACATATCCCCTCCTAAGAATCACTCATTTGCAGCATTTGGTACAGGACAGATGCACAGAGGTCATGCAGGAAAGGTGTGTTCACTTACATTCACACTCTGCTGGCACCCCCAGTGAGTACCAAGGGTCTGGTCTTTCTCTTGGAGCTCTCGGTTGAGCTGTCTAATTCTTCCTCTAGCCCTGTAAGGCACAACCTATCCCATTTTGTGGATGAGAAAACTGTAGCTCTAAGGACTTTAAGTAATCAGTTCTAACTATGTTGTCATTGGTAAATTTTGAAGGTTTGCTGTTATTTCCAAAAGATCGTATTAAATTTTTCAGTGTTTAGAGGAATTATACCATACCAAAAGATAAAAATCAAGAAATGTTTAAAGTTTTTAATAATCTAGTTTTTAAAAACTATTTTATACCAGCTTTCTCTTTCTCTGAGAAATCTTAAGATACTTAATGTTTCCCCTTAGTTAATAGAAGTTATAAAGTTCCATGCCTTTTTTCTGACATTAAGGTTTTTTATTGGCAGATAATAATTTTACATATTTATGGAGTACATAGTGATATTTTGATACATATCACATGCAGTGATCAGATCTGGGTAATTAGCATAGCTACCATCTCAAACATAGCTGCCATGTCAAGTATAGCTACTTCTTTGTGTCAGAAACATTCAATACTCTCCTTCTAGCTATTTGACACTATGTTGTATATTATTGTTAACTATAGTCATCCTACTGTGGTATAGAACACTAGAACTTATTCCTTCTATCTAGCTGTAATTTTGTATCTTTTAATAAGTCTCTCCCTATCACCTTCTTCCCCCTACCCTTCCCAGCCTCTAGTATCCTCTGCTCTACTTTTTACTTCTATGAGATCAATTTATTTAGCTTCCACATATGAGTGAGAACATGCTGTGTTTAACTTTCTCTTCCTAGCTTATTTCACTTAATGTAATGTCCTCCAGTTCTATACATGTTGCCATGAATGACAGAATTTCATTCTTTTTTATGGCTGACTGGTATTTCATGGTGTATATATACCATATTTTTTTGTATTACATCTATTTTTAAATTATCCTTTTTGGGGGCTAAACCTTATTAAGGTATAATTTACAAAGAGTATGTTGCATCCATTTTAAGTGTACAGTTCAACGGGTTTTGACAAATATATACAATCATATAACCACTACTACAGTCAAGATACAGAACATTTCCAACTTCTTGAGAAGTTATGTTGTGCCCCTTTTCTGTCAGTCCCGCTGCTGGCTCCATGTAAACAATGATCTGCTTTTTGTCAATGTAGATTAATTTTCCTTCTTTTAAAATTTCATTTAAGTGGAATAATAAAATTGCAATTTTTATTTAAATATTCTTTTATTTAGCATAATGTTTTTGAGGTTCATTCATGTCATTTATATCAGCAGTTCATTTTTTTCCTTTTTGAGACAGGGTCGCCTTCTGTTGCCCAGGCTGTTGTGCAGTGGCACAATCATAGCTCACTGCCACTTCAAACTCCTGGTCTCAAGCAATCCTCCTGCTTCAGCCTCCCAAGTAGCTGGGACTACAGGCACATGCTACCACACCCAGTTAATTTTTGTATTTTTAGTAGAGATGAGGTTTTGTCATGTTGCCCAAGCTGGTCTTGAACTCCTGGATTCAAGTGATCCACCCATCTCAGCCTCCCAAAGTGCTGGGATTACAGATGTGAGCCACCACACCCTGCCAGCAGTTCCTTTTTATTGTTGAATAATAGTCCATTTGTGCATACAATTTAATTTGTTTATCCATTCACCTGCTGATGAACATTTAATTAGTTTCCAGTGTTTTGGCTGTTATGAATAAAATTGCTGTAAGTTTTCTTGTGCCATCTTTTTATTTTTCTTAAAAAGAAATATTTCATAGGGACTTGCAAACAGAAGCCATGTCTGTGTCTTGGGCAGTGGTGAGACAAGATAGTGGATCTCTATGCCTCATGTACAAGTCTTTGTGTAGACATATCATTTCTGTTGAGTTTTATACCTGACAATGGAATTACTGTACTGTATAGTAACCAGTATATATTTAACTTTGTAAGGATTCACCAAACTGTTTTTACTAGCAACATACGAGAGATCCAGTTGCTCCACATCATTACCAGCACTGTGTATTGTCAGTCTTTTTAATATTAGCCATTCTTGTATATACCACATCTTTTATCCCTTCATCTGTTGTTGGACACCTAGGTTAATTCCATATCTTGGCTGCTGTGAATACTGCTGCAATAAACATGGGGGTGCAGATGTCTCTTCGGTATAATGATTTCCTTTCATTTGGATAAATTCCCAGTAGTGGGATTTCTGAATCACATGATAGTTCTATTTGTAGTTTGGTGAGGGACCTCCACACTGTTCTCCATAGTGGCTCTACTAATTACATTCCCACCAACAGTGTGTGAGAGTTCCCTTTTCTCTGCATCCTCATCAGCATTTGCTATTTTTTTGTTTTTTTGATAATAGACATGCTAATTGGGGTGAGATAATACCTTATTGTGGTCTTGATTTGCATTTCTCTAATGATTAGTAATTTGAACATTTTTTCACATATTCGTTGGCCATGTGTGTATGTCTTTTTTAAAATTTTTTGTGGGTATATAATAGGTGTATATATTTATGGAGTACATGAGATATTTTGACACAGGCAGGCAGTGCATAATAATCATGTCATGAAAAATGGAGATCCATCCCCTTAAGCATTTATCCTCAAAATTAGACTTACAATCTAATTTTATGATTTTAATTATCTTAAAATATACAATTAAATTATTATTGACTATAGTCACCCTGTTGTGCTATCAAATACTGGGTCTTATCCATTCTAACGATTTTTTTGTACCCATTAACCATCTTCATCTCCCTCTCCACCTCCCACTACTCTTCCTTCCTAGCCTCTGGTAACCATCCTTCTACACTCTATCTCCATGAATTCAACTGTTTTGATTTTTAGGTCCCACAAATAAGTGAGAACATGCAACATTTGTCTTTCTGTGCCTGACTTATTTACAATGGAGTACTATTGTTCAGCCATAAAAAAGAATGAGATCCAGTCATTTGTATGTCTTCTTTTAAAAAATGTCTTTTCAGATCATTTTCCCATTTTTTAATTGGATTGTTTGTTTTTTTGCTGTTGCTTCAGTTCCTTGTATATTCTGAATATTAGCTCATTGTCCGATTAATAGTCTGCCAATATTTTCTCCCATTCTGTAGGTTGTCTTTTCACTCTGTCAGTTGTTTCCTTTGTTGTGCAGAAGCTGTTAATTTAATTGCATTTGTTTATTTTTGCTTTTGTTGCCTGTGCTTTTGAGGCCTTATTTATAAAATCCTTTTTCAGATCAATGTCCAGAAGTATTTCCCTTATGTTTTCTTCTAACACTTTTATTACTTTAGGTCTCATGTTTAGTTCATTGATCCCTTTTGAGATGATTTTTGTGTAGGGTGAGAGGTGGAAGTCTAGTTTCATAATTCTGTATATAGATATCCAGTTTTCTCAGCCCCATTTGTGGAAAAGACTGTCCTTTCTCCAGTGAGTGTTCTTGGCACCTTTATCAAAAATCAGTTAGCTGTAAATATGCGGCTTAATTTGGGGGTTTTCTACTCTGCTCTATTGGTTTATGTGTCTGTCTTTATGCCAGTACCATGCTGTTTTGGTTACAACAGCTTCGTGGTGTATTTTGAAGTCTGATAATACAATGCCTCTAGCTTTGTTCTTTTTGATCAGGATTGCTTTGGCTATTTGGGATAATTTGTGGTTCCATACAAATCTTAGGAATTTCTTTCTATTTCAGTGAAGAATTTCACTGATATTTTGATAGGGATTGCATTGAACCTATAGATTGCTCTGGGTAGTATGCTGTTGATTTTTTTTTTTTTTTTTTTTTTTGAGAGAAGTCTTGCTCTTGTCCCCCAGGCTTGAGTGCAATGGCTCGATCTCTGCTCATTGCAACCTCTGCCTCCCAGGTTCAAATGATTCTCCTGCCTCTGCCTCCCAAGTAGCTAGGATTAAGGCGCCTGCCACCACGCCGGGCTCATTTTTGTATTTTTTAGTAGAGACGGGGTTTTACCATGTTGGTCAGGCTGGTCTCGAACTCCCGACCTCAAGTGATCCGCCTGCCTCAGCCTCCCAAAGTGCTGGGATTACAGGCATAAGCCACCGCACCCGGCCTGCTGTTGATTTTTCAAAAGCTTTGGTATTTTAAGAGATTATCATGCTTAAATTTGTGAAAGTATACAGAGCTAAGAATCTTTGTGTAATTATCCTCAGGGATTTCAGAGGTAACTTGGAAATTTTTTTTTATAGGATCTGGCTTCATCACCCAGGCTGGAGAGCAGTGGTGCAATCTTGGCACCTCGCAACCTCTGCCTCCTGGGCTCAATCTATCCTCCCACCTCAGCCTCTGGAGTAGCTGGGACTACAGGCATGTGCCACTGTGCCTGATTTTTGTATTTTTTGTAGAGATGGGGCTTTGCCATGTTGCCCAGTCTGGTCTCGAACTCCTAGGCTCAAGCAATCTGACTGTCTCAGCCTCCCAAACTGCTGGGATTATAGGTGTGAGCTACTGAGTCTGACCAACTTGGAATCTTTTAAAAAATAAGTCAGGGAAATCAAGCATGGACAGCTCTGGACAGT
The DNA here is from genome assembly GCF_000001405.40 of Homo sapiens. Taxonomy (NCBI): domain Eukaryota; kingdom Metazoa; phylum Chordata; class Mammalia; order Primates; family Hominidae; genus Homo; species Homo sapiens. Next base: position 40,142,818 of record NC_000003.12, read on the forward strand.
TCCAAGTTGGAAAGCTTTTCCCTATAAATCTCATCACCAGGAGAGCATCTCTCTTTCTTCCTAAGCCACCTCTCGTACACACCTACTGAGGCTTAGAAGCTGCAGTTTGATTATGAGAGAAAATGCCTGGGACAGAAAGCAGGTAGATTCCGGTTTCTCACACATTTGTGGGAATGATCCAGAACCCAAGACCTGTGGGACACAGGCAGTCCAGCCATGCCCAAGATGCCTTTGACCTGGCTCTCCATTCCATCTCCTGACTCATCTAGCACTCTTTGAACAGATTAGTCTGGCTGCACTGTTGGATAGGGCCCTGGTCTGTTTTGTCACCCCTATACGTTTAACACAGTGCCTGGCACATAGTGGGCCCTCAATACATAGTGAAAGAATGAAAGAATGAGTGAATGAACAAATAAATGAGTCCATGCACAGACGCAGGATTCCACCCTGTCCTCTATTTCAGCAGGATGCCGACACAAAGGTTCTTCTCATCTAGCCTTGCCTGCAGTTGTGCATGTTTGGTTGGAAACCAGACACCTGAGCATGGACCAGGGAGCAGTACACTTAGCCAGTCCACCCGGGGTGCTGGGGTCCTCACAGCCCTCTCCCCGCACCTCTGCCCCATGAACCACATGCATCCTGTGAGTTTCCCCTGAGTCATAAGTTTAAATAAACGCAATAAAATCAGTAATATCAAATGAGGATAATCATGACTGAGCCTTCCCTGGAAGCCCCAAGGAAGAGCTTCCAGAAAAGCTGTCTGCGTTAACTCTAAGTCAAATCATAATCGAAAACACATTACTACTTTTTCCTGGCAGAAAGTAAATTTATTTTTAAAATTTTATTTTTAATTGACAATAATTGTGTATATTTATGGGGTACAATGTGACATTTTGATATATATACATTATGGAATAATTAAATCAAGCTAGTTAACATATCTATCTCACACATCTTATCATTTTTGTGTGTGACATAAAGCACATTACTTTTTAAGGAAAAGTTTTCTGCTCTACAAATCAACCTGTGGTTTTACAGCTCATTCCCCACGGATTTGCTGTAGTCTTCCACCTCCCTGCAGCCCCAGGCTGGTGCCCTGATTCTACTCTGAGACTTGAGTAAGCTGAAGCATTCTATTTTAAGTTCATTAAAATATTTCGGAATGCTATAGAGTTTTGGTATAAGCAATGAATGGAGAACTCATCCGATGATGCACTTGAAGTCTTCTCGGTCTGTCTAGAACTTAGAACATGATATTAGGACTCTTGGTTGCAAATAATAAAAACTCAACTCAAAAAGCCTTGAACAAACAAGAGAATTTGTTGGCTCATATAATGGTAAAGTCCAGGGATTGCCTTCAGGCTTGAGTAGATACAGGTGTTCTAAGTATATGAACAGAATCCTGCCCCTCCCCACTGTCAGATCTGCTTTTGAACCTCTAGGCTTTCATTCTGCCATGGAGCCAGCCCTGCAGAAAGGGGGCATCTATTACCAAGATCTCCAGTAGAAGCTCCCAGCTCAACCCCAATGGCAGGTCTGAGTCATGAGACCACCACCACTAGTGCCAGGAGTGGTATCCAGCCTTCCAGAACCACATAGACTAAGTTGGAGAGGGAGGGAGGAGTGTCCCAAAAGGAAAAGAAATGTCCCTTTTAGAAGAATGAGGGGCACAGTAACAACTATCCTCCACTGATACCATGTGGACCCTTCCAGCTGCAGAGCTGAGCCTTTCTGGTGACCAGCTGCTCAGAGAGCAGGGCAGTGTGTGGAAGGAGGAGCCTGGAGAACATTTCTCTTCTGCAGTTGCATTTCTTTTGTGCTTTTAAAGATATCAAATAAATCATAAGCCCAGAGGGCGTGATTTCTAGAAGCAAGGCTTTCTGTATTTCCTTTATTTTCTGTTATATTATTCTAAATTCTGAAAATAGCTTTATCAGTGTTTTTTAAATAAAAATGACAGATGCTTCTTGTAATAAATTAAAATTCTATAGTAAAATAAATTGGAGAGAGAGAGTCTCTATTCATGCTAGGTGCCTCTGAATAGCACTTGTGCATGATTGCAAGCTCCCAGTTTTTAATCTCTGCTCGAGTTTGCTCCTTTGGGCAAGGAACTCCCTCTTTCTGCATGTTGATTTATGCATCTATGAAAGAGAGGACTCATCATTTTAGAGCTATTAAAAGAAATTATCAAGCCCTCTTCTGATGCCAGGCGCCTTATTATTTATGTTATATTATTTAATCTTCAAAACAGCCTGATAAGTTGGTTATTGTCATCATCCCCATCTTATAGATGAAGAAACTGAGACTTAGAGGGATTAAGTAATGTGCTCAAGACCACACTTGTAGTAAATGCCAGGGTCTGGGCCACTTCCACCAGCACCCGTACCCATGTGCCTACCACTGCACTGTACCCTGTGAGAATTAAATAAGATAATGCAAGGAAAACTTTTGGCACAGTACCTCAGACAGAGTAAGCACTCAAAAAATTGTGCTCATTTTTTCATAATAGTGATACTGATTTTATGATGAAGTTTTATGGGAAAGAAATTATACATTCGGTATATTGTGTTTGATAGGTGCTTTTTCTCCCACCATGAGGAAGACAAACCTCTCAATTTCATTTTTTCCACCAAACCAGGGGGAGAAGATAATGTTTGCCTTCTGCCCTTTCATTCTCCTTCCTGAGCTGCATTTGGGACCAGAAGTAGGCTTTGCCATGGACCAGTTGGCGACTCTTTCAGGGGTTTCTCTTTAATGTGAGGCCACTTTGAGAGGGACTTTAGAATCTCACACCATGGGTGGGAAGTGTAAATTGGTGCAAGCTTTCTGAAAAAGTCACATCTTTGAACCTGGCTGCTTTACGTCTAGGATCCACAACTGTGGATATGTGAAATTGTTTAGCTGGCAGCATATCCATCACAGAACCGTTTTTAATGCAGAAGAAATGGGAAGGATTCAAGGTCCAAAGATTGGAGATCAGTTACATAAAGCTTGCTGTGTCCATACTATGGAGAACTCTGAGGTGACTGAAGATGTCATGGGAGAAGACTTCAACAACATTACAGTCAATCAGGAATACTAAGTGGAAAAAACAAGTTATAAAACAATGTCTGTCCATCACGTACTGGATTTTATTAAGTGTCTACTAGGTGCACTTTAGTGGTCTAGGCACATGGGATATAGGAGTGGGAAAAAAATGTCTTCTTTGAGCCTATGTTCTATTCAAGAGGGGAAATAGATAAACAAATTAATAATTGTCAATATGTTGATATACTGATTATTGTTGTAATTACTTAATCATAGAGAATTATATATCACTAAATAGCAGGTACAAAGAAGTATTCTGTAAAAATATAAGGAATAAAAATCAGAGTAAGAGGACTGTCATGTTGGCGTGGTAGTGGCATTTTTGCAAGGATCGTCAGGGAAGGCCTCCCAAGGGAAGTGATATTTGCACAAAGGCCTGAATGAAGTGTCGGATTGAGCCTGAGACTATCTGTGGGGAACTGTTTTATAGGCAGAGGGAACAGCAAGATCAAAGCCAGTGTGAGCGTGTTTGTTAAAAGACAGTGTGAACATTGTATGTACTGAAAGACACATGTGCTCAGGAAAACCCATTTGTGGCTTTTTCTCTTCATTGAAGTCAGTAACAATTTAAAAGGGGCACCTCCCCACTGCCACCATCACTGTTTCCTGGCCACTCCAGTTGGCTGCCCTGCTGCTGCCCCACAGCCCCTGTCTGCTAAACCTTGTGGGAAGAGGGAGTTCATCCTCCCTGTTGAAAAATTTGGTCTCTCATTGCTGCTCTGGCCCTGGAGCCCCTTCAGCACCAACAGCTTTAGACTGACCTCTCGGTCCCTGCCTTCTCTGTGTGCCTGCATGAATACACACACACAAATGCACACACACATGCATGCACACACATACACATGAGCACATGCACATTTGCATGCACGTATGCACACACACACACCCCACCACAAGTTCCAGGACCCCTCCCAATCTCTGTGTAGGCTGATTACAAACCACCTTGCATGGAAGTCTGAAAGAACACTCATCTAATGTCAGGTTCCAGTAGTAGAACTTTGGGTAGTTTTCTGAATCTTCTTTTGCCTGTTTTTATTTCAGTTTTTATAATAATACATGTACTTGGTTAAAATAAATTCAGACAGTAAAAGATATTAAAAGGATTTCAGATCCCCAACTCCTTGCCAAGTCCCAGTCCCCCAGGGAATCACATTTAAACATTTCTGGGGGCTACCATAATAATCCTAAATAATATGTTTATCTTGCCACTTATTGATTAGTCAACTTTAGACTTTAATGAATAGTTCACTTTTTTCCTATCTCCTTACCTTCTCCTTGGAAGTTTTATTAAAACTTTTATTATATGCTGGCGACCTCTATGACTTTAACTAGCATATTGAAACCATTATCTTTGGTATATATACCTTACACAGTCTGTCTTGACTGCATTCTGTAAGATTTTGACTCCATTCTGCAAGATGGGGAAATTAGCATCTCTGAACTACCCTCATCATTCCTCCTTCTCTTTATATCCAGACTTCTATCAGGCTATCAATGATTTTTAATTTTTCTTTCAATAACAAATGCACATGTCTTGACCGTGTGATCATTTTATACTTTGTCTATAAATAGGGTGAAAATTAAGTAGTTTCTAAATTATATAAATATTATCTTCTAGAGACCAAAGTCATGACTTGAAATTCATGGAGAGAAAAAAAACTGTTATTCTTGGCTATAACACTTGGGCTACTTGAAAAATGGGTCATCATCTTTCTTCTTCTACTCAGTTAGTTTACAAAATCATACAACTTTTCATTTGCTTCATAGTTAGACCATATTTTCTTGAGCTGTTTTTGGTTTTGGTTTTGATTTTCTGAAAGCTTCTAATAGCCTTTCCTTATTCTTGTTGACAGAACAAAGACGTGGCTCCTTCTTCACCATTTCTCTTCATACATGTAGATTCTTAATTATATACTTATTGAATGCCCCATTTGGGCTGCCTACCTTCCAGATCTGCTGCATCAAATCCTGGGACTTCTCTTCATTGTACTCCTGGGACAGTTTCCTTCTTTTTAGAGTCCCAAGATCCTCTTTCTTGGATGGCTTTTAGTTCTCCTGGCATACACCTTGAGAATTCTCTTTTCCAGAAAGCAATCTTACATGTCTGAAAATGTCTTTATTTTGCCCTCTTGTGATGATGGTTTGGCTGAACATAGAAGTCTAACTTCATGCCATTTATTCTTAGAAAATCTATGCTCTACTGTCTTCTAGCATTCATTGTTATTGATTACAAATTTTAGCATCATTATTTTTATCCTTTTGCAAAGTATTATTTTTTTCTGTGTGAAGCCACTAAGTTCTCCTTATCTTTGAGGATCTGAATTTTCATGAAGATGTAGCAAGGTAGGTTTGTCTGCTTTATTTTGTTTTATGTTCCATTTGTTGTTTAGGCAATTGGTAGGCCGTCTTAACCTAAAGACTTTTCCCTTTCTTAGCTTGGGGAAATTTTCTTCTGTTATGTCTTTGATTTTTTCCCCTCTTTCATTTTCTCTTTTCTTCCTTTTTGGAATTCTGTTAGATGCTAGACCTCCTGAATTGATCCCCCATGTCTCTTTTCTCTCATATATTCCATATTTTTGCCTTCTTATTGTACATTCCAGAAAATGTATGTTGATTTTAACTTTTAGGTCTTCTATTAAATTTTTTATTGATCCTGTTTTCTATTTCCAATAAGTTGTTGCTTATCTTCTACATATATTTCACATCACCCTAGCCTGTTGCATGGATGCAGTATCTTTTCAAATCATTATGGACATTAATTAGAGTTTAAATTACTTTCAATATCCTGAGTTATCTTTCTTTGCCCTTTGTTACTTGTTGTTAGTTTATCTTGACTCTTTTTTCTTTCTTCTTATGCCATTGGATTGTTGCAAATGTCTGGTGATTTCTTGTCATCTATTCATATTTTTGAACAAAGGACTTAGTTGGTGAATAAAGGTAACCAACATGGGCCTCCTCTGCCATTGGGTAGATAAATATTCCCAATAGACCTCTCTTTTGAAAGGAGTTTAGGGCTGAAAGGTGGAGGTGCTTACTGAGAGCTCCAAGTTTGTGAGTTAGGCAGGCAATTGACAGGCTTTGCCTTGGTGTACGTGTATGATATCTGATGGGCAGGCATGTAGGGACTCCCCCAATGCCAAACAAGATAAGCTTCTTCCGTATTAGTCCATTTGTGTTGCTAGGAAGGAATACTTGGGGCAGGGTAATTTATAAAGAAAAGAGGTTTGTTTGGCTCATGGTTCTACCATTACAAGAAGGTGCCAGCATCTGCTTCTGGTAAAAACCTCAGGAACCTTTTACTTATAGCAGAATGCAAGGGAGCCTGTGTGTCACATGGTGAGAGAGGGAGCAAGAGAGAGGGAATGTTGTCACACTCTTTTCAACAACCAGCTCTTGAGTGAACTAATAGAGTGAGAACTCATTACCACAGGAAGGACACCAAGCCATTCATGAGGGATATGCCTTCAAAGCCCAAACACCTTCCACCAGGCCCACCTCTAGCATTGGGGATCACATTTTAACATGAGATTTGCAATTGGGACAAATATCCAAACTATATCAGCTTCACTGTATGGTGTTAATCTCCATACTGAAGTCTTAAATCTGAAGTAGATTGTTCAACTTCAATAGAGAACCACTTTATCTTTTGGGCCTAAGACCAATCATCCTCAGACCAATTGCTCATTTGTTAGGGTGTAGGGATGGGGGACCAAGAGGCCTCATTATTGTCTACACAACCATTAAATTACCTTTCTGAGTACTGTCATAATCCAAACCTGCTCTCTGAATCAACCAACTCAAAATTGGGCCTTCCAGTTAGAGTCCAAGCTCTTCCATCTGTTCTGAAGTACATGGTTCTTTGTTACCTTTATGCTATCATTGCCAAAATCTCTGATTTTGCTCTCACCCCCATTCCTTCCTTGTATAGATTGTTTTTTACCTTTGGATATCTTCTCACATTTCACTGGGGTCTGGAAAAGAAGAGCAACTAAATGTGGGATTGTTCTTCCATTGAATTGGAAGCCTTTATATTCTTGTTGGTTTTCTGAATTTTCTAGAATGAGTGTGTATTATTACATTTATAATAAGAAAAATAAGAAAAGCAGCTGTTTTCAAAATAGAAAGGCTTTAGAAATTTGTTCTCGTCAGGCATAAAAGAGAAGAATCTTGTCTTTCTTTTTTTTTTTATTTATTTTTAGATGGAATCTCACTCTGTCGCCCAGGCTGGAGGGCAGTGGTGCTGTGGTGCTGTCTTGGCTCACTGCAGCCTCCACCTACTAGGTTCAAGCGATTCTCCTGCCTCAGCCTCCCGAGTAGCTGGGATTACAGGCATGCGCCACCACACCCAGCTAGTTTTTGTATTTTCAGTAGAGATGGGGTTTTGCCATGTTGGCCAGGCTGGTCTCAAACTCCTGACCTCAAGTGATCCACCTGCCTCGGCCTTCCAAAGTGCTGGGATTACAGGCATGAGCCACAGCACCCAGCCTGAATCTTGCCAATGTTTTGTACCAACCATTATAGCATTAACCAGGAAACTACTTTCCCAGAGTGCTTCAATCTGAATGAGGAAGAGGCTGGAGAATTTTGCTATCTTCCTTGTGCTTTTTATTTTTCCAAGATGAATTAGAAATGTTGTTAATACAGTAAGAATATTAAATATAAAGCCTACTATTAAATGCCCTGAAACTTCATGGTTTAAAATGTCAAGCATTTATTGGCTTGCTCTTTGGAGTGACTCAGTGGATGGTTCTCCTGGTCGCATCTAAGTTCACTCATGTGTCTCCAGTCAAACTAGTGGCCGATGGCTTCTTTCACCTATCTGGGAGTTGGCCGGCTATTGGCTGGGGCAAGAGGGATGATTGGGCCAAGTGTCTCTCATCACACAACAGGCTAGCTTGGGCTTACTCACGTGATAAAGGTTGTGGGATTCCCAAGAGCAGCAACAGAGGAAACTGCAGGGCTCAGGATTCACACAACATCACTTTCACTATTTTCTATGGTCAGAGAAAGTCACAAGGCCCGCCCAGATTCAAGGGGAATAAACTTCACATCTTGATGGATGGAGCTGTGAAGCATTGCAGCAGTTTTGCAATTCACCATTTAATAATTCTAATTTTGTGTTGTCTAATTCTGTTTTCCTCAGGCTTCTGAGGGCCCAATCTCTGGAATGGTTCTACAATAATGTGAAGAGCCGCTTCAAGCGCTTTGGCAGTGCCAAGGTTCTGAAGAACCTGTACAGGAAGCACCGGCTGGAGAGTGGCGCGTGCTTCGACATTCTAGGTACTCTCACTTCCTGCCGCTCTGGGAGTCTTTGGTGGGCTGGTGGGTAGAAGGCCTGGCTCAGGGGCCCTGAACACTGGAGCACACTCACCTGGGACAGATAAATTTGCTTAAATATCTGGCACCAGTGAGAAGCAGAAATAGAAGGACGGATGCCAGAGATTCTGCTAAGTTGTGACTCTTTTGGTTCCAGCGTCCCCACTGGGCTAGAGCTTATAAGTTAGAAGCTATGAAGACCAAGTACTTCTACAAATTGTGATTATTTTAATCTCAGATCAAAAATTAGGTATTCTTGATCATCATCCCTTAATGATTAAAACGTTGGAAAGTCATTTGCCCTTGGCTACAGAGAGAGTACATCTGTCCCTGGAGGGCATGCCTTCTACCTTCCTTTCTTCTTACTCCAAACTTCTGTTCTTATGGCCCAGAAGGTGATGTAGTGGGAGAGTTAGAAAAGTGTCAGCTTCCTCCCAGGAAACTTGAAGGATGAATTTTACCTATGCTGTTTTTATACAGTTAAGATAACCAAGCTACTTGGAATGGGAAATTATATTCTTTAGTCCTATTAGATCAGCCAGTAGAAAAGAATGGTAGTCAGAATATGGACAGCATGCCTTCCAAAAAGGCTGTTTCTTTCTATCTGGTGGCAGATTTTTTTTTCATCACTTGGCTAACACAGGTAAATGCTTTTTATCCATGAGAAACAAGGAAGAAGAAAAAACCTCATTCATCTTATTTGGAGTTTTTTCACCATCATTATTTTACATTGTTGTTTTCTCAATAAAGTCTTTGGTTGTATCTTATCTAAAAATATGTCAGCCACTTAGACAACGGGGAAAATAGAATGGAGGCACTAAACATGGAGAATCATTAGGGTCTTTTGTTGTCATTATTAGAATTTCTGTCTTTCAAACTGCTCAGGAAAGCTATAGCTAAGAGAGCAGTGCCGAAGGTTTCCACATATTATGTTTATCACCATTTCAACAATTTCTCTAAATACTCTGTAGGAATGGAGGCAAAGAAGAAATAAAGCTTCAAAGTCATACTGTTAGCAGTTTTACAGCCCAGAGAGATATCTCAAGAAGGTTTATGAATAGAATCGGCTCACTCATTTGCATCCCATCCTCTTTTCCTCTCTTGTACATCCTCGGGTATGCTGAATATGCCCCTTTAAATGTCACCAAATTCAGATCTCGTAGGTGTTCTTTACCACTTAATGCACATTGAGGAATAAAGAAAACATGTGGAAAACCCTGTAGAATAGAGCAGAATTTTTATTTCTTTCCCCTTCTCTCTAAGTCTCCACAAGTGGAGAAAGCAGGCATGAATCCCAAGTGGGCTAGTGCAGGGCTTTGAAATTTACAAGGATCACTTTCAAAGGAGAATTCTTTGCTAAGAATAAATATCTGCCCTGATTGAAGCAGCTTTAGGTGCTGGGCCCTCTGTGATTCACCACTTTATTCATCTGAGTCTCAGTCACAGCACTTATCACATATCACATTGCATTCAGGATTACACAGCTGCCTCTCCTGCCAGACTGTGATATGCAGGTGGTAGCTTGTTTATCTGTGTTCTCAAAGCGTGGCTCAAGGCCTGGCACATCTTATATCCTCATTATTGTACTAGTTCAACCTTAAAAGCATTTTGTGGGGCCAGGCATGGTGGCTTATGCTTGGAATCCCAATACTTTGGGAGGCTGAGTCAGGAGGGTCACTTGAGACCAGGAGTTCAAGACCAGCCTGGGCAGCATAGCACAATCCTGTCTCTACCAAAAAAAAAAAAAAATTAGTCAGATGTGGTGGCATGCACCTGTCCTTTGAGCTACTTGGGAGACTGAGGTGGGAAGATCACTTGAGCCCAGGAGGTTGAGGCTGCAGTGAGCCATGATTGTGCCACTGCACTCCAGCCTGGGTGACAGAGCAAGACCCTGTCCAAAAAAAAAGCATTTTATGGATACCAAGACACTTCATAGAAATATGGGAATCAGTTGCTTTAATACTATTTGTATCTCCATTTAAGTCGAGATTTCTTTTGGAGAAACATGAAGACAAGCAGACAGGAGACAATTTATGAGATGGTACTCAAACATATAAAGCCATGGTCATAAAACAACGAGATCTATTCTACAAGCTACACAGGAAATTTAGTTAGACTTCAAGTATAGAGAAATCTTCCAGGGCCTAAGTAGCCTCCTGGTTGTGTGAGAAGACTCAAGAGTCCTTCATTAGCTTTTGCCTGTCACCCAATACCCTTTGTAGGTTTGTCATCTGCCATCCTCAATTCATGACTACACATTAGAATCGCCAAGGGCGCTTTGAAAAAAAACCTTCCAATACCCCAAATCATTGTCCACCCCCCATTAATTACTGCTGAATTTTTGGAGGTGGGATCCAGTATACATATTTTTAAAAGCTGCCTGTATTATTCCAAGGTACAGCCAAGACTGAGAACAAGGTCCTCAGCTAGAACTCAGAGTAATTAGTTCAGCAGTGTTCTTCCAGCTCTATCTAATGGTACTTATTTTCAGAATGTTGATTGTCAGAACATGATATGCAAAATCTGCAGTGCACAAGGCATGTGCTATGCTCCAGGACTCTCAGTGTAAAACTCCTTTCACCTACAGAACGTCTTCACTATGCGGATCACTGTAGTTTGCCATAAAAACACTCAATTCAGGCCGGGCACAGTGGCTCTCGCCTGTAATCCCAGCACTTTCGGAGGCTGAGGCAGGCAGATCACAAGGTCAGGAGATCGAGAATATCCTGGCCAACATGGTGAAACCCCATCTCTACTAAAATACAAAAAATTAGCTGGGCATGGTGGCACTCACCTGTACTCCCAGCTACTTGGGAGGCTGAGGCAGAGGAATCGCTTGAACCTGGGAGGCGGAGGTTGCAGTGAGCCGAGATTGCACCACTGCACTCCAGCCTGGCAATAGAGTGAGATTCCGTCTCAAAAAAAAAAAAAAATTCATTGAAGATTCCTTCAATTCACACAGTCTCACGTATCACCCATCACATACACACCTCGTACTGCCATCAGTTCCTCAGCAGTGCTCCCAAGCGAACCTTTCTCCTTCTCCTGCAGCTCACAGCAGCTGACCAGATTAGGCCTAAAAGAAAACTTGTTTTATCAGACAAATCTAAGATGTATTCATTTATTCAGTAAATATTTACTGAACACCTACTATGTGCCCATCTGGCTTAAGAGTTGGGGGTGATGAAATGAGCAAGACCCTGCCATTTCAGAGCCAAAACTCTAGTGGAGAAGTCAGATAAGTAAGTACATTTATAAATAAAATAATGTCCAAAGGTAACGAGTGCTCACATGGCTTCTCTAATAGACCCAGCATGACTTTTTTTTAAATTTAATTTTATTTTAAGTTCTGGGATACATCTGCAGGACGTGCAGGTTTGTTACATAAGTAAATGTGTGCCATGGTGGTTTTCTGCACCTATCAACCCATCACCTAGGTATAAGCCCCACATGTATTAGCTATTTATCCTGATGTTCACCCTCCCCCTGCCTTGACAAGCCCCAGGATGCATTGTTCCCCCTGCTGTGTCCATGTGTTGTCACTGTTCAGCTGCCATTTATGAGAACAGAGAACACAATATGACATTTTTAACAGTTATCCTAAAAGAAGCACTACATGAAAAAGGTAAAAGTTGCCATTATTAATATACTTAATCTTCAGACAATTGGATAAATAATATATGCTTTATTTAGTGTTAGATAAATAAATGGGAAAAATAAACCTTGCTTTTATTATCATTCTATATCTAATTTTGTTTTTATTTTTATTATTTTTTTATTATTATTATACTTTAAGTTTTAGGGTACATGTACACAATGTGCAGGTTAGTTACATATGTATACATGTGCCATGCTGGTGCGCTGCACCCACTAACTCGTCATCTAGCATTAGGTATATCTCCTAACGCTATCCCTCCACCCTCCCCCCACCCCACAACAGTCCCCAGAGTGTGATGTTCCCCTTCCTGTGTCCATGTGTTCTCATTGTTCAATTCCCACCTATGAGTGAGAATATGTGGTGTTTGGTTTTTTGTTCCTGCCATAGTTTACTGAGAATGATGATTTCCAATTTCATCCATGTCCCTACAAAGGACATGAACTCATCATTTTTTATGGCTGCATAGTATTCCATGGTGTATATGTGCCACATTTTCTTAATCCAGTCTATCATTGTTGGACATTTGGGTTGGTTCCAAGTCTTTGCTATTGTGAATAATGCCGCACTAAACATACGTGTGCATGTGTCTTTATAGCAACATGATTTATAGTCCATTGGGTATATACCCAGTAATGGGATGGCTGGGTCAAATGGTATTTCTAGTTCTAGATCCCTGAGGAATTGCCACACTGACTTCCACAATGGTTGAACTAGTTTACAGTCCCACCAACAGTGTAAAAGTGTTCCTATTTCTCCACATCCTCTCCAGCACCTGTTGTTTCCTGACTTTTTAATGATTGCCATTCTAACTGGTGTGAGATGGTATCTCACTGTGGTTTTGATTTGCATTTCTCTGATGGCCAGTGATGGCGAGCATTTTTTCATGTGTTTTTTGGCTGCATAAATGTCTTCTTTTGAGAAGTGTCTGTTCATGTCCTTTGACCACTTTTTGATGGGGTTGTTTGTTTTTTTCTTGTAAATTTGTTTGAGTTCATTGTAGATTCTGGATATTAGCCCTTTGTCAGATGAGTAGGTTGCAAAAATTTTCTCCCATTTTGTAGGTTGCCTGTTCACTCTGATGGTAGTTTCTTTTGCTGTGCAGAAGCTCTTTCATTTAATTATATCCCATTTGTCAATTTTGTCTTTTGTTGCCATTGCTTTTGGTGTTTTAGACATGAAGTCCTTGCCCATGCCTATGTCCTGAATGGTATTGCCTAGGTTTTCTTCTAGGGTTTTTATGGTTTTAGGTCTAACATTTAAGTCTTTAATCCATCTTGAATTAATTTTTGTATAAGGTGTAAGGAAGGGATCCAGTTTCAGCTTTCTACATATGGCTAGCCAGTTTTCCCAGCACCATTTATTAAATAGGGAATCCTTTCCCTATTGCTTGTTTTTCTCAGGTTTGTGAAAGATCAGATAGTTGTAGATATGCGGCATTATTTCTGAGGGCTCTGTTCTGTTCCATTGATCTATATTTCTGTTTTGGTACCAGTACCATGCTTGTTTGGTTACTGTAGCCTTGTAGTATAGTTTGAAGTCAGGTAGTGTGATGCCTCCAGCTTTGCTCTTTTGGCTTAGGATTGACTTGGCGATGTGGGCTCTTTTTTGGTGCCATATGAACTTTAAAGTAGTTTTTTCCAATTCTGTGAAGAAAGTAATTGGTAGCTTGATGGGGATGGCATTGAATCTGTAAATTACCTTGGGCAGTATGGCCATTTTCACGATATTGATTCTTCCTACCCATGAGCATGGAATGTTCTTCCATTTGTTTGTATCCTCTTTTATTTCCTTGAGCAGTGGTTTGTAGTTCTCCTTGAAGAGGTCCTTCACATCCCTTGTAAGTTGGATTCCTAGGTATTTTATTCTCTTTGAAGCAATTGTGAATGGGAGTTCACTGATGATTTGGCTCTCTGTTTGTCTGTTGTTGGTGTATAAGAATGCTTGTGATTTTTGTACATTGATTTTGTATCCTGAAGACTTTGCTGAAGTTGCTTATCAGCTTAAGGAGATTTTGGGCTGAGACAATGGGGTTTTCTAGATATACAATCATGTCATCTGCAAACAGGGACAATTTGACTTCCTCTTTTACTAATTGAATACCCTTTATTTCCTTCTCCTGGCTAATTGCTCTGGCCAGAACTTCCAACACTATGTTGAATAGGAGTGGTGAGAGAGGGCATCCCTGTCTTGTGCCAGTTTTCAAAGGGAATGCTTCCAGTTTTTGCCCATTCAGTATGATATTGGCTGTGGGTTTGTCATAGATAGCTCTTATTATTTTGAAATACGTCCCATCAATACCTAATTTATTGAGAGTTTTTAGCATGAAGCGTTGTTGAATTTTGTCAAAGGCTTTTTCTGCATCTATTGAGATAATCATGTGGTTTTTGTCTTTGGTTCTGTTTATATGCTGGATTACATTTATTGATTTGCGTATATTGAACCAGCCTTGCATCCCAGGGATGAAGCCCACTTGATCATGGTGGATAAGCTTTTTGATGTGCTGCTGGATTCGGTTTGCCAGTATTTTATTGAGGATTTTTGCATCAATGTTCATCAAGGATATTGGTCTAAAATTCTCTTTTTTGGTTGCGTCTCTGCCCGGCTTTGGTATCAGGATGATGCTGGCCTCATAAAATGAGTTAGGGAGGATTCCCTCTTTTTCTATTGATTGGAATAGTTTCAGAAGGAATGGTACCAGTTCCTCCTTGTACCTCTGGTAGAATTTGGCTGTGAATCCATCTGGTCCTGGACTCTTTTTGGTTGGTAAGCTATTGATTATTGCCACAATTTCAGATCCTGTTATTGGTCTATTCAGAGATTCAACTTCTTCCTGGTTTAGTCTTGGGAGAGTGTATTTGTCGAGGAATTTATCCATTTCTTCTAGATTTTCTAGTTTATTTGCGTAGAGGTGTTTGTAGTATTCTCTGATGGTAGTTTGTATTTCTGTGGGATCGGTGGTGATATCCCCTTTATCATTTTTTATTGCGTCTATTTGATTCTTCTCTCTCTTTTTCTTTATTAGTCTTGCTAGCGATTTATCAGTTTTGTTGATCCTTTCAAAAAACCAGCTCCTGGATTCATTTATTTTTTGAAGGGTTTTTTGTGTCTCTATTTCCTTCAGTTCTGCTCTGATCTTAGTTATTTCTTGCCTTCTGCTAGCTTTTGAATGTGTTTGCTCTTGCTTTTCTAGTTCTTTTAATTGTGATGTTAGGGTGTCCATTTTGGATCTTTCCTGCTTTCTCTTGTGGGCATTTAGTGCTATAAATTTCCCTCTACACACTGCTTTGAATGCGTCCCAGAGATTCCGGTATGTTGTGTCTCTGTTCTCGTTGGTTTCAAAGAACATATTTATTTCTGCCTTTATTTCGTTATGTACCCAGTAGTCATTCAGGAGCAGGTTGTTCAGTTTCCATGTAGTTGAGCGGTTTTGAGTGAGATTCTTAATCCTGAGTTCTAGTTTGATTGCGCTGTGGTCTGAGAGACTGTTTGTTATAATTTCTGTTCTTTTACATTTGCTGAGGAGAGCTTTACTTCCAAGTATGTGGTCAATTTTGGAATAGGTGTGGTGTGGTGCTGAAAAAAATGTATATTCTGTTGATTTGGGGTGGAGAGTTCTGTAGATGTCTATTAGGTGTGCTTGGTGCAGAGCTGAGTTCAATTCCTGGGTATCCTTGTTGACTTCCTGTCTCGTTGATCTGTCTAATGTTGACAGTGGGGTGTTAAAGTCTCCCATTATTATTGTTTGGGAGTCTAAGTCTCTTTGTAGGTCACTCAGGACTTGCTTTATGAATCTGGGTGCTCCTGTATTGGGTGCATAGATATTTAGGATACTTAGCTCTTCTTGTTGAATTGATCCCTTTACCATTATGTAATGGCCTTCTTTGTCTCTTTTGATCTTTGTTGGTTTAAAGTATGTTTTATCAGAGACTAGCATTGCAACCCCTGCCTTATTTTGTTTTCCATTTGCTTGGTAGATCTTCCTCCATCCTTTTATTTTGAGCCTATGTGTGTCTCTGCACGTGAGATGGGTTTCCTGAATACAGCACACTGATGGGTCTTGACTCTATCCAATTTGCCAGTCTGTGTCTTTTAATTGGAGCATTTAGTCCGTTTACATTTAAAGTTAATATTGTTATATGTGAATTTGATCCTGTCATTATGATGTTAGCTGGTTATTTTGCTCGTTAGTTGATGCAGTTTCTTCCTAGTCTCGATGGTCTTTACATTTTGGCATGATTTTGCAATGGCTGGTATCGGTTGTTCCTTTCCATGTTTAGTGCTTCCTTCAGGAGCTCTTTTAGGGCAGGCCTGGTGGTGACAAAATCTCTCAGCATTTGCTTGTCTGTAAAGTATTTTATTTCTCCTTCACTTATGAAGCTTAGTTTGGCTGGATATGAAATTCTGGGTTGAAAATTCTTTTCTTTAAGAATGTTGAATATTGGCCCCCACTCTCTTCTGGCTTGTAGAGTTTCTGCAAAGAGATCCGCTGTTAGTCTGATGGGCTTCCCTTTGAGGGTAACTGGACCTTTCTCTCTGGCTGCCCTTAACATTTTTTCCTTCATTTCAAGTTTGGTGAATCTGACAATTATGTGTCTTGGAGTTGCTCTTCTCGAGGAGTATCTTTGTGGCATTCTCTGTATTTCCTGAATCTGAATGTTGGCCTGCCTTGCTAGATTGGGGAAGTTCTCCTGGATAATATCCTGCAGAGTGTTTTCCAACTTGGTTCCATTCTCCCCGTCACTTTCAGGTACACCAATCAGACGTAGATTTGGTCTTTTCACATAGTCCCATATTTCTTGGAGGCTTTGCTCATTTCTTTTCATTCTTTTTTCTCTAAACTTCCCTTCTCACTTCATTTCATTCATTTCATCTTCCATCACTGATACCCTTTCTTCCAGTTGATCGCATCGGCTCCTGAGGCTTCTGCATTCTTCACGTAGTTCTCGAGCCTTGGTTTTCAGCTCCACCAGCTCCTTTAAGCACTTCTCTGTGTTAGTTATTCTAGTTATACATTCTTCTAAATTTTTTTCAAAGTTTTCAACTTCTTTGCCTTTGGTTTGAATGTCCTCCTGTAGTTCGGAGTAATTTGATCATCTGAAGCCTTCTTCTCTCAGGTCGTCAAAGTCATTCTCCGTCCAGCTTTGTTCCGTTGCTGGTGAGGAACTGTGTTCCTTTGGAGGAGGAGAGGCGCTCTGCTTTTTAGAGTTTCCAGTTTTTCTGCTCTGTTTTTCCCCATCTTTGTGGTTTTATCTACTTTTGGTCTTTGATGATGGTGATGTAGAGATGGGTTTTTGGTGTGGATATCCTTTCTGTTTGTTAGTTTTCCTTCTAACAGACAGGACCCTCAGCTGCAGGTCTGTTGGAGTACCCAGCTGTGTGAGGTGTCAGTCTGCCCCTACTGGGGGGTGCCTCCCAGTTAGGCTGCTCGGGGATCAGGGGTCAGGGACCCACTTGAGGAGGCAGTCTGCCTGTTCTCAGATCTCCAGCTGCGTGCTGGGAGAACCACTGCTGTCTTCAAAGCTGTCAGACAGGGACATTTAAGTCTGCAGAGGTTACTGCTGTCTTTTTGTTTGTCTGTGCCCTGCCCCCAGAGGTGGAGCCTACAGAGGCAGGCAGGCCTCCTTGAGCTGTGGTGGGCTCCACCCAGTTCGAGTTTCCTGGCTGCTTTGTTTACCTAAGTAAGCCTGGGCAATGGCGGGCGCCCCTCCCCCAGCCTCGCTGCCACCTTGCAGTTTGATCTCAGACTGCTGTGCTAGCAATCAGCGAGACTCCGTGGGCGTAGGACCCTCCGAGCCAGGTGCGGGATATAATCTCCTAGTGCGCCATTTTTTAAGCCTGTCGGAAAAGCGCAGTATTCGGGTGGGAGTGACCCGATTTTCCAGGTGCCGTCTTTCCAGGTGCCACCCCTTTCTTTGACTAGGAAAGGGAACTCCCTGGCCCCTTGCGCTTCCTGAGTGAGGCAATGCCTTGCCCTGCTTCGGTTCGCACACGGTGCGCACACCCACTGACCTGTGCCCACTGTCTGGCACTCCCTAGTGAGATGAACCTGGTACCTCAGATGGAAATGTAGAAATCACCCGTCTTCTGCGTCGCTCACGCTGGGAGCTGTAGACCGGAGCTGTTCCTATTCGACCATCTTGGCTCCTCCCTCCCCTCTATATCTAATTTTGACATGATTCTTGAAAAGGTCTGTTGCTTCATCTGGGATTTGTTGGACAAATGTGGTCTTTTAAAAATGCTGAGCCACATGAAATTAGAGTTTCTGCCAACTCATGAAAAATAGTGGCTTCATGTCATCTAGCTGCTTAGCCCATGCTTTCCAGAACAATTCAGTCCCTTTCTGCCCTTGAAAAAACATCACATCATACTAAATGACACCAATGCTCCCACCTCCAAATTTAAAAGGAAACAGAAAGAGAGGTGTTGTACTAGAAGATTTAAAGTCATGCAAAACCAGGGCTTGTCCTCTGGTGAGGTCAGTCTTCCAAAGACTTTTTCACATCTCCCCTGTCCTTATGTTTCCCACGACCCTCCCCATCCTCTCAGCAGGCAACCTCAAATCTTCCTTCCTATGGCCTACAGGGCATGCCAGGCAGAGACTTGCCCTGGTGTGCAGCTGCAGAGGGAGCACTGTCTCCCTTCTCTGTTGCCTCCCCCTCCCCTTGGTCTTGCATCTTATCCCTCTCACCTTCCAGAAAAGTCTCAAGGTCACTTCTTGCTTATTCAATCTCTGTCTTTACTGGGATTTATAAACACACCCAAGTCTCTCCTGTTTTCTAAACCCCTCCTCGACTGCATTTTCCTCCACTCATTGTCCTGCCATCCTCTTTCTCACCGCAGGTCAACTTTAAAAAGTGAGCTGCATTCAGGGCTTCCATTGCCTGCCCTTCCTCACTCTACACTCACCTCCCCCTTCCAAGCTATTCTCTACGCAGTAGCCACAGTGCACTTTTAGAGGCACAGATCTTACCAGGTCATCTCTGTGAAACCTTTAAGGGCTTCACATGGCTGTTGGGATAAAGATCCAAACACTGATGTGGTCACCATGAACTGCATGGCCTGTGTCCCCAGGTCACCTCACCAGAGCTGCTTTTCCTCTCTGCAGCCCTGCCACGCTGCCTCTCATTTAGGCCTTCAGATACACCTTTTCTCCCAGGACTGGTCTCTGTGCAAGCTGCTTCCTGTGCCTTGTATGTTCTCCCACTCCCTACACCTCTTGGCTGATTCTTCACTGCTTAGGTCCGCCTTCCCTGCTGAACACTTTCACTGTGCTGTGAACCATCCCATCAAAGCACTTAACCTATCTATAATTTTATATATATATATTTATATAAGTATTTGATTAATGAATTTCCCACATGAGAGTCTCATGCTTGTCAGGGTGGGGTGGGGGCAGGTTTAGCTTTGCTCATCAGTGTACCCCTAATACCTAGGCCAAAGCCAGACACCTACTGGTGCTCATAGACTATTTGCTGGATGAATGAATAAATTCCAGATGCAGCCATGCCAAGCCACACAACTAGTAATTTGCAGGTCCAGGAATTGACCTTACATCTCTCAGACTTTAGTCTTTTGTTCTGTCTTTGACTCCATATTGCCTGCAAAGAAGGTTTGGGAAGAAGGTTGGGGTTGGCAGCAATGCTGCACCAGGAATCAGTGTGAGAAGAAAAAAGCAATGGGTCAAAACTGTTAGCATTATTGTGGGACCTCATGAGTCCCTAAACCTATTTGCAAGGCTAACAACCCAAGTGTGTAATAGTGGTCTGCCAGTTCAGTGACACAGTGCATCAGGGTTCACTGAAGACCTTTGATAATCATATTCATTCTCTTCTCCCACCCCTACCCTGCCAGGAGGAAGCCTTTTTGAGTCAAACCTGGAGAATGAAGGAAGCATTTCTGGCAGTGATTCAACATTTTATAGGCAGTCAGAAGGTAAAGTTGCTTAAGAGTTTACAGCTACTGGGAAGTTGGAGTAATAGAAACACCTACAGGTACAGGTACTGCCAGGGTCCCCCAGATGCATTGTTACCCCAGATGCAACTATCTACTACTGTGTGTGAGTCTCCCTGGGTCACTTATTATTGCCAATTGTATGAATCCATCATCAAAATAGGTGAGTATATCCAAAATGTGGCCAAGAGAACAGCATTCGTTACCCAACCATGGATACTTTACAGTCAACTAGTAAATATTCTTCTGGAGTTGGAACATATCAATCAATCCACTCACTTGTGCATCTCATATTAAAATATTCCTTTAAAGAATGTGTCATTTACTGATTAACTTTTACTTTTTTATACCAATATAATTGTCCCCTTAGAGCAGTGGTTAAAAGCAAAACAAACTTCTAATTTCAAATAAAATTTTATCATTTCAATTCTTTGTCTAAAGTACTGGACATTGATAATCAGTGCCCCCTCAATTGCCTTCCTCCTGTGACCTCCACAGCTTATCTGTACTCTCTATTCTCTCTTTGGGGGCTGTGATAGTTAATTTTATGTGTCAACTTGACTTGGGCTAAGGGATGCCCAGATAGCTGGTAAAACCTTATTTCTGGGTTTGTCTGTGAAGGCATTTCTGGAAGAGAACAGCATTTGAATCATAGACTGAGAAAAGAAGATCCGCCCTCATCAGTATGAGTAGGTGTCATCCAATCCATTGAAAGCCCAGATAGAACAAAAAGGCAGAGGAAGGGTGAATTCACTCTCCCTCTTCTGGAGCTGGGACATCCATCTTCACCTGCCCTCAGACATCAGAGCTTCTGATTCTTGGGCCTTCAGACTCAGGACTTAAACCAGCAGCTCCCCTATTCCACAGCCCTTCACATTTGGACTGAATTATACCACTGCTCTTATGGGTCTCCAGCTTGCACACAGTATATCATGGAACTTCTCGGCCTCCTTAATCACATGAGCCAGTTCCCATAATAGATCTCCTATTTTATATCTATATATATCCTATTGGTTCTGTTTCTCTGAAGAACCCTAATACAGATGACTTCTCATGAAAATTGTGTCCTGTATTATCCTTACTACCTGCAGCTTCTCCATAGGTTACCACACACCATTGTATGACCTCAAGTGCACCTCCATTTGCTGCTGAGCCGGAAATGCCCAGCCTTGATCTCATCCCAGAGTTCTACACTCAGATTTCTAATGCTTGGCCATTAGCACCTGAAGATCTTATAGGGTTCTTAACCCCAACTTGTCCTAGTCAAGCTCTTTAGCCACTGAGGTCCACCAGTGAGAGATGTTTCCTTCAGTCCCTCTCCTCATTTCCCCACAGCTACCCAAGTACCTGTCAGCTCTGTTTTCAATCTTACACTTTTCTTTCCATTCCACAGCCCATATCCTGCATACCTCTCTGCTCAAAACTCTCCGGATTAGTGTTAATTTCAGTGGCCATCTGTATCAGCAGTGTTCTCCAATACACTAAGTATATATGTATGTACATGCACATATATATATTCCTTTCAGGGGACTGGCAAGCCCCAACATACAGGGTAGGCCAGCAGGTTGAAAACTCAGGCAAGAGTTGGTGCTTCAGCCTTCAGGCTGAATTTCTCCTCTAGGAAACTTCAGTTTTTGCTCTTAAGGCCTTTCAGTGGATTGAATGAGACACACCCACATTGTGGAGGGCAACCCTTACATGAAGTCAACTGACTGTAGATGTTAACCACATCTAAAGAATACCTTCATGGCAACACCTGGACTAGTGTTTGATTAAATAACTGGGTACTATAGCCTAGCCACGTTGACACATTGACCATCCCACCATCTAGCTGGTCTTCTGAACTTTGGCCACCTTGCCTTCTTAATCTTCCCTCCTACCCTTGCCAACCTTTCTCTCTGAAACACTGACCTGAACCTTCACTTTTTACCCAGTGTTCCACATCACTTTCATCCAAGAATTATAATCATAGCATCCAAAGCCTTCCTAGTTACAGCTCCAGGTGCCTACCTTCCAGGGATCCACACAGATATCTCTATCACACAGATAGTTATGCATATCTCTTAGGGGTTACTTATGTGTCTAATCACCCAATATCTTGGAAGGTACATGAGAGCATGGACTCAGTTTGTCCATCAGGTTATCACTGGGGCCATCACAGAGCCTAGCACACAAACGGTACTCAGTAAACATTTGTTTGATTCAACAAAAATTTGTAGATCTTTTCTGTGAAAAATACATCGGTGGCTATCTTGAAGAAGAGAGAGGGGAGATACAGTGTCTACCACCAGGGAGCTCTTAGTGTGATGACAACTTATATCGCATAGGCTCTAGTTATCAAAACATTGGAAAGACTGTGCAACCTGGTGGTGTGCAGAGCCCTGGGCTGGGTTGCCCCTACGTGGCTCTATCATGACTGTCATAGCTGGCTTGTGACATACTCATCAGCTAGCTAGATCACTTTGACCTTAAGTGGATTGTTTAGAGGCTTTATTATGTTTGCCAAATGATACTTTCTGTCTACATTTTTGTCCTTAAGAGCCTAAGAAGCTTGAATTATTTTTTAATTGAGTAATTAATGAATTGATATATTCACACCCTGTCTCATTCCACAAAGAATTTTCAACAGCTTACAGGAGATTTGCATGTGTTAAATAATATATGAGTAGGAGATTATAAATGGAAACAGGAGGTTGAAATTGGGGACAAGGAGACCCAGGTACCTAGCCCTTGCTGACCTACATTCCTGCACATGATGTGACTTGGACTTCTGGGGAAAACTAAGAGAAGGATGATAGAAATTCTCACAAGTAAGAAGCTAAAATCTAGGATCTCAAGGGAAACAGAACTTTTCCCAGCACTTAGCTCCAAAAAGAACTTTGTCACCTGGGGAAGTCCTTTATTTTCTCTCATTTGTTGCCATATCTTAAAAAAAAAAAAAAAAAGTTCACTAAAAGTATGGTAGCACTATATTTTTTAATCACGTTAGCTTGTATTCATCTCAGTTTTGTGGTTAAAATCAAGGGCTTTGGATTAGAAGGAATTTGGAATGGAATCCAAATTCAAATTCAGAGGAATTGGAATCCAGCTGGATTCAAATCTTTGCCTTCTTATTGTCTTGCTGTGTACCTTGGGTGAGTTATTTAACCACTCTGTGCTTCAAATTTACCATCTGTAAAATAGTACCTATATGGCACCTACTTACCACTGGATTTTTGTCAGAATTAACTGTGATCATGTGAAACTCTGGGCTTGGTGCCTGCCATGTGGCTGAGCTCTGAGGTTGGCCAGTGTTGTTAATACTGGTTGATAGTCCAAAAAATTATACCATAGAGTTTATATTTGCATTAAGTCATATGCACAGCCCATTGTCCTTAGTACATTTAATAACATTTTCCCCATCATCACAATATACATTATATGAACAAAATA
Organism: Homo sapiens; assembly: GCF_000001405.40. NCBI lineage: Eukaryota > Metazoa > Chordata > Mammalia > Primates > Hominidae > Homo > Homo sapiens. The sequence continues at coordinate 40,166,261 of NC_000003.12, forward strand.
AAGCATAATCTTTATCTGAGAAAGTAGATAAAGAACCATTATTTCCTTATATGAAGCCCTTTTGTTCAGTCACCTTTAAGCCATTCTGTGTGCTTAGACCAGTGCTTCATGTTAGGATACAACAATGAATATGATCAATTCTTGCTCTGTGAAAATGACCTGTGGGAAGGGGCCGGGGGTATGGAGCCTTTTTGGATGATGAAAGCAAGCCCAGAACCTGGGACAGACCTCCAGCCAAGGGCGGGGCTGAAGGGATCCGAGAAGATTTGTTAGAGGAGGAATTTTTGGGCCAAGCCTTGGGGTCCGTGGGAACCAGCTCAGTTATGGAGCAAGAGTCTAGGAGGGAGGAGGAATGAGATTGCAGGCATGAAAGAATCAAACAATTTGTTGCAACTGGGGCATGGGATGTGAATGATGCATGGGAGGCAGTGTGAGGCAGGTGGGAAGGGCGAGGGCTTTGTGTGCCATGGTAAACAGCTTAGAACTTATCCCAGAGCCCCTGAAGAATTTAAGCAGAAGAGCTTGAACAATCGTTTTACTCATCATTCCCTTTTAGAAATGCTCTTTGTTCTGTTTCCTGTCTAGGACATAGTGTGATGGACACCTTGGCTGTGGCCCTACGGGTGGCTGAAGAGGCCATTGAGGAAGCAATTTCCAAAGCAGAGGCATATGGGGACAGCCTGGTAGGGCCCCTCCTGCTCCTCTCTGTGGGGGGAGGTGTGGGTTGGGGTCCTTGCTGCCAGGAGAAAGTGCAGGTTGTCAGGAAATCAATGTCCCAGCAGCTCTGACTAGAGCAAGGCCCTCCCTCTGCTTTTGTGGTCAGGACTCTCCTGGCAAAGTGACTGCCAAGTCACCCCAAATCCACCCACAGCACACAGCCATTCTCTTCCCTCCTCAGGACAAGCAAAATGAGGCCAGTTACCTGCGGGACCACAAGGAGGAGCTAACTGAGGAACTGGCCACGACAATCCTGCAGAAGGTAGGTGGGTCCTGGCAGTGGGATGGCTGCAGTTTCCTGGCTGGGCCTGGTGCAGGGACTCTGGCAAGTAGCAGGTGAAACATGGGGAGTGTCTCTAGCACTGTATCTTCTGTGCCTTCTCACTTTAGACTTTTGTGCCCTGGGGACCCATGCAGAGGGAATGCATCGCACTGCTTGCTTGCTTTGCAGTCACTGCTGCTAGCTCCATGCCCTACGCTGTCCCTTGCATGGTGTACCTGTCAATTACTTCTGAGAAACCAAACACCCCAAAACTCTGTGGCTTTTGACAAGGATCTTTCTGTCTTCCACAGCCAATTCTCCAACACCAACTGAGAAGTGAAATTCCATTCTGATACTAACTTCTTCCTGGAGTTAGTGCAGACCCCACAAGTTAAGGGCCCAGTCCCACAAGACTGCCCCTACTTCAGACACCAGCCACAAGTTTCAGGTATCCCAAAGCCACCACACTTCTCCCTAGCCTGCTGCAAATTTGGGAGTTTCCATGACCGTGGACCCTCAATTCAATTATTTGCTAGAACTCACAGAACTCAGGAAAGTGCTTTACTTACCATTACCGGTTTAATATAAAGGGTACAGGTGAACGGCCAGATGAAGAGACACACAGAGCAGCAGGGTCTGGGGACAGGGTGTACAGAGCTTCCATGCTCTCTCTGTGAACATCACTCCCCCAACACATCGATGTATGCACCAACAAGGAAGGTTTCTGTGCCTTGTTGTATCAGAGTTTTTAGCCAGGTTTCAGTATGTAGGCAGGATTGATTAAATGATTGATTACCTGATTGAATGCACTCTCTAGTCTTTCTGCTCCCAGCCCTCTAATCATGTACTGTAGTTGGTTTTTCTGGCAACCTGCCCCCATCCTGAAGTTATCTAAGGACCTCACCTTGAATCACCTTGTTAGTGTAACAGACACTCCTATCACTCAAATAATTGCAAAGGTTTTTGAAACTGTGCCAGGAACTGGGGACAAAGACCAAATACAGATGCTCCTGAGCTTACAGTGGATGGGGTTAAGTCCAGATAGTAACCGCATCCTAAGTTGAAAGTATCATAAGTCAAAATGCATTCAATACACCTAACCTACTCTTAATATATCATAGCTTAGCCTAGCCTATCGTAAATGTACTCAGAACTTGCATTAGCCTATAACTGGGCAGAATCATCGAACTCAAAGCCTATTTTATAACAGTGTTTATTAGCTCATATAATTTATGGAATGCTGCACTGAACACACACCGCTTTCCCACCATCGTAAAGTCCAAAAATCTTAAATCAAGGACTATCTGTATATATGTTTTGTTATACCACAATTTATTTATTGCTCACACATCTGCAGTAGCTGCACTTCAAGCTATGGGTTGGGACAAAGTCAGGTGCAGCATGTTCACTCTGGGGCCCAACTGAGGGCACATCAGCTGCCTGTGGCCATGACAGGAGCACAAGCCAGCAAGAGGAAGCACACAGTGCTTGTTAAGGCCAAGGCTTAGCTCTAGCTTATGGTTACTGACTCCCCCCTCTCATCTCATTGGCCAGAGCAAGTCACACATCGAGCCCAAAGCCAAGGGCTGGGACGTAGATTCTCCCTATACTGGGAGGGTCTGCAGAGTCACACTAGAAAGTGCCGTATGCAGGAAGTGTTGAAAAACTTCAGTCTTCCCTTTTGGTCACGATAATTCACATCCCTTCCGTATGCCAAGTAGACTCACCACACCCAAAGACCCCCAAATGTCTCATCCAATCACAGTTCAAAGTACATTTGATCCAATTTTAGCTCCTTTTTAGCTGGAGATCTGTAAACTAAGCAAACAAATGATCTCCCCCCATATACCCAACATGCAATGTTGGAAGAGGGACAGGGAGGCAGCACTGGCCCTACCCACCTGCAGAGGGGAAGAATGGGAGGCACCGGCAGTCACTGGTCCTCAGCAATTCTGAAATCCTGCTGGGCAACATGGCTGGGTCCCCACCCTGCCATGGGAGATGGCACCTCAGTTGATTGTTCTCTGGGCTCTCAGCCTTCCTTTTCATCCTCCTGTCTGGCCTAAAGGAACATTGGAGAATATGCCCATCTTGGTGGCTTAGCACATTTCTTGACTGCTTCCTGCCTATAGGAAGTTGAAAGCCCAGAGACCTTGGTACGGATGGACTCACTAAATCCAAATGACTGTGCAAACGAGCTGGATTTGGAGCCATTCTGGTGACTCTTGGTGTCTACACCCTTGATAGGGCTTCCAGATGCTTCCTAAATTCAGGACTTACAACCAGAGGCTCTGGGTTTGAGATCCAGCTCCACCATTTATGAGCTGTGTAGCCTTATCCAATAACTTAGTCTCTCTGAGCCTGTTTCCTCATCTATAAAATGGAAAGAATTAGAATATGTACCTTCCAGAATTAAGTGAGGTAAAGCCTACACAATACCTAACATGAGGTCTGACACATGCTAGGCACTTAATAAATAGAGAAGCTGTTAACATCATAAAAGGATTATTTGTAAACTGTAAAATGCTTAGAATGCTCAAGGCTATAATTGTGCTGGTTTCTCATAGCGCAGATCTGAAACAGCCTGGTGTTCTGTTGAAATTAAGCTTATAAGTGGCTGAAAAAAATTCCAAAGATGGTCCCAGTTACTCCACATAGCATCAGGAGGCCTCTCCAATAACTTGCCCCTTTTTTGTCCTCCCCTCCCCAGATTATACGAAAACAGAAGAGCAAAAGTGAGCAGCAAGTGGAAGAAGAGCCAGGATGGCCACATCCCCAGAGTTGCAGCACAAAGGTGGCAGATGAGGGGACCTCAGCATCCCCTGGAGGCTACCGTGCTCCCGCTGCCCTCTGGGTGAGTCCCCAAGCAGTGCTGGTCTACCCTCCACACGTGCAGGTCTGGGGCACACATTTAACCCTCTGTAGTTGAATCAGGTGGCCACTGGCCAGGGTAAAAATTTCAGAAGGATGGGGAGCGAAATTGAAAGAGAAAGTGAGTGTGAGTCGGGGGCCAGGAAGGGTAAGAGAGGAGAGAAAAACACAAATGGTCTATTGATAATTATAGAGATAGATTTTACACAGAGACCAATTTAGGAAAAATACAAATGCTGATAGGCTGCATTTTTTTTTCATTCTGAAAAGAATTATACTGAGTCCAGTGGGGGAAAATAGCTTTATAAGGACCATGTGTACTCTTATAACCTAGATTGCTTGCTTTACTGAAACTGAAAAGTGACAGCGAGAAAATTACCACTGCTGTTTCAACCACCAAAATGGTCACATCTGGACACAGGAAGTCACAGTGTGGAGCCAACCTTTCTGTCTGTCACCTTGAGTCACAGAGCTCAGTGGTCTTTCCACAACCAAGGGTTTGGTGCTGTTCCTGTCTGCAGTAGAGTTGCTGAGTCTGTCACATCCTTTGTTACTGGTTTGAGTAAGCCCAGTTGAGGATATGCAAAGTGCTGGGGAAGGAGCTGGGTGGGGCAGGTTCTGCAAGAAACTGAGGGACTGGCCAGTAGGGCTCTGGTTCTGCTAGATATAGGTGCTCACAGTCTGGGACAGGGCAGCACACAGGTGCACTTCAAAACTGGAAAGTCAGGCATGGGAAAGGCAAGGCCAGGGGCTTACCCCATCCCCACTAGGGGTCTAGTGGCATTCATCCCTGCATGAGCAGATTAAAACGAGGGCATGCAAAGTAGCACATGGTCGACTTGCAGTCCACAAGGGATCAGCATAGGTCACCTACATAAACTCCTTTGTCCTCGCCAACTGCCAGATGCACAACGGTTACAAGGAGTATCTTTATGGCTTTATCAGAGATGAAACTTCATTGATTTATCAGCAGAACCTTTCCTTGTCAACGTGCTGTCAGCTTGTTTTACTGCTGCTGTCATGCATATGCTCAGCACCAAGGAGAACCAAACAAGTAGAAGACGCCATGCCCACCGTCCAGAGCTTTATAATCTGGTTAGCAAGGCAGGAGGGGACACGGGTAAGGCTGGTAAAAAAGAGGTAATAGGAGACAGTTCATAATTGGGTGCTGAGTTGAAAGATTGAGAATAGAAATGGATTTGGAATTCAGACAAGGGGCCTTTCCAGCAGAGAGTGGAAAAGGATCCTACTGGATGGAGCAGGGGAGCAAAAGCCCTTCAAATAGCCTGTCACTCAGACTGGTCACAAAATCAGAGCTGCAGTTCCTGGGCTCAGGCTGCAGGCATGACATCACCTTGCATTTGGGGTCTTTCTGAAGTATTTTCTGCAAACTCAAAGTGTCAAGTCTTGGGGAGATCCAGAAAGTAGAAATTCCCACAGCACCCCAGACTCAACCATGAGTCAATGAGTCAGAGGCAAGAACAGAGAGCTTGGGCTCTGTCTCTGCCACTCCTGGGGTAGGATTCTGGACTTGCCCTTGACTAGATATGAGACCTTGAACAACTGTTTAGTTTCGTGTCTGTAAAGTGGAAATAATAAGACCTGCCCTAAAGGATGGCTCCAAGGATTCCTTGTGCAGCCAACACAGTCTTTATTGAGCTTCCACTATGTGCAAGGCACTGTGCTAGGTGCTTGTATTGGTTTGTTCTCATGCTGCTAATAAAGACATACCCAATAGAGGGTAATTTATAAAGTAAAGAGGTTTGACTCACGGTTCCACATGGCTGGGGAGGCCACACAATCATGGTGGAAAGTGAAGGAGGAGCAAAGTCACATCTTAAGTAGTGGCAGGCAAGAGAGCGTGTGCAGGGGAACTCCCCCTTATAAAACCATCAGATCTCATATGGGAAAGACCCGCCCCCATGATTCAATTACCTTCCACCAGGTCTCTCCCACAACGTGGGAATTATGGAAGCCACAATTCAAGACAAGGTTGGGGTGGGGACACAGCCAGACCATATCAGTGCTACAGAGACAGTGGTCTCCGCAGATACAGCAGACTCCACCATCTAATGGTGAAACATGCCATAAACAAGTAAATAACAACAACAAAAACACAGGGGTATATATTTCAGTAATTGGCATCAAGGGGATAGAGGGGAGGGAGTGCTGGGGACAGGTAGACGCTCGGTTAGGGAGCTGTCAGGGAAAACCATTTTTAGGAGATGACCTGAAACCAAGACTTGAAAGATGAGAGGTCTGGGAGCAGTAAGAGGAAGGGCACTGCTACAGGGGGAATGGCATGCATGGAGGCTCTAAGCGGGAAGGAACTTGGCATGTTCAAGAAATAGAATAGTGGTTGTGTGGCTAGAAAATGGGGTAAGGGGCACAGTGGCAACAGTGGCAGGTGACTAAATGAGACGTGGACATAGCTATTGCTCTATTATTACCTTATTTCCACGTTTCAAAATAAAGGTGACTGTATCTTCAAGGTATCCCCTGTGAGTTATGAGCTGTACTTCACTGTGTTTTGGTCAGCAAGGCTCCAGGCCCAGAGAGCAGAGCTGTTGGCATATCACTTATCTGCCTGCTCCAATTCCCAGACCACCTGCTGCCACCAGCCCAACCCCACTATGGGTCCTCACCAGTGCCCTCTCCCCTTCCTTCCCCCACACAGCCAGATGGCATCAGCTTGCTTCTCTTCTAAGATATCAACTCACCCACTAGAACATTTCCATCCACTCACTGCATCTTGGGGCTGTCTCATTCTTCCTTTATCAGAAGCTGAAAGCTCTTTCTCTGACCCTGTCTCATTTTCCCTTGCACTAAAGAGACCTCACCCCCCAGAAACAGACCTTTTCTGATTTTTCCTGTTGGCATCAGGTGACTGCAGTTCTGCACAGTAACTAAAATTCTCATGTAAATCCCGTGAACAGAGAGGTATGGGAAGGGGGTCATCACAAAAAGCTTAAACAGTAATGTTAATAATGGAGTGATGGTCAGGTATCTATAGTAATAACACAGGACCAATACCTTTTCTTTATATAAATTTTATATGCAACGGGCTTTCACATATTGTTTCCTTAGCTCCACATGAGAGCACCCTGCATTATCCCCATTTTACAAAGGAATAAACGGAATCCTAGCTACCCCAAGCCACTGGAACTAAGTGGTTGCAGGTTTCCTGGTTCTGAGCATTTCCTGCACTCCATTGTCTCCTGTTTCCTTGGGAAGCTCCGGAGATGGAATGCCTGCTTCCCCACCAGATGGTCACTGGATCTCCTTGTCATGCATATGGTTAAAGCTGGAAGTAGTGTCCCTCCCACCTCCTAGAGACCAGAGATGCTCTGTGTATCATTAGAGATGTAGGACAGTGGGCTCTTGTATCATAAGCCAAAACAGTGGGCACAACAGTGATGACAGGCAATAGTGTTCCCGTTTCAGCAGCAGGACAACAGAGGCGTTTCATTCATCCACACTCCTCGGCCAAGTACTGGCTGAAAGCAGCTTCAAATAAACAACCATGACCCTTCCCAAGGGGAATCTCCCGCCTGGCTCATCAGCTCACTGGAACGAACTCAGTCCACCCAGGACACAGGCATGACCATGGGCTGTTTTCACTGAGGAAGACATTTAGAGGCACAAGCCAGAGTCTCATAGGATTTCCCTTTGGTTTACTAAAACAAATACCTCTCAGGATTTTATTTGTTTTGTCAGAAAAAAATCTGTCTTGCCAAACACCTGCCTCCTGCACAGCATAACTCATGGCTATGCTTTGACATCAATGTAAAGAGAACTTAAGCATTTCTTTGTTTTTTTGAAGCAAATAGAAGAATATTATTTATTTCTAGATTTTTATATAAAAATAGGGCCTAATGGAAGCCCCTCCCTGAATGTAACATATGTTTTGAATTTCCATATTCAACACTTCACAAGATATGTCCACCTTCCCCCGGCTTGAATCTACCTTTTAGGGAAGGAGTTGGGAGAGAACCGTGTGGCTGTAGTTTGGGAAACACCATCAAGGATACTGACACATACCCTTGGGTGAGCACCTCTCCTGGCTTAACAGTGTAACCACCCAGATCATATGCCTGGCAGGGGTGCAGGCACCTTACAGGAGGAACAAGGTTATCAGCTGGCTCTTTGTTACTGCAACCTTCATTTTTATCTTAGACATTTGATCAAGGAGGCTCCCTCCTGTCCTCTCCCTGTGAGTTCACACCATCCCATGATTTTCAATATGTAAACAGCATACTTTTGTCAACAATATCAGGAAGGAAGAAGTATATGCTCTATCTTCCCCCCCATTCATACTTATACTCCTGGGGAGCTGCCCCAAGCAAAGAAGCCTGAATCTGAGAATAAAGAGAAATCTGTTATGTACCCAGCGGGTCCCGGACACAATTTTCCCTTTGAGAAGCTGCTATTATCAGCGCCTTCATGATTGTCTGTGGTCACGTGTGTTCTGGATTTTCCACAGCTCAGCACTGGGTGTGTAGTAGGCATCTTGCAGTACAGGTCTGTGGCTGATTGATGGCAGAACAAGTCTATTAGTGGGGTTTTAATGGAAGCCTGGACTTGAACCTTTCCCTTCAGGCTTCCGGGATACCTGTGGAGGAGGAAGAGTGTACTAATTAAGGTCCTAGCAAAAACACTGGGATTCATACCCTCATAGATAACCATTTTTAGCTCCTGACTTGGTTAAAAGACAAGCACTGTGATTAGAGCTTTTAAAAAATGTTATTGGAGGCCGGGTGTGGTGGCTCACGCCTGTAATCCCAGTGCTTTGGGAGGTCAAGGCAAATGGATCACGTGGTCAGGAGATCGAGACCATCCTGGCTAACATGGTGAAACCCCATCTCTATTAAAAACACAAAAAATTAGCCGGGCATGGTGGTGGGTGCCTGTAGTCCCAGCTACTGGAGGCTGAGGCAGGAGAATGGCATGAACCTGGGAGGTGGAGATTGCGCCACTGCATTCCAGCCTGGGTGACAGAGCAAGTCTCTGTCTCAAAAATAATAAAATAAAAATAAAAAAATAAAGATAAATGTTATTGGGATGGAGAGCTTCCACTGTCCCAAATGTGGTGATAAGAATGCATTGAGTCTTGATTCGTTGGATTGTTTAGAAAGGCCTATACTAAGTCCTAGCCTGAACACCACCAATGCTTGAAGTGGTGAAACAGATACTCATCTGTCCCCATTGGGCTTCAGCCATCTACATGTAACAGGACAAGCTGAGGTGACCCACAGAGCCCACGCTGGCCAACTCAGGAAGATGAGCCACAGATACCCCAACAGCAATGACAGGAAATGACCTGGACCCTCCCCTGAACTTATTCCCACTTCTCTTCCTCCCTCCCTCCTTTTGTCCTTGTCTACATCCTGCTGCCCTCCTTTCCCATTCTCAGACTCCCATTGGGTGTGGTTCCCCATGTCTTGCCCCCCGATGGCACTGGCCTGACTTCCCTTGGGCAGGAACCCTCTCACCAGCACCATAGCAGGGCCAGCCTGGTGCCCCCCAGGGGTGACACATATGGTAGACAGGGTCAGCTTTCTCAAATGCTGTATACAGCATGGCTGGGCACATTCATGTAGGCTAAGCCACTCCTTTACCTGGCCCTAATGCCCTGTGATGAAAAAGCCTGTGCCAGGAGAGTGAACCCAAATTTCAGACCACTGGTCTAGGACTTAAGTCCAATAGTTAATTTCAGGTCCAAGAGTTAGGACCCAAAAGGGACTGACCCTGGCCAAAGCCACTGTATGGCACACCTCTGGGAACCCCCATTCATATGGAATACAATGCTAGTAATGCCCCCTGGGGATGTGCAGCTGCTGCTGAGGCAAAGAATGTGAGGAACAACCATTGCTTGAGGACCATGCATTATGTTTGTACATCACATGTGATTTCTTTTACTCCTGGCCACAACATAAGGACATATTATTAGACCAGTTTCATAGATGAAGGTAGTAATAAGTGGGGCCAGAATTTGAGTATCTCTTTCCTGCTCCAAAACTGTTGGTCAAGCTTCTTCCTCTATAAAATGAGATCAGTAGCTCAGTGATCTCCAAGGTCCCTTTCAGCTGAGGTTCTGAGGCTGCACTGTTCAGTATGGTGGCCGTAAGCTACAAGTGACTATTTTAATTTAAATTAAATAAAACTAAAAATCTAGTTCTTTGGTCACACTGGCCACATTTCAAGTGCTCAGTAGCACCAGTGCCTAGTGGTGACTATGTTGGATGGTGCAGATGTAGAACATTTCCATCATCCATCAAGTTGTATTTGCACAGCACTGGTCTAGGGATTTAGATAAAGAAGAAGACATGAACAAACAGCATAAAAGCAGAAATACAAGGCCAGGTATGGTGGCTCATGCCTGTAATCCTAGCACTTTGGGAGGCTGAGGTGGGAGGATCATTTGAGGCTAGAAATTCGAGACCAGCCTAGGCAATACAGTGAGACCCCATCTCTACAAAAAATAAAAATAAAAATTAGTTGGGTGGGCTGGGCACCCAGGTGCCCAGGTGCTCACGCCTGTAATCGCAGCACTTTGGGAGGCCAAGGTGGGTGGATCACCTGAGATCGGGAGTTCAAGACCAGCCTGACCAACATAGTGAAACCCTGTCTCTACTAAAAATACAAAAAATTAGCTGGGTGTGGTGGTGGGCACCTGTAATCCCAGCTACTAGGGAGGCCGAGGCAGGAGAATTGCTTGAACCCAGGAGGCAGAGGTTGCAATGAGCCGAGATCACACCATTGCACTGCAGCCTGGGCAACAAGAGCAAACTCCATCTCAAAAAAAAAAAAAAAAAGAAAAGAAAAGAAAATTAGCTGGGCATGGTGTTGCATGCCTGGGGAAAATGAAGTGGGAGGATCCTTTGAGCCCAGGAGGTCAAGGCTGCAGTGAGCTATGATTGCACCACTGCACTCTAGCCTGGGCAACAGAGCAAGACCCTGTCTAAAAAAAAAAAAAAATGTCAGAAATACACATGGACGCTGGCCAGAACCTGGACACGAACCAATGGGCCGAGTTTCAGTTCTTGGGTACTTCAGAGAACATAGCTCTCCCACCTTTCCTCAAGCTGTTCTCACCCTGGACACTCATCTGCATCACCTGCCCAAGCCCTGCTTTAAGGGTCTTGATGCAAGGGGTCTGGAGTGGAGCCAGGGCTTCCATATGACCAGAAGCTCCTGGGTAATGCTGACAGGATGCCAGGCTTAAGGATGGTATCATTATATCCTGAGACAGAATCCTGACCTACAGGCTGTGGAGGGCCCTAAACCTGTGGCCTCCTGATAGGGCCTCCCCTTTTTCAGTTCTCCAATGACCCAGACACCTTTGGCTTAAGAAATAACCATGCAGAATCCCCAATCCCCATCAGCACCACTGCTTAGGCTTGACTGCAAAACCCAAACTTAATTCATCCCCATCCAGATGGGATTTCTCATCTATTCTCTTGGAAGAAGGTTCAGTGCGAATGCTCCATTTTTAATTTCCTCCCTCATTGTGCGCTCTCTGCCAGTATGGGGGTCAGTGCGACCTGGCTTTCAAAGCCTTAAGACGCAATATCCTAGAAGGCACCAGTGTGGGTGTTATAACTCATTTCATGCCTCTTTGGGTGCATGCATATAAAAAGGCCTCTCTAATAATATCGTGATCTTATTGGTAATAATGATGATGACACCAGGGACCAGACACTTACTGTGTGCCCAGTGACTAAGGTGAATCTCTGTCTGGCTTTCTCTGTTCTCCTGTCTTTTGTCCCTTCCTATTTTCTCAGCCTTTTCCCTTTGTCTCTGTTGTTTCCTTCCTCACGTTCCTTCTCTCTTTTGAATGGCCATAGTATAGAATTAAAGTACTTTTTGTCATTGCTATAATTATAGGATTGAATTTAATACTTACATCTGACCCTAAAAACACAAAGCAAAGCTGTGTCTCAGTTACGTATACATATGACCACTCTTCTTGATTTGCCCTCAAATCTTTGATACTAAAAACATTCTTTCCCTGTTTTTTACTGTGGGCTCTTTGAGAGCAAAGACTGTTTTAAAGCTGCGGTTGGTGCCACAGGGAGCCTGTCCTGTTGATGATGATGATAATCATAGCAATCATAGCAACAATCTATGGTTCCAAGGGATATAAGTAGAACACATTGCTGCTGCCCACACAGGAGATGCAGCTACTGCAAAGAATGCTGTAACAAAAGTAACTGATGATCACACTGGGTGTTTTGCCCAAAGCTTCGGGACCAGTTGGTTCACGTGGCAAGTCCTGCTGGGCTGGGGCACATTAACCAGGAGTGCATTGTTGCCAGGCTTGCAGCAAAGGCTGTCAGGCACACACCAAGAGAGCATGGAGGAGCATCGAATTGGAATCAGTCAGACCCGAGCTCAACCCTTGCCTTACCCTTGGCCATCCATATGCTTTGGGCAAGTTATTCAATCCTGACTCTGTTTACTCATGTGCACTCAATCAAGTTGAGTGAGAGAACAGTTACACCGGCTCAGTGGTAATACTTAATAAATGCTCTTATTTGGCTAATATTTATTGAGTGCTTTCTCTGCGCTATGCATGATACTGATCCCTTAACATGAGGAAACTGAGGCTTAGAACAGTTTAAGTTTTTCCAAGATCCCACATAGCAAGAGGAGGAGCTGGCATTTACCCACTACCTAAGGTATCACCCATAAGTTAATGCCCAAGGAGTAAAGAGGAAGGGCCTATCTGAAGGCCCAAATTCTCAAGTTCATCAATGCAAGGGATTGCTGATGTGCTAACATTCCTGGATCCATGGACTCCCCCTGCAGCCCCCTTGCATAGATGTTCAAACACTCTAACTCAGACCAGCTCTTCCAGTCACCAGCCCTGCGTCTTCTGTGTACCCTAGAATAAGTAAGACAAGCAGAGTCTGTGCGTAGGAAAGAAAAGTGGGCACAGAGGGCTCAGCCAGCGTTATAAGCCAGTATAATAAACAAATAAATTACTCCTCTCTGGCTGAACTAGCTGGTGAGTAAAAGCATTGTTGTGGTGCCCTCTGCTGGGCGTGTGTTGCTTGTAATGAATTTGTGGCAGAACCACACCTGGGTCTCAGAACTGTCTTTTTCCACCCTGGCTGGAGACTGTAGGCCACCAGTGTCCTAGGACCTGTTGGAGACAGCTCTGCTGGGCCTTTTGTGGTTGTCAGGGTGTAGCTTTTTTCTAGTGTGGAACACTGATTTGCCTGAAATAGACTATTTTTATAGCCTGGCATTCCCTACTCTCTGCTGTTGGGACCAGAGAGGGACTTTTCATTTGTTAGTCTTGGCTTTTGCAGAGAATGGGGGAGAATTTCCGTCCCATAAAAAAGGACCCCAGCCACCACATATACACACAAGTCTGAGCCACTGCAAAAATGAAATATTAAGTATTGTTTCCCCTTTTTAAACTTGTATTCAGTGATTTACAGTGAGAAGCTTGTAGATTTTTTTTAAAGGCCAGATACAGTAAATGGCTTCTGTGAGGCTGCAATAATACTGCATCTGGCAACTAGGCTGTCAGCTTCATAAGGGCCAGCACTGTGTCTTACAGCCTATAAATTCAGTCACAAACATGCAACCAAGGATCACAAACAAAAGGCCATCCCTGCCCTCATGGAGTTCATTGTGTGTGGAAGACACAGCAAGTCAGTGCACAACGATAACAGTGTGGACAGAGCTGTGTGATCACACAGGAGGAGCAACCTAGCCAATCCCAAGGTACACCAGGGCCAAGGGCGTGTCCCTCTTGATACATGGAGGTTTGCCATAGAATGATGTTTTCCTTCATTTTTAATAACTTCACTTGCCAGTTGACCACCATCCTCAATCTCTATCCTCTCTGAAAGCTGCTCATTTTCTGTCAGATATTTAGCAGAATCGCAGAATGGCTCTGAATACCTAGCCCTGTGAAAACCTCGGGTGTTGTCAAGCTGCATCATCCAAACTGCTCTGGACACTCGAGACAGGGTCAGTGCTTGCTGTGCCCTCAGAATGAAGGAGATGACACTCAGCCAAAAGCCACTTTACATGTGTGTTAGCTTGGCTCTCCTCCAAGTAAAACCTTGCTCTCCAGGATGTAAGTGTAGATGACAGTGGGATCCTTTTTATTTCTTTCTCTTACTCCATAATTTTGTGTAAGAAATTGGAAAAAAAAAATTAGGCACTTTGAAAAACTCATTTTGTAACCATTCACTCGATAGCAAACATTCATTGATTTCCAATTCTGTACTAGTTACTGTGCCAGGGGCTACAGATGTCACTGCTAAAAGAACATTACCCTCAGTTGCTCCACAGTCTAGTGGGGGCCCCAGGCCAGAAGAGAGATGTTTGCAAGAGTGCAGTAAAACATAAGTACAGAAGAAGCCCATGACCACCAGCCCAGTTGGGGAAGGGGGCAATTGGTAGATTTCCCACAGGCCATGGCCTGCTTGAACTGAACCTTATCGACGCACAGTGTCTTGAGGAACTGATAAGGCAAGGAGAGCTCATCACCTCTGGGTTGCGTTAACCTATGACCATTGCATCGAAAGGCAGGTCTGGAGGCCCATCATGCTCTCTCTTCTATATTTGAAGGGATAGGAGCAGGTTGTAACACTTGGTTCACAGCTTAGGGGGTTCCATATTTGTTCTGTAAGCCCACCTTTCTCCTAGATCACCCCAAGGTTTCGTGGGGAAAGTAGAGGTTTCCTACGACTCTGAATCTGAACTGGCCTGCATTACCACTCTCCAACAGAGTGAACCAGACGCCCTGTATGTGAGGGGTCCTGGGCCCTAGCCTGGCCTGTGATGATGGGGATGCTGGGTTTTGATCCTCATCTATCTCTGTGTCTTTCCTCAGACTGGTCCAGAGTCCTTAGGAGGCAAGGCCATTGAGTGCATCTTCCTCTTCCAACCTCTAATCTTAAAGCTCAGTGTTGTCACCCAAGTATCCTGTGCTCATTTTTGCTGTCTTTCTTTCTTTGTTATTCTCTCATACCTTTTTTTTTTAAGCTACCATTATCATACAGTTTACTGTGAGTGCAGGGCAAGATTAAGTTTCCACGACTCTCAAGGAATTAAGTCACTTGGCCAAGGTAGTGTAGCCGAGGTGGTCACGGAGCCCAGGCACGGCTGACTCCTGGGTCCAGCTCCAAAGCACCCCATGGCCCTGCCCACAGCTCTTCTCTGAAAGAGCTTGCCTTTGTCTCCTAGGCTAGGTACCTGTGGGAGAGAGAAAGGTGAGGAAATGAGCACACTTTGCACTGGGACAGAAGGGAGTAGGGGCTGCTGGTGCTGACATCAACCAGCAGGTGGAAGCCCACTGCAAAGGGGGTCTGAGTTTTGGATCAGTACTTTGTTTAATACTGTAATCATAGATGCTTTCAGTGGCTTTGTGAATATACCCTTTCCTTCTTAAGATTACCAATGTAAAAACAGCAAAATAAACAACCAGTAAAATATAATTCCTTCATTAAATGGCAAAGAAAAACTTTAGTCTCTTTCTATTTGATAAAATTCTCTATACAACATTTGAGCTTCACAATACAACATATATATATATAATGCATTATATATCTATAATGCAATTCAAGTTTGTTCCTGTCAGTCACTTGAATTTCCATTTCTGCCACTTATCCTTAGGTTAGAGTTTGTTTTCCTTCCTTTAATTTAGGAGCTACATGGGAATATGTTGTAATAGTCCTGTGCTGTGGATGGATCATACCTTGCTCTGGGATCTCTTCAGGTTTGGAGGTCTTTGAGGAGAACATGCTTTCCACTTTGCATGCCCGAGAGCAACTCATCACACACAGTTGGCCCTGAGAAATATTGGCCGCAAGAGTGGTGGATAAGAAAGAGCCGTATGAGAGCTGGCCCCGTAAAATTACACTACATCTCATTCTTTCTACTAGGCCTGGCTGACTTGCAAGGGAATAAACATTTACCTGGCCTTATATACTGATTTGCAGCTTTTAAGGCTCACGTGAAAAGAGCCATTACCATTAAACATGTTTTCTCCATGCTGGACAATGTCTGCCCCCAAAAGGTGAAGGCACACCTCCCAGGCACTGTACCTTATGAGCTCACCCCTTCCCCTCTTTCCTTTCCACAGAGGTCCCAGTCTGCCTTCTCAATCACTGGAGAAGAAGCCCTGAAGACCCCTCCAGTGGAGGCTCCATCGAGGCAGCCAAGGGACCAAGGCCAACACCCGAGAGCAGAGTCTGCTCTGCCCAGCTGGAAGAGTGTGGACAGGCTGGATGAAACAAGTAACTGTTTTAAGCAGTATCTAGTTGGTCTGTGGGTTTCAAAAGTGTGGTTTGGAGACATCTTGGCTATTGCATGGCCACTCTGCTCTTCTTCCCATAAGTCTGAACTGGTGTGTGTCCCTCTGGGCTACCAAGTCATGAGGCCTCCAGCACAACACACAATATATAATGTGGTCATGTTCTCCACCCAGGCAGTTTTCCTAGCTGCTCTGGCAGAATGAAGGCTCTTAGGGTGTCATCATATTCTATGCTCTGTGCTGAGACCTGTGGGACAGATTGGGGGCTCCTGGACAAGTGTGTTCACATCACTCCACTGCACACCCCACTTCAGCTGCCTGTTCTATGTGGACTAGGAGAATGTGTCTTATGTGGGCCAGGAGCATTAAACCAACCTCTCATGGCATTTCAACTTTCAAAGGGATTTGGGTCCCAGCAAATTTGGGTCCTTAGGGCTGGTTTTAAGGATGTCCTTTCTGAAACTGGATAAATTAGTTAGGGTAGCATATGCCACTATAACAAGTAAACTGAATATCTAAGCGGCTTAATACAATCATTTTCTTTTTCATCACACAACAGTGCAGTACAAGTACCCCTGGCCTGTGGGAAGCCTTCAGAGGCCAAAGTACAAGGTTCCCACCTTGTGGCTCTATCATCCTCCAGGGCCTCTGAGTCTTTTATGGGCTTATCCATATTCAGACAGCAGATGGAGGAAGGCAGCATGGAAAAGGCAGGTACCTGCTTCTTAACTATCTCAGCACGGAGAGCTCACGCCACTTTCACTCCCAACCTGTGGACAGGAACTGGTCACGTGGCCCCACCTCAATGCAGGCCCGGAGAAATGGCATCCTGGCTGGGCAGATGCATACCAGTAACACGGCTGGGCCATGAAAGAGTCTTTGGTGGGCAGTTGTCTATCCCTGCCTGAGGGACATCCTGAGGAAGGCATTGATGTTTGCTTGCACCTCTGCTCTTCCTGATTCCTCCCCCTAGAATGTCCTGCCTCTACATGGGGCAAGTCAGCTTGCCTCTTTAGAGACTCTTCAACATGTATGGAATGTGGTCCTTTATAAAGCTGTTGAGTCACGTAATCCCTCAAAATGAAGGGGCTCAAATGAACTGAGTCATTTTCCTAAAGTCTCACATCAGAAGACTGTAAGTTGCTTGGACCCATCACTGTGGGTGACGGCCGAGGGCCATGAAGCCCCTGTGCTCAGGGGGCCTCCTGGTCTACATGAATGTCAGACTAAAACTTCCCCCAACCCCTGCACAGGTCTACTCCTCTCTTCCTATTTCCTGCATACACACACTGTGTCAGGAGGCCAGGCATATTTGTCTTCACATGAAGAAAGCATTAACAGTATTCTCATCCCATGTCGTATCAGATTTAGACCCCTTTCCTGAATAATGAAAACAACAAAAAAGATTAACAGCAGCATAGCCATCCTAGTAATAAGCTTTTAAAGATTGTGCTATTATTTCTACTCTAAAAGGGAAAAGATTTAACCAACAACTATAGAAACAAAATCCATTGTTACGACAGTGCAAAGAATCAGAAAACATTAAATATTTTTAACTGTCATTCTAAAGATTTACCAAAAGAGATTATTTTTATATTAACCTTTTAGTACCTATTAGTAGAAACTGCAGTGCCATGACATTGCAGAAATTCTGCAGCATGTGATCGTTTCTTTACTTATGTATATGGTGTTTGCTTTTGCTTTTTAAGTGCATTTTTCTTTTCTAGATATGCCTTTCTTTCCTCCCTCTGCCCTCCCAGTCTATTCATATTCATTCATTCATATTCTCGCTCTCTCTCTTCTTCCTCATTTTCTCACTTCTCTCTCTTTCTCTATGGATTGCAAATGCACACAGAAAATGGACTGTTAGATTCCATAGAGTACATGAGAATACCACATAATAGAACTTCAATACACAATATCTAGCTTTCTAAAATCACTTTAAAACATACAGAGTCACTTAAAGTATAATAAAAAAAATACAGAGTCCATATGTAGGCACTATTTTATTTTTTCCTCCAACAGCATTACCAGACACTGTCATTATTTTGTTTTGCAGATAAGAACATTGATGGACAGGGAAGTTAAGTGACTTGTTCAAGACCCCACAGCCAATGTAGGCAGAGCTGGTCCTCAAATCCAAACAGCATGACTCCAATTTGCAGGTTTTCAACTACTGCATTATAAGTGTCTCTCTACCATAAAAACAAACAAACAAAAAACAAACAAAAATTCAGACTTGCAAAGTGATAAATGTGTAGGATATTATAAAAACAACTACAAGATGCTCTATTTCACAAAATAGTTTCCAACTGGATTATGAGCATTCATAATAAATTTGCAAAGGAATTTTGTTTTCAAAACATGATTTTGTACATAATTTTCTGTAAAATTAGGCACCCATAGGTAATTTTTCAATTGTATATAAACATAAAACTTAGTTCCACAGCATCACACACCCAAAAAAAGATTTCACATTCTGCTCAAAACTCTATGCATCTCTCAGGATAAAGATTTAAAATTTTTTAAAAAGGACTTGGGTGGAAAACTTCTGGTTTTCTGAGGAATTTTTAGCCCTTGACATGCTAAACTGTCCATGCCAGCCTCAGAGGTCTTGAGGGATGTCTGAAATGTTTAGCAGGAAGCAAATTATTCCTACAGGCATTGCTCAATCTCAGTTGGGCAGAAACATCAAATAGAAGCGTTCCGAAGGTGGAGGTCATCTTAGAAAGTGAATGCCCACTGGGCTATATTTGGCAGTTGTGTTTATGCCTCAGGAGAAGGGTTGATTCAGGAGCCTGTTCGTGCACAGTTGGGGTCAGTCTTAGGGGCACTGCGGTTTGGGTAAACCACAGTAACTCCGCTTTCAGTCTTGACGCTGCTTATAGCAGTTAATGGGTTTCCCCCAAATGCATTTTCACTTTATAAACCTTGATTAGGCATCTGCTGTATATGCTGCGTGTGTTCAGTGTTGGGGAAATAAAGATCGGGGAATTGTCACTGCTCTGGGATCACTCAGTGAGAGTTAGTTGTCTGCACAATAATGGAAGAGCAGGAATTTGGAGAAAGAGGAAGAGGGAGCAGGATCCCCGAGGGGTGTTCCTGATGGACCGGGAGACTGTGGTATTGGAGCACAGGTGCAGCTTTGATAATGCTGCTCAACAACCACCAAAGTTTTCACATGTCTGGGTATTCAGGGAGCCATCTGTGTTTTTGCTAAGAAGTAAAAGTTTGCTGAGGGAAAATTTGGTCAACTTCTAGCTTCCAAAGAGGCATGAGGCAACCTAGGGTTGTAAAAAAGCAGGAGAAGGAGAGCTGGCAATGGGTCAAATGCCACCTCACCATGTAGGGGACCACATTTATAACATGGTCAACCCTAGAGCCAGCCCTGAGTGGCATTATCAAGGGTCGCCTCCTTTGGATTCCTCCCAGGGCCCCAGGAGAAGCTGTAGACAGCAGGGCTCATTGAGAGCTGCTCAATGAGCCCCGTCGCCCCTATAGCCTTTGGTGCCTGTATTCATTAACAAGTAGTATTCATGTGCCCAGGATGAGACGCAAAGTTGGCCAGGGGCTTGGGGCATAGCAGTGAAGAAGACGTGGCTCTGCCCTCAAGGAGCCCATGATCAGGATTGAGGGGTAGGGTAGACAACCAAGAAAATAAACTATAATATAGTTTGAGTGTTAAGAAATGAAAGCTTTTTGGCAAAGCTCAGAGAACAGAATAGCCAGCGTCTCAAGGAAGGAAGGCCAAGCATATGCAATTGAGGAGTGATGTATAAGTCAAGTCTTGAAAGATGGTCCAGAGAGCAGCCTCAGTGACAGATTAGAAGGCCCAGAGGACTTTTCCTTTCTTCTCAGAGTGAGTGCTCCACAGCCATGCTCGGAGTCCACTTTGCATCATGTGGGCGTCTTGGTTTGACTCCCACCAGAAGCAGAACCTAATATGAGGATCTGAAGACCTATAGTTTATTTGGGAGGTGAGCCCAGAAAACACACAGGGAGGGGAGTAGAAATGTGAGACAAGGAAAGAAAATCAGGCAATAAATGACTTGTTACTGAGCAGATGGCCACTGTGGGTGGCTGGAGCTTGACCCCACTGGGGACTCTGGGAGCCAGTGTAGAAGACTCACCTGCCTGGCAAGCAAAAGAGGGGGGATACTTAGCCACCAGCTCCCCTACTCATTGGTTGAGGGCTGCTCCCAGGAGGCGATGAATCCTGGGTACTTCCACTCTGCCCCTGGGGCAGGCAACACAGGCTCTAGTAGCCAGAGCAAGCCTCAAGTAAAGACTTGCAAGTGCTGCCAATTGGAAGTCCAGCTGGCATACACTGAAGTCGTGAGGGCCAAGGTTTGGGGTGGGGCACACACAGAGCCTGCTGCAGTAAAAATCAATATAACTACTTACTAGCCATGCATAGCTTCACTGAGAACCTGAGCATTCCTGAGAAACCCTTACCACCTGACTGACAATCCCCAGACACAGCATTAGGAGAATGCCAGCAAAATAGAAATACTTTTCTCAAAAGACCTGCTATTACCACCACCACAGGTAGAACCCAATAATAAATGGTAATAATAATGCTAGCAAGCCACTCTTCTGAATAGCTCCATTGTCAATGAAAATAGTGTTGCTGTATAGATATTAATATGTCATACTGAATAGTGACTATCAGATACATATATATTTTCTGTATGCATACATATGGAGTGCATGGGTGTTAATTCATAACCAGGTGTTAAGTACTAATGCTAAATCTGATTCAACAGATATAAGCTAAAAATAGCTCAGGGCCCTAAGTATAGCAGGCACTAGGATTGATGCTTTATATGCATTATCTCATATTAATTCTAGTGACAGCCAAAGGTGGGTCACACTGACCCCACTGTTGGACAAGGAAGTAGGCCCAGAGGTGTTCTCTAACCAAGGTCACCCGCTAGTAAATTCAGTAGCTGGGGATCAGCCCTGCATCTGCTTTAATCCAAAGCTCTTGTTCTTTGCCCTATACTAAAGCAGCCTCCTTCATTTATAGACAAGGGGAAAGGAGCCATCAGGAATTAATTTCCTCCCTGAGCAGGCATGTGTAACACACTCACAAGCATCCCCTCGTGCAGTCCTCTGACAACCCAGTGAGGTTTTAGCTATGCCCTTTTTCACCAGTCAGAGAACCGAGGCACAGAGGATCACATAGCTGCCAGGTGGCTGAGTGGGGCTTCCTCCCGGACCTCTGGCTTCGAGACCACTGGTCTTTCCACTGCACAAACTGGCTCTGGGACACAGCAGGCTAATTTTCTTGTAAGGATAAAGAGATGCCTGAGATCCAGGCCCTGCCTCAGGGACCTTGTCCTCATACTCAGCAGGTGTGTGACAGGTAGAACACATGGAAGAACGTGGAATGAGCCAACCAGGCCCTCACACCAGGAGAGCTCAGAGGAGAGGCCATGATATAAGCAGGGAGATGAGAATGTCCTCCAGGAAAAGGCCATTCCCACCAGTGGGATGAGGTGTTGTAGAGTCACTAGGGCTTTACTACATGGAAGTGGTGGAGAGGGACACTGAAGGCAAGAGCAGCAGAGAAAGGCAGGTGTGTGGTCTCAGGCTTCTTGGAGGACCCTGCTTGTATCAGCCCACTGCCAGGGACCAGCGTCCTCCTCGTCAGTGAAAGCCCCACTTCCTGACTCTCAAAATAAAAATAACTCGATGTCCTGCCAGTCTGAGCTGCAGTCAGGCAGTGGAAGTGGAACTGGGTTGCTGTTGAAAACATATGTTCCACCAGCATCTGAATTCCCCTAAGGCTGTGGTTCTGAAACAGGCTTAGCAGGTACAATGCTCTGTGGGCAGCACTGTGAAATACTGATAACTTTCCTTTCATTATGTGGAGCAGTAGCAGTTTAACTGGTAGAAAACCTGTGTGTTTTAACTAGCATAAAGTAAGACCCTGCTTCAGAGTCCTACTGCAGCAGGGCTGTGGCTGCTACAGGCCTTAAGCCCCAAAGCAGATGTCCACACACAAACTGGGGAATGGTTTCTTCAAAGCCCTGGGGTCCTCATCACTGCCCCCAGGCAACCCTGCAACAGTCCTGGTTAAAAGGAAAAAAAAAAAAAAAAGACTGGGTGCTGTGGCTCACGCCTGTAATCCCAGCACTTTGGGAGGCTGAGGCGGGTGGATCACCTGAGGTCAGGAGTTCGAGAGCAGCCTGACCAACATGGTTAAACCCCGCCTCTACTAAAAATGCATAAGTAGCCAGGTGTGGTGGTGTGCACCTGTAATCCCAGCTACTCAGGAGGCTGAGGCAGGAGAATCACTTGAACCTGGGAGGTGAAGGTTGCAGTGAGTCGAGATCGTGCCATTGCACTGCAGCCTGGGCAACAAGAGTGAAACTCTGTCTCAAAAAAAAAAGACAGCTCCTGTTGGCAACTGCTGTGCCTGAGACCTCAGTCCTGGGCCAAGTACGAATAGCTAACGGAGCAGCATTTCATCTTACTCCCACCCCACAGACACGTGGGAAGAAAGCATTTTCCTATTCACCTTAAACAAGACAAAACAACTTTTACCAATCCACCCCCAGCATGCAGATCAATCCTTGGGACCATGCTCCAGGCAGACCTGAGCCCAGTTTAGACCACTCCAGACCATAGTCACAGCCTGAGAACTGCTCCAGCTGTCCTTGCATGGTGCTCTGCAGCTGGCCAAGGACTTCCGTGGCACAATCTATAGCCCAGAGCTGCCTTGGAGTCAGGTAGAGGATGCACCTCGTCCTCACTCTAAAAGTTAGCAGCTCTGTGACCTTTAACAGTTACTTAACTTCGCTCATCTTCATTTCCTCATCCATAAAATGACATTGGAAATACCAAAGTTTTTTGGCCTCAAGTCCTTTCCAGAGTGAGGCATGTTCCTTGAGTTAAAAATAGACCTATGTGCCTATCTCAGGAGCCTATTACGAAGTAGGATCTATAAAAGAGCCAAGAGCAGATGTGTTAACCTCTGAGGTCTGCCAGGGCAGGTGGTGGAATTGTTTCCCATCAGTGAGGGGAAACTAAGGATCCAGGAGACAAAATTGTAGCCCAAGGTCAAAGAGCCAGAAGCTGGTACTGCCAACTGCAGCCCTCTCCCCTCCCCTTCCAGGCAAGCCTAGGGCAGGAGTGGGACAGTGCTGAGGAGACTGAGATGGTATCAACCCTGGTAGACTGAAATAGGAGCCAGATCTCTGAGTTTCTCTGCATCTGTGAAGCACTGGGACCCTTTGAGCTTTCAAGAGATTCCTTGGGGAACTTTGAACTCTGCCCACCAATTGGGTTTGCCTTCCTGGGCTTCCTAAAGGCAACTGCTCTCCAACAGCCCCACAAGCCACTCTTGGGGAGGTAACAAGTGGCAACTTCATCTTGCATTAAAGTGATAACAGCCCCTCTCTGCTTTCTCTATCCTCTCCATCCACAGACCTGGCCCCAGTTTTGCAGAGCCCCGACGGGAACTGGGTGGCCCTGAAGGATGGCGCTCCACCCCCCACCCGACTACTGGCCAAACCTAAGAGCGGGACGTTTCAGGCCCTGGAGGTGGCCTCCAGTGTGGCATCTGCCTACGATGAGATGGGCTCCGATAGCGAGGAAGACTTTGACTGGAGTGAGGCCTTGAGCAAGCTGTGTCCCAGGTCCCGGGCCCTGCCCAGGAACCCCCAGCCTCAGCCCACACAGGCCCAGAGCTCTGACCAAGGCCCCATAGCTGCCTCCCCATCCTCTGCACTCTCCCCCAACCCTGAGGCCATGTGCTCTGACTCGGAGACCTCCTCCGCAGGCTCTTCCCGAGAAGTTGGGCACCAGGCCAGACTGTCCTGGTTGCAGAGGAAGGCCCCCAGGAACCCTGCAGCTGAGAAGATGCGCTTGCATGGAGAGCTGGACGTGAACTTCAACCCCCAGTTGGCCAGCAGGGAGACCTCGGACAGCAGCGAGCCGGAGGAGGCCCCCCACACCACAGACCGGCGGGCCAGGAGGTGGAGAAGAGCCCGACTGGGCTCAGAAGAGCCAAGCAAAGAACCATCTTCCCCCAGCGCCCAGCTCCGGGATCTAGACACACATCAGGTAATGGAAGTGCATGCGTGCAAATGCACACACACTCTTTAGGTAGGATGTGCCCTACTCCAAGCACAAGTGGCATAGAGTCCTGGGTTTGGAATCCGCAGACCCAGATTCTCATCTTGGTTTTGCAGCTAAGTAGCTGAGTGCCTCTAGACAGGTCACATCAACTCTTTGGGACTCCACGTCCTCTTTGGAGATGACAGCCTAGAATTCAAAGTGTGGTTTGTGAGTGTGGCCCCCAGACCAGCAGCATCAGCACCACCAGGAAACTCATTAGAAATCTGCCAAATTGGAGATTCTGGGCATGGGACCCAGCCGTGTCTATTTTAACAAGCCCTCCTGGTGATTCTACTGTGCACTCAAGTTTGAGGGCCACTGGCCTTGGGTTTAGGGTGAGGGATCTAGAGTCAGACTGCCTGGGTTCAGATCCAACTGTGTGGCCTTGGGCAAGGCATCTCTCTAGTTCTCAGTTTCCTCATCTGTAAAATGAAGATGATATTAGAACCCACCTCAAAAGGTGTTCATGACAAGTGAAAGAGATGTTTATAAAGAGCTAAGCTCTGTCTGAGATGTGACACTAGGTCTCAGTAAACATTATTTCAATATTCTGTGATTCTTTAGTCTACATCAGACCCCTTCTCTGGATCCTCAGTAGTTCTTCCCACATGGTTTAGTTCAAGAAAAATGTGATTAAAGCCATGAATTTTCTCCCTTTAAAAATGCACTTGTATACACACACATACTCACACATGCACACTCACACATGCACAAACATACTCACAATTTTGCTTTTGCTTACAATTTCAGATAATTCATGGGCTCCCAACCAGACTAACTTTATATTCTCTAAATACACCCTGCTCATTCCCAGCCCTGTGACTTTGATTGTGCTATGCCCTTGCCCTTGCCCCCACCTCTTCTGGTGAAGACCTGCACATCACTGTCAACTCAATACCAAACCTTGTGGAGCCCAGCTGCCATGCCCTATACTCTTAGTTTGGCCAGATAGTGTCCCCTATGGCTGCAGACAACTCACGTAGGTCCAAAGATATGGTCCAAGATTTCACCAGTGTCTTCTACAAGATCTTCTATGAATGCCTCAGCCACATCCCTGGTCCTGAGGCCCCCATGAAGACAATTGAGGACTCAGGTCCTCAAGTCATAGAATTTGGTATCAGTCCTGATTGACCTGCTAACATATTGCCTAGAAAAGGTATTTTATTTAGTCCAAGCTTCGTTTTCTCCTCTGTAAAACAGAAGATCATTAAAAATCTGTCTCATGGGATTGTTATGGTCTTAGAATAAAATTAAAAACTTTGGTTCAAGTGTGAATCATTATTGTCTAGCTCAAGTGGAGACTGTTGTCCAGAAACATGGAATGATTTGCCTCAAAGGATACTCTTGAGGGTTTGTCTGCATGATTCACTTGCAGGTGTAAAATGTCACGTCTCCACCTCAACTAGCTTTCTATTTATTCTGAAATGGCTTGAAATTTGTCTTCTGCTAATCCTTGCAAGGCATTGATAGAGAAGAGGCACTGCCTCTGCCTCCTGGGGAGTGACCTTGAGCTAGTGGCAGTACCCACTCCTCTCCACTAGGTGGGGATGGTGCTGCACTTCCAGAGACATCAAAACCCTGATGGGTTTTTTTTTTTGGTTAATTATTATTATCATTATTTTTAATGCAGAGTCTCACTGTGTTGCCCAGGCTGGTCTCAAGCTCCTGGGCTCAAACGATCCTTCTACTCAACCTCCCAAAGTGCAGGATTACAGGCATGAGCCACTGCAACAGGCCCTCACCTTTCTAATTCTCCCTCTGATTTCATTTACTGCGGCAGTTAGTTTTCTTCATATATATATATATATGTCATATATATATATGTCATATATATATTTATATTTATTTAAGTTATTTACTTTTTAATTATATAAATAAATGAATATAGTATAATGTAAAAAATACTTAAAACATACAGATGCAATTCCCCTTGACCACAACCCTAAATCCCTGTCATCTCCACCAAAATGACTGCAAGTGCATTTGGTGTGAATCCATGCAGATCTTGTGCATTCATACATAAAGTACATTTAGAAATATAGTTCAGTGAATGTGTTTTAGCAAAATTGGCAACATGCTGTCCATATGCTTCCACTGCTTTCTCCTAACAGTAAGTGATAGAGGTGTCACCGAGGTGTCACCATGTTACCCACAACAACAGGTGAGTTCAAAAACAGTCCAATGACCACAACCAAGGAGGATTAAGGAGAGGATTTTGTTACCTGCAACAAGTAAGAAGGACGCTGGGGATAGCTCCTCAAAGCAGCGCCTCCCCAAACAATGGTGAAAACAGGGCTTTTCTTGGGCTGGTTAGCTGAGTCATTGTATATAGAGGTGGAGACAAAATAGCACTGGTGCAGTTGCCCATCATGCTTCTACATAGTAACCTGTATAGAAAATGCAGAATAAGCTCCTCCCTGGGAGGGGCCTGTAGTATGGTAATGAGGAAAGTTCACCAAAGCTCATCTCCAACTCAGGCATCTCTGGGATCCAACCAGTTTTTGTTTTTCCTGGACTGAGCTTTTTCCGGGAACTTTTTGAAACAATAAGAACTGAAGGTGCAACAGTAACAAGTGGGTACTTTTTTTTCACAGTGCACACCCAAAAACCGGAGGACCCAAGGTTACAAGGCACACAGACCTAGGCATTCAACCTGCAAAAGATTACATTGAGATGGTGTATCAAGGGGGGACTGTGGGGATTGTAGAAGTCTATCCAGGGTGTGCAATAGGGGATGCATTGTCTGTGGAGAATGTTAAAACAATAATAGATCCAACAAAAGTCAGTCTTATTTTCACCTTGCACCATGTCCAGACAATTCTAAGCAATGCTAGTGATAACATACTCTTCCTGCCTGGTTCAGTGGCTTCCAACACCTAACTCCTTAACCCCCTTGGTTCACCACTGTTCCATAATGATGGGTATTTAAAGACTTTTTCAATATCTTGATTTTATAAGCAGTACTGCGGATAATAGGATATTTAAAGACTTTTTCAATGTTTTGATTTTATAAACAATACCGCAGAGAGTATTGTAGCATAAACCTCTTTATACAAGTATGAGAAGTGGAACTGCTGACTGGAGGAGTATATGGGTCTTTAATTTTAAAATAGACTTGCCAAATTAAGCTCCCAAAACTTCAGAGCAATTTACATAGCCATAACAGTGTGTGAGTATGTTCTCTCATGTTGTCAACAATAGTGTTGTCAGTCTGCTAAATTTTTGCCAATTTTATGTGAAGAAAAAAATCCTCTTTGGCTAACACTTTCATAATTACTACTGAAATTGAGCAATTTTTCCTGTGTTTAAAGCTATTTACACTTTTCTTCTTTCATCCATCCCGCTAGCCTTGATATGCAATTTACATTTATACTTTTTTTATCTGTTATTTTATTGGACTATTTGTCTTTTTCTTACTGATTTTTAGGAATTAGTTTTATTTTCTAATTATATAATAGATTTCAGATCTTTGATGGTTACACGTGAAACTATTCTCTCCTTGTCTCTTTTGCCCTAAGTATATTTTACATACAAAAATTTTTGTTCATAATAATTTATCAATTATTTTTGGTTACTATCAGTTATTTCCTTTATTATTTTTGTATTTGGTGTCTTAAGGCCTTAAATTTGCAAGGGTTAAGGATTTTTTTTCCAATTTCTTCCTAATCCTTCGTAGTTTTCTATTTTCAGTTTAGCCCCTTAGACCGTCTGTACTTTATCCTTCTGGGTGATATGTGATAAGCTCTAACCTTCAAATTAAGCATTTGTCACAAAATTATTATTAAATAATCTATCATTTATCCGCTGGTTTCAGATGCCCCTTTAGTATATTTTAACCTTTTATTTCTATAAGCCTGTTTTATTTCTTTACTTTCTATTTTGTTCCATTGATCTAGAAGCCCGATTCCCTTACAAATACTATTTTATTTTAATTATAATAACTCTATAATATATGTTGCAATCTGGTGGATGGTCTTCTCTTCACTGTTGTGGATTTTTAGAAAATGATGATATCATTTTCTAAAAGCATTTTGGCTTTTCTCAGTCCTTCACTTAAATGATTTGTTAAAATCTGCTCAAGTTGCAAAGAAGCCTTTTTAAGTTTTGATTGGAATTGCGTTAAATGTATGTATCTACTTCAGAATAATTGATATCTCTGTAATATTAAGCCTTTCCTATCAATAATGTGGTATTTATTCCCACTTATTTACTTTCAGTGAAGTTTTATAGATTTTTTTCAAAGCTCTTATACTCTTCTTGTCAAGTAATTTTTAATTATCTTATACATTGTGTTGATATTGTAAATGAGATTTTATTTATTACATATTCTAGTTGCTTTTCACTGGTGTATAGAAACTGTTAATTTCATGTTTACATTTTATAACTTAGTTCCCTAATGGATTCTCTTCTCAGTTCCAGTAGTATTTTGGGTGATCATCTTAGCTATTCCAGATAGATAATCATATTGTCAACAAGTAATGACACTTATCTTTTCCTATAATGTATACTTATTTCTCTTTCTTTTTTTATTGCATTGGTGACTAATTATGCTACACTGTGACATAGCAATGACATCTGGCACCTTGCCTTTGTCTTGCTGCTACCCTTAGTGACCTGCTTCCAGTGTTTCACTATTAAGTGGGATGCTTGCTCTAAGTTTATTAGATACTATCAAAATGATAAATTATCTATTCCTAACTTACTAAACAATTTAAATCAGGAACGTGACTGCTTTTTGGCAGTAGATGATCATAGACTTTTTCTTTTTTATTTTTATTTCATTTTACGTTATTTTTGAGACAGTATTTTGTTCTGTCACCCATGCTGGAGTGCAGTGGCACAACGGCTCACTGCAGCCTTGACCTTCTGTGCTCAAGAGACCCTCCAGCCTCAGCTTCCCAAGTAGCTGGGACTATAGGAGTTCATCACCATGCCCAGCTAATTTCTTTTTATTTTTCTGTAGAAATGGGGTCTTGCCAGATTGCCCAGGCTGGTCTTGAACTCCTGAGCTTAAGCAATCCTCCCACCTTGGCCTCCCAAAGTGCTGGGATTACAGGCATGAGCCACTGTGCCTGGCCAGCTTTTTCTTCTATAATCTGTTAATGTTGTAAATCACATTAATAGATTTCTCAATTTTGAATAATCTTTTCATTTGTTGCATAAATTTTACTTGATTATGGTTTTTTTTTAATAAAAAGCAGATTCCACTTGTTGGTTTCCATTTTGATGCTATCTCCTTCAGTTTGGTATCAGGTGATACTAAGAACATGGCAAGGGTTCCCTATTTTATATTATTTTTAGAACACTTTATATGACATAATAATTTTCTGAAAGTTTGGGAGAATTCACCTTTTAAGATCTTTTACTTTCTTTATAGATTTCTTCTTTGGTTGTTAGACTATTTAGATTTTGTAACTCTTCTTAAATCCACTTTAGTAATTTACATTTTCACAGGCAATCATCTATTTAATCTAGATTTTCAAATGTATTGATATTATACCTAATATTCTCATCACGTTTTAAAAAAAATTTCTCTGCACTATAGTTATGCATCCTCTAGTTTATAGATTTTTTTTCTCTCTCTTGCTCTCATTCTCATTCTCTATCATTCCCTCTTTTCTTACTTGAACTTACCAGTCTTTTTTTTTACTGGTGTCTTTGAAGAACCAGCTGTTACTTTCATTCATTAATCCCAGGGATTTTTTATTTTTGCTTCCTAGTCTGTTAATTTCTACTTTTATATTTATTAATGTCTTCTTTTTACTTTCTTGTTTTCATACATGTTTTTCTATATATTCTGATATGTAAAATATTTCATATATATTTCCAATATAGCTAATGAATTTTCCCTCAAATTCAGTTTTGTTTCCACCCCACTAGCCTTGATATGCAATCCATTGTCAAACTTTTCCAAGTAATTGATCATTTCCAATGTAATTCGCATTTTAATCAAATTAAGTTAGTGAGATGGATAACACTTTGCTTTGTTTTTGCATTTTGTTTTGGTTTTGTCACTAATTTTTAGTATGCATTATGAATAATGAATATGGCTTACATAATTGCTAATGTTGGGAATTTGTTGAGACTGCCTTTATGATTTAATAAATGATCAGTTTTTGTGAATGTTTTATGTGTGTTTAGAAGGAACACATGTTCTCTGTTTTTTGGAGACAAAACTGCATGTGTATGTATGCATTGTTCTGGGCATTAACAAGACAAGGTCCTGTCTCTTGAAGGTCACATTCATTTCCCTTCATTTCTCTAATTTCCCACCCTTATTTACTGTTGTCTTCATTGTCCTGTAGTTTTCTTAATTCCTATCTTTTTAGAGTCTTGTGAGGGACTCATGTTAGGAGATGCAAAAGTACATCTGTCATCTCACTCTCTGCTAGATGCTTCACCTCATGGGCCAGGATTAGCAGCAGACAAAGCCAGCTGAAAGCAGGAGTCCTTTCTCACATTCTCTACCTTATCCCTGGCCTCACTCACTTGACACATACCTTTGCACGCTGAGCCTCTATGCCAGGGGTCCCCAGCCTTTTTGGCACCAGGGACCAGTTTTGTGGAAGACAGTTTTTCTATGGATTGCGGCAGGTCGTGGGAGGTGAGGGATGGTTTCGGGATGAAACTGTTCCACCTCAGGTCATCAGGCATTAGTTAGATTCTCATAACGAGTGCACAAGTCTCGTCCCTCACATGTGCAGTTCACAATAGGGTTCGCGCTACTCTGAGAATCTAATGCCACCCCGATCTGACAGGAGGTGGAACTCAGGTGGTAATGCTGGCTCACCTGCTGCCCACCTCCTGCTGCACAGGCTGGTTCCTAACAGACCAATGACCAGTACCAGTCCATGGCCCCTGAGTTGGGGACCCCCTGCTCTATGCAATCCATAACATAAACCGCTGAACACACTCTTCTGTCCTCCTAAACCCAACCCCCTGATGGACATAGATGGGCTAAAACCCCATCTCTTTTGAATATTAATTCTGCTGTTGCAGAATTAATGCAAGTGTAATTCTGTAAGTCTAGACTTCAAATGCAGGTCTATGTCTGCTTCTGTGTTTTCAGTTTTTCTGCAGTCTTTTGTCTTATCTCCCCATTTCACCTTATCCTGTAGTCTTTTAGTGTAAGTGCTGAACTCTTATAGCTTTTTACACCTCTTAATTGAAAATCTGTATTATTACTCTCTAATGAGAATGCAAAACTGCTATCAGACACTGTGTCCTGGTTGTTAGTAAAATTCACATGATGCCTTCAGGCTAACTTGTTTCCTTCTCTCTGCAGTATTTTTCCATGGGTTCCACATTAACTTTTCCTGTTAGCAGTTCTTAGATGAGGATAATGCTATTCCCACTCTCATTGTTTGCCAATATCTAATGCCCACAAATAATTTCCACTCTGCTAGCTTAAGATAGGGGATTTTTGTTATATACTTACTGCCTCGCATTATGCTTCTCTGATCAGATGGCTAAGAACCTAGCCACAGTATTGAATACAGAGATAATGAATGAATGAATTAGAAAGAACAGACACCATCACACACTTTGCATGGTTTTTGTAGTCTCTACCCCAGGGCTTACGCTTTATCACTACACCTCCCAGGATGCAACATGGTACCATGGCTAGTTCTTCCTCCTACCCACCTAAATATTTTAGACTAAATACATTTTCAAAGTAGCTATAAAACAGGGAAGCACCGAGGGCAGTTGGAAGTGAGCTTCTCCTCGGATGCTTAAAAAGTCCCACTGCCACAATAGAAGGCTCAACTGTTGTGTTTTTGTTTGTTTGGTGTTTGTTTTGCTTTGTTTTATGGTGAGCATTTATCTTAATATTTCTGGACCAAGATTGGAGGTTGAGAGAATACTGGGAGGAGGGTCAACAATTATTGTGACTACTTAGAAAAGGTAGAGAGTGAATGGATCTCCAGATGCACTCGTGAGCCTTATATTTAATAAAAAAAATTTCGCCATTCATTTACTGGCAACAAACAGACTTCGATTGCCTTTTAGTGTTGTGGGTTTTCATCTTTTTCTGTATCTTCCCACACAGTTTTGGTGGAAATTTTGTGTGAAAGATGTTTGCCAGATACCATTTTGAAATGGAAACCTGCTGATTTTTTGTTGATTGAGACTTCAGGATCACAGGAGGCTGTTATTTTAATTTCCTCCAATGTTTCATTTTTGGTTATACTCATTAGTGAAACTTGTTTTCTTGGGGTAAACTTTCTCCTGCCTAGCATTCTAGGTTCTAATTATTCTTTAAAAATATGGTAAGAGTCTTGCCATAGTGAGAAACTACCAGTTCTTTATAACTAACCATCTGTAAATATTCATTTATTTAATAGGTGTATGCCTTGCTCCAGAAATAATTTAAAGTGGCTTACATAAATATGAACAGGAGAAAATAAAATAAAAACATAACGATGAAAAGGAGGACAAAGGGAAAACCAGAGTAGGAAAGATAAGATGAAGCCAGGAGTAATGATAGTTCACAAAATTGATGGAATGAATCTTAGGCAAGAGATACCAAAAATTTGTCTCTGAGTTACTAGAGGACAATAAAAGGAGAGTGACATGA
Source organism: Homo sapiens (assembly GCF_000001405.40). Taxonomy (NCBI): domain Eukaryota; kingdom Metazoa; phylum Chordata; class Mammalia; order Primates; family Hominidae; genus Homo; species Homo sapiens. Next base: position 40,199,096 of record NC_000003.12, read on the forward strand.
GCAGCTCCTGAAGTCATGGAAGCTCTAGTAGAACAATAAATCCATTCCTTAAAGGATGCTGCTTTCGGAGCTGAAATCCAAGAGAAACTCATCCTGTGGATCCTTGTGGAGAGGATGGAGACCACAGCAGCCCCTGCTCTAAACTACTCCCATGGATTCACACTCTGGGGGTTGCTTCTCATAATGTCACTCAATGTTGGCCAATCCTTCACAGCAGGCACTGTTCAATTAAGTCAGGCTGATGAGGGGCCAAAATGCACTGACCTCTGCTGTCCGGGCTGCTCCAGGATTAAGTGTGGGCATATGGAGAGCAGTGGAAGGCTGCCTCCCCACAGCTCCCCTCCCTGTTTTGTGAGTGTTGTGGAGCTCTGCATTCGAGGGGATGCTCTCTGACAAGTGCTTGTGAGGCATGCATGTTGGCAGTAAGCTGAGTTGGAGGTAGTAGTGACACTCCCCTGAGAACACTGGGGCTCCAGAAGGTTCGCCTGCCTCTGAAGTGTACCAAGACAATATCCCCAGGCAAGGCCTTAAAATCTACTCAGAACTGTATTGGAATTATTTCCCGTACACAGACGAAAGGGTAATCATTCCCCTCTGCCCTTCAATTCTCCACCCTGATTTTCAAATCTTTTTAGGCATAGAGGATTCCCTTAAATGAAATCTAAAGGGAAGGCAGCAGAGTGCACTTTCACTTGTACCAAAGGTTGTATCTCCCACAAAAATAAAAATAAAGAGAAGACAAATCATAATATGGCTGAAAGCAGAGCTGCTCTGAGGCACAGTTGCTCCCCCATTCCTCGCCACTTACCTCCACGTCCACAGCAGCCCAGCAAGCACAAACAATAGCCTGGAAGGACTTTAGAGCAGGTGTGACCAAATACCCCTCAGAAGAAAAATCTTAGTCACATGTCTGTCAACTGATTCCCCTGGAGAAAAAGAATTGCTAGAAGTGCCTTCCAAGATAAACTCGTTGCAGAGAACATGTCTAGAAAATGAGACATTTGCTGAAAAATGGTGCCTCTTACATTTTCTTTTTATCATAGGCCCTTTTGAGGACCTAATGGGTACACTAGGTCAGGGTATCCAATCTTTTGGCTTCCCTGGGCCACAGTGGAAGAAGAAGAATTGTCTTGGGTCACACATAATATGCTAACGATAGCTGATGAGCTAAAAGAAAAATCGCAAAAAAAAATTTTGTTATGTTTTAAGAAAGTTTATGAATTTGTGTTGGGCTCAATTCAAAGTCCTCTTGGGCCACATGGGGCACGGGTTGAATAAGCTTGCTCTAGGTCTTCTCTCTAGGGAGGAAAAAAATGTGCATAAATCCAACAAAGTTTTATATTCAATCTTGGGGAGTATTGGGAGCCTGTCTGGAGCCTCTCTATATAGGATTTTTAAATAGGAGTCTGTTGGATATTAAGGATTATCCACTGAAAATGATCACTTTATTGTAGCAATAGTTAAATTATTTGGGGCCTTCTTTTAGGTAGATATTAAATAGCAGGGCTAACTATCAACTATGGCTTTTACTTGTATGTAGCAATAAAACCATGTCAATTCCATGAAAGAAAATGTTGAGTTCTCTATTCCATATGGCAGGGACCCAAGCCCAGCTCATTCAAATGGATAGCAAGTCATTCAGAGCCAATGCAGAGAAAGGGGTCTAGAGCACACTCAGTCCCTTCACCCCAACCCCTGCCCTGCGTGTCATCACGTGATTGCCAGGAAATCCTCCTGCTGACCCTGACTCTCACACTGGCATTAAGGCCCAGGTTCTGAATCACCACCAAAATCCATGGATCCTATAACTTAGTCTATGCCTATCACAATCCTGAGTCAAAGAAAAAACGAAAGTGAAACCCACTGTTAGTGCTGCTTTATTCCTAACAGATTTCTCTGCAAAGCGACAGAACAGTTGTGGCCAGTATGAAAATATTGTGTCTTAATTATGCCTAATGTTCCATTATTGGAACGCTAAGCATGTGGGAGTTATTTATCTGACTGCTCAAGGTCATCGCCAAGGTCTGATTGCAAAAATTCAAAAAAATTGCAAACTCAGGCATAAATTGGTTAAATTTGTTCATTCCTCATGTAAACATTCACCTGAAAAGCCCAGGCTAGCAATTTTCCAGATATTCTATATGGAATTGCCATAATTCTGGGGAATAAGTGGTTGCCCTTTCAACAAATAGCATAGTCTAATTCCATCAGATAGGAGATTAGTAATGAGAAAACACACAGAGGAGGGGTGGATACCAAGTCAGGAGGTTTTGGTTCCTAGAGTGGGAGATGTGCTCCAGGTTAGATTCAGACTTGTTTTTTAAATCAATGTAATATGAAGGACTCAGAAATCATGGAATCTATATACCAAGGCAACTGATCTGTAATAATAAAAGCTAAAAAAATAAGCCTTCCAGATGACATCCTGGTGCTAAGATTTCATAACATCCTTCACCAAATTCATCACCAGGTAGTTAGTCCCCATACCTTCTGTGCAATTCCACCAACCAGGCAGGTCCTTCCACATGATGGGTTCTCCATGAGAGAACCTTGAGAGACTCTCTTTGAGGCAATAGGAAATGTATTATAATATTAATTTCTATGAGATTCCAGATGGTGTCTTTCCATTTCCACTGTGTGACACTGACCAAGGGTTTGGTGTATATTTGTGTATGTGTCTGGGTGCTGTTATCACACCAATTATGAGGAAAACAAATGCCTTATTCACAGCATGTGAATAAAACTAGTTTTAGGTGAACAGCAATGCATTGGAAAAGGGAAAACTTCTACCTTTAGACACCAGGGACAGAAACGTTCCAAGTCCTCTGGGAGAGACAGATCAGCAGCAGAGTCCAGCAGCCCCACGGCTCATCCACTTGCCTCCACCCTCTGAACAGCTGTGCCAAAGGATTGGCAAGGAAAACTATGTACATTTGCCACACTGAGTGCCCTAGAGTCGTTTAACCTATAAGCTGGAGCTTTTCTCTGAAGTCTACTAAAATAAAATCTAAAAGCAAGCTGCAGAAACTTTGTTTTTTAGGTCAGGTTCAGTATCTTTCATCAACAGGAATGAGGAGAGCCACCAGGACATAAGGATATATTCAACAAATGTTAACATGTGACTGTTGAAAGTTATCCTTTATCTGGACTCTTTTTTAAAAGGTGGAGAAAGCCCAGAGCCTAGCCTGCCCTTTGCCTCCTGAAACAACCTGGCAGGTGAAAGATAGCCTCTATGAAAAACTTTTTCTCAGACTGGGGTTGCTTTTATAAGGAAGATGATGAGGCTAAATAGGAGAAAAAAATGTTTTTAATTACGGTAGGCTGGATTTCAATGTGCGCAGATCACTGGGGTTACTGAGGTAAACACAGTGTTCTAAGGAAATCTCAGGGTATTCATCTCCAGAAAGAATTCTAGAAAAATTATCTTCTCACTCCTTTAAGCCCTTTTGTGAAAAAAGAGGTTAAACCCCTTGCCTCTTGGGTTCTCCCCCTGCTTTGTGGCTCTGCTGTTTTCCTTTTAGTGAGCACGGTTTAATTTGGAGCATCCAGTCTTGTTTTGGTGTAAGAGAAGAGCTTGGCCTTCAGGGTCAGGTCACCTTCAGCTCAACCATCCACTAGTGTGACCTTGGGCAGTGCACTCAGCCTTTGTCTTCATCAATACAGAGTTCCAGAACTGCTGGGATGTTTGAATGCAACATCCCGTGCACAGTGCCCTGTAGAGTGTGCACCCAAACAGTGTGCTCAGCAGTGAGAAATGTCTCGTACCTTCTTCCCCCACCACTCATATCCCCATCACCTCACCTCCATTTACTTATTTATTTATTTATTTATTTATTTATTTATTTATTTATTTGAGACTGAGTTTTGCTCTGTCGCCAGGCTGGAGTGCAGTGGTGCAATGTCGGCTCACTGCAATCTCCACCTCCCAGGTTCAAGCGATTCTCCTGCCTCAGCCTCCAGAGTAGCTGGGATTACAGGTGCATACAACCACACCCAGCTAATTTTTTTATATTTTTAGTAAAGACAGGGTTTCACCATGCTGGCCAGGATGGTCTTGATCTCTTGACCTCATAATCTGCCCACCTCAGCCTCCCAAAGTGCTGGGATTACAGGTGTGAGTCACTGCGCCTGGCTCTTCTCCATTTATTTCTATCCTTGTGTTTCTTAAGCTGAAGAATTCAATAAATTCCTCAAGAATTTTTAGAAGACCTCCAGTTTGAGAAAATATGCATTAAACTTTAAATACTGTCAATTTAAGAAAAATGTTGGCACCACCCTAAATATAAATGCGGATATAAGAATGGAGAGCTTACACACATGGCAGCACCCAGCTGTGGGGCTGAGGCCCAGGTAATCCAGAACATACCTCTTTTTTAGGTGATCAATGAGATGAAAACCAAAATGTAAGGTTATTGTAAAGAACTTGCACACCACTGAAAACATATTAGAAGACTCTTGTTTAAGAAACTATATTGGCTTATCTTAGGAGTATTCTATCGTTAAGTGTTTAAAGATATGACTTTCTGTTTAGCCAGGGTCTCCAAGTTCCATATAAATATATATATATTTATATATTTTTATATTTTTATATATATTTATATTTTTATATTTTATATATTTTTATATATTTATATATATTTATATTTTATATATATTTATATATATTTATATATTTTTATATATTTATTTATTTATATATTTATTTATTTATATATATTTATATTTATATATTTATATATATTTATTTATTTATTTATATTTTTATATATATTTATATATTTATATATTTATATATATTTATTTATATAAATATATATTATTTATATAAATATAATATAATATATATTATATATATTATATATTATATACATTATATATATTATATATAATATATATTATATATATTATATATTATATATAATATATATTATATATATTATATATTATATATAATATATTTATATATAATAAATATTATATAATATATTTATATATTATATAATATATTATATAATATATAAATATAGAGTATTATATAATATATTATATAATATATAAATATATAATATAATATTTATATATTATATAATATATAAATATTATATTATATATTTATATATTATATATAAATATATATATATTTTTTTTTTTTGAGACAGAGTCTCACTCTGTCACCCAGGCTGGAGTGCAGTGGTACGAGCTCAGCTCACTTCAACCTCCATCTCCTGGGTTCAAGTGAGCACATCCAGCTAATTTTTGTATTTTTAGTAGAGACAGGGTTTTGCCATTTTGGCCAGGCTGGCCTCAAACTCCTGACCTCAAATGATCCACCCGCCTCAGCCTCCCAAAGTGCTGGGATTACAGGCCTGAACCACCACGCCTGGCCACACACTACATTTAAGTGTGCAAGGAAGAGGCAACGTTTTGTTCCTTAGTAACTGCCTTAAACTTCTCCATTAGCCTCCCCATTCTGAGTAGCTAGGAATGTAAATCAACCGATTCAAAGAAAACTTGGCCTCTTGTGATTTAAATTATTTTCCTTTTTCTTTCCATTTAAACCCGCCTTTCCTAGGTAAATAATCAGTCCTCCAAACCCTCCACTTTCTCTGCCTTCACTGTCTTGGAGAGCATATTGGGGAGCTTGTAGGGTCCTCATGGCTGCAGGGCATCTTAGAGCTAGATGGTGTCCTCTGGGTCCTTGCAGGACTCTGCAGTGATGGGGACCCTGCTCGTCAGGTCATTTCTCTGCCTCACTGGCATCTGCTGCCAATGTCTAAGACTTGGGAACCTTGGTCTGTTCCCTGTCCTGCTCCAATAGAAGCCAGCACCCCTTCCACGGGCACCAGAGTGGCTCTCACACATGTCAGCTACCTGTCCCTGGCTGTCCAATCCCAGGACAGCTACTTTATTACAATGTCACCAGCAATCTTCTATGACCCTGCTTCTGGGTGCCCTCTATGCCACACAGGTGCCAGGAAGGACCCTGGAGCCCCCCTTCGGCCTCCCTTGGAAGCCTCTCATCAGGGGTGATTGCACTCTGATTCTGCTGCCCCATATCATCATGAGGTGGGGGGTCAGAGGTCACAGGCATCCTGCAAGGCTGCTTCTCTCTGGATTTCAATAGAAGGAGAAGTGAAATTCGTCTTTTGAACAGATTCATCTCTAGAAACCCTCTGTCCATGTTCACAAAATCTGTCTTTTGAGCCTTTTGTTACCCTAAAGAGCTAATGGAGTGAACTGATCAATGATCTTTTGGTTCTGGATCTACATTCACCTTCCCTGGCGTAAAATGCTTATGGTTTAGCCTAAGAAAATGAGGACACAAGGGAATGCAGTTTTAATGGGAAATGAAAAGCACTGCTTTCTTGTTTTCAAAATAATGGTCCCATTACACGTACAAATATCGATTTATAAGGTGGGGAGTTTGAGACACCACACCAGTGGGCAAGCAACTCTGATTTTCAGATTACTTAAAATGTTTTGTACCCAGATACAGACATTGCTCATAGTTATCCAGTTTGCCCATAAGGAATTTCATTCTTTCCCACCGCCTCCCACCCTCCCTGCAAAAGCTCCTCAGGATTCTCCACTGAGTTCATAATCTTCTCTGTGATCTGCTTATGTCCCTCACTGTCCAACACAGTGAGTATGTTTGGTGTTTCAGTGAAGTTGTTGTGATAATCAGGGTCCCTTTGAAGTAGAAGAGCATTTTTTTTTTGGCTGAAGACTCAGCAGCACCCTTATTTTCTCTAAATTCTGGTTCCCAACTGGCTTTAAACACAAACCTCCTTACTGCTCCTTTCTCTGAATTCAACTGTAAGCTTCCCATTTCCTGTTCAATCAACACGTACCCCTCTATTGTTGTCTTACTAGGAAGTAGATTTATTCTTATCAGTATTTCTTAGCCGTTTGGAGGCATGGACCCCTGTGAAAATCTAATGAAAACTAATAATGCTCATCCTAGAAAAGTGTGCGTGCATACCAAAGTTTGTGAACAATATCAGGGGTCCACAGAGGCCCATCCATGGACTCCATATCAGCCAAGATCCCAACTTAGCATTTATTGTCTCAGCTATCATGAAAATTAAAATCAGCTCATGGGGGGAAATATGTGTGAGTTGATAACATAGGGCAGGGATTGCTTAACCCTTTGCAGGCTAAAAATACCTATTTTTCTCTGGAGATGTAAATATTTGTTAATCTACTTGATGAATATTATATGGCCAAATAATACTGTTATTTTTGAAGTTCTTGTGGCTTTTAATAATGGTGCTTCCAGTTATGCTCATGGTATCATCTGGGCATCAGATCTGTGTGCATACGATTTGTCTTTCTGTGAACTCAAGAACCATCACTTAGCATTATGATTCTTGCTGCTCCAATAAAACTTGTATGTCTTGATAATCTTTAGGATTCCATTCTTTAAGATTTGCTCAGTTATCTATTCTAATTCCCCTTCCTGACAATATCCACCTCAACCAACCAGATGAGGGCCCTTCCTCTGAGTCTCATCAAAACCTTACATGTGGTTATTCTGTTCCCCAGTGTGTTACAATTGTCTGGTTCAATGTTCCTCTCTCCACCACACCGTCAACTCCAGTAGGGCAGGAACAGTGTCACTCTCACCTTTGAGCCCCAGTAAAGCACAGTGCTCAGCACATAGTAGGTGCTCAACATGTGTTTGCTGGATGTAGACTGAATCACAGCAATTCTTCATAATTTCTCATGTGATAAATAGACATGAAACGTGGACAAATCATGTTAAGCAGGTTTCATCTTTTGGGTTAACTATTTTAGCCTTGTAAATTAGTCTTTCATTGTCTGTATATTCAAGCAATAATTGAGCCAAAGCTTAATATTAATAAAAGTAAACTAGAGTTAAGATAAATTGACAGTTCCATGTGTAGAGATGATAAGAGAAGGTCACCATGGCTGAGTTTGTAACTAGTTGCTGACTTCCTGCATAATTTAGTGCATACTACAACAGTAGCAGAAAATCTATTTGATAGTTAAAGTCCTATTCCTTAGACTGGTGTTTAACGCTCTGCAGACTGACCCAGGCCTGATTTTTCCATACCACCTGGCTCCCCACTCTCTCCACTTCTGAACCTTATCCCTCAAACTATGCAAGCAGCTTCATGCACCCTGGGTCCTATTGGTCTTGCTGCTTCTACATCAAGAATGCCTGTCCCATGACGACATATTAAAATGTCCCTCATATTTTGAGAACCTGCTCAGAGGTCATTCTTCCTGTGGACCACCTGCACATCCCAGGCAAAGGAATTCCCCTTTCTCAAACATGCTAGGAGCACAGGTTACTTCACATGAGTCCCTCATCACTGATTTTCACTCAGGACCAGAAAAAAAAATAGTCACTTCCAATAGATGTTTTTCTCTTAATTATTCAGTGATATTTTTCATTTCTATGTCATCTGTTTTCTTCTAATCACCTTTGGATAGATGTCTCCCTTTAGAATTTATCCAATTACAAACTGTCTCAAGTAAAATTGATACACAAACAAAGTATGAAAGAACATGTCACATATCTTTTTAAAAAAGCAAGATATCCAGATTATTGTTGCAAAATGTTGTGTGATGAAGTCCTTCCTGCTGAATGAGTAACTGGATGAAAAGACCATACTTCTTTTTCATCCTTACTAATATTGTTGATAATATTTACTCATCAATTCTTGAGCTTGAGAAAATTCACCTAGGACACTGTCATCTGAAGACTCTTAGTCTGAGATTTCAATAATATAACCAATTTCACCATTATTGTTAGAATCTAGAGACCTGCTGTCCTCTTTGAATTCATCTTTTGAGTCATCTAGTGATTGTGAAATGTTGTTCTCTGTCAGTTTTTGGAATTTTCAATTGTATGCAGTGAAAGCTAAAAGCAGATTCAAAATAGTGATGATTTATGTCACTATTGAATCATCCTTCTAGGCAATTTCATTATTCTATTTATTTTTTCATCTTTCTTTAGCATAATTGGGAATAATTGGTGAGTAATGATGAGAAATAATTCCCTGGATGATGAAATAGCAAAATGTTTCAAAAGATAGGAAAAATAAGATCACAAAGATCCCATGATGTATCTTAGATTTATAAAAAGGTCAAGTGAACCCATATGGTAATTGTAATGAGTTATATTTTATTTAAAACATAAGTAAGTTCTCTTCTTGTTCTTCAGAAGCCCTCTAAGAGAATAAAAGTTATAAAATATCAAACCGTACAAATACATAAAACAACTCCAAGAGGAAACTCAAAAAGTAAAATTGGGTCCAGTGACCCCGATGGTATGCCATATTATGTACATATGAACACTTCAACACACATCTGTCTAACTGAAGGCCAAGAATAGAGTAAGAGTCACACTCTCTATGTCTTCCTGGAGTTCCCCAAGCCTGGTAAAGGGTTTACTCACAGAAGGAGTTTAGGAGATATTCAGCAAGTGGAGAGTTGGAGCAGGAGATATAATTATTAAGGGAATGTCAAACAATATTCCTTACATATGTGCAAGGTCCTTGTACCATCTCAAAATCTTGGCCCTTTGCCTAGAATATTGTTCTTCCCTCTCTTCCTTTTAGCTGGTTGACTGTTAACTTTGAATCTCAACTCAGAGTCCCTTCCGCAGGGAAGTTTTCCCTAATCCTCAACCCCTCCCATCAAGTGCTTATTTATGGGCTGTGAGAATCCCTTCCCTTCCCCACATCCCAGCCACAAACATCATCTTCTCTGCATTGAACCACCATGAAAAGTTAGTACTCATTAGCCAATGCCTCTTCCTCTCCATTCCCACCCTATTGGTTACTGGTTACAAAAATACAGTCAGATAGAAGGAATGAGTTCTTATGTTAGATAGCACAGTAAGAGAACTGTAGTTAACATAATTTATTGTTTATTTGGGCTGCGCATGGTGGCATGTGTCTGTAGTCCCAGCTACTTGGAAGACTAAGGCAAAGAGAATCGCTTGAGCCTAGGAGCTCTGGGCTGTAATGTGCTGTGCTGGTTGGGTGTCTGCACTAAGTTTGGCGTCAATATGGTGACCTCCCGGGAGCGGGAGACCACCAGATTGCCTGAGGAGGGGTGAACTAGCCCAGACTGGAAACAAAGCAGCTCCAAGCTCCCATGCTAATCAGTGATGGGATTATGTCTGTGAATAGCTACTGCACTCCAGCCTGGGCAACACAATGAGACCCTGTCTCTAAAAATAATAATTTATTGTATATTTGGAATGTTCTCAACACAAAGAAATGATAAATGTTTGAAGTGATGGATATCTTAATTATCCTGATTTGATCATTACACAATGTAGGCATGTATCAGATATCACATGTATCCTATAAATATGTACAATTATTAGGTATCAATTTTTAAAAGTGAATATGGAAAGTTTTAGTGTGTCTCATTCATTACAGGGCTGGCCCAGGCAAGGGCTGGTCAGGTTCTCCAAGCATCCTTTGCACCAGCACAGTGCTGCCCATGGTAGGAGCTCAGAGAGTAGTCTGTGAATGAAAAAAAAAAAGAATTCAAACACTTTTTTGAGTAAAGAGGATTACCTTCTCAAATTCATGCATTTGAGAAAGTAAAGGTAAAACTAAAAGTCCATCTGAAGAGAAAGCAGACCAGGTAAGAAAGCTGTTACTTTCCTAGACTATATGTTCCTATGTTCCTTTACTCAGGGGTTATTGGGAACAAGAAGCAACATGGCTGTAGCAGAGGGCTCCTCATCTCATGATTCTGGCTTTCATTTAGGTGTCGGATGATTTATCAGAGACAGACATCAGCAATGAGGCTCGGGATCCCCAGACTCTCACAGACACCACAGAGGAGAAACGGAGAAACAGGCTGTACGAGTTAGCAATGAAAATGAGTGAAAAGGAGACTTCTTCAGGGGAGGATCAGGAGTCTGAGCCCAAGACAGAATCTGAGAACCAGAAGGAAAGTCTGTCCTCTGAAGACAACAGCCAGAGTGTCCAGGAAGAGCTGAAGAAGGTAAGGGCTGTGAAGCCACCTGCAGACAGCTCAAGCTTCTGCAGTGGGGTGTTGGAGAAAGATCCTATATTGGTGCAGAAAGCTGCTGGGTCCCCAAAGAGCTCTCTCTAAAATGCCCATCCCTGTGCATTTGGGAGAGCCTAAGAGAACCCTTCTTAACTTGCACTGGGGGGTACAATCAGGAAAACAGCATCATGGAAGTTTCCCAAGAACTCTTACCTTCCACTATCTTTCATCAAGACAGCCCCTTGGCTTTGAGTCTATGATTTAGTGCCCCTTATCCCTCTCACTGGTAAAAATCAGTATTATTTCCTGCTCCACCCTCTCCCTGAGCAGATACATCCATCTGCTGGTACATGAAGAATTTTGCCCATGGATTAAGGTCATCTAGCCAACCCCTCTTTTAATCAGTGATGAAGCTCTGCTCCATGCTATGGAGCCTCTGTGTTCAAAGTGGCCTTCTGGATTGTTTCTCTCTGCAGTTTTCAGATTTCGATTTGGTTGTTTTAGCGTCGGAATCCTTTTTCAAACAATCTTTATATGGAATCCCAGTGTTTCACACAGAAAAAAATTATTCTTGTCTCAGGGTCCCCAAAGCCCTAACCGCTTGATTTTCAGACCCACACTCCTCCTCCCCTTTTCCTACCCCCAGTAGGCCCCTGAGTTCCAAAGGACACAGTTGGAAAACCACAGAAGATAAACTCAACCTCTGGCATAAAAGAATCCCACACTCCCTCCCCATTGTCAGTGCTCTGCCTGCTGTCCTCCAGCATTGGGGTTTCCTCTACAGCTTCTCAAAGCACATTTATGCTAGACTTGCCACTTTAGAGTCAGAATATCCCTGCCAGCCTCCAATGGAAGGGAACACACTAACATTTGTTGAGTGTCTCCTCTGTGTCTCCTCTGTGCGTGTGCCTGTACACATGTTCATTAGGTCCTTAAATAACCCTTTGAAATAGAAGCAGCCCATTTTTGCAGAAGAGGAAACTGAACCTGAGTCATTGAGGTCCTTACCCAGGGCTCACATCTGGTAAGTTTCAGAGCTAAGGCTGCATCACAAACCTGCTTGGCCTTAAATCACAGGCCCCTTCCTTTACAATGAGCCAGAGATTCTATTTTATCTTCAGAGTGATGATTCTGTTAGAGAAAAACCTCCCAGGTGTTTTCTGTGTCCCAAGTATATACTGTGTAAACTAAGAAGTTGCTGGTAATGCACATGCATGAGTGAAGGAGCTGCCTTCATCTGCCCAGCAGCCGAGCTGGGGTCCTGTGGAGGATGAAGTGAAGACCATTACCCGTGGCTGAGCCCCTGAACCCTCCAACACCTCAGACTCTGTATTTCACTTTTCCCATCCCACCCTCCATAACCATCAAGTCCTCACCCATAAATCTTTCCCTGGCTTGTCTGTGAGTTGGAGAGTGGAGCTTGTTCTCCACGAGGAGCCCCTCACTGGGATATGGACTCCAACCTATTGCAAATGGTAAGGGCTCTGATCCTCTCTGTTACTTGAACTGATGCTGCATTACAGTCAGATTTGTACGCTGGAGCTTAGAGCCAGATGGTAACTGGAGAATATCACATTCTTTCTTACAATGGCTTTATCTCCCACTGGCTTTGCTGCCTATGGTCCCAAGGCTCTAAAAACTCTCACTGTACCAGTGGCATGCCAGGCTGTGAGTCATGCAACCTCACCCTTCATCATTCTGCAAGGAGCAACCTCCTGGAGGCAGTCACCAATGTACGCTATTCTCCCCTGGGCAGAGTGTCAGCAGAGAAAGGAGGAGCTACTGGGGGGACTTCCTGGGGACTTGGACAAGCGCCCCCATCCTGCCCCTGCCCTAATTAGGCAGGAAATTAAGAGAGTTGGCTTTATTCAGATTCCCGAATGTGTCAGCTTTTCAAAGTTCAAGTCTTGCCTTCCTAGTCTTCCATGAGTCAATGAATTAAATATTCAAACATATTCTTTTGCATGTAAAAGTCCATATAGCCATATATATATATGTGTGTGTGTATATATATATACATATATATACGTGTATATATATATACATATATATACGTGTATATATATATACATATATATACGTGTATGTGTATATACATATATATACGTGTGTGTATATATATATATACACACACACACACACACACATATATATATATACACGTATATATATAGAGAGAGAGCGCCATATAGACTATATATATATGTTGGAGGGTTCAGGGGCTCAGCCACATATATATATAACTATATAATATATGGTTTCCCCATCAGGCAGGTACTACTGTAGTTAAAGAAAAACAGAAATATAGGGTTAAGTATTGAATATTATTTAAAAACAGAAAAGTTTTGAGATATATTTTAGGATTAGACTGAGTTTGAAGCATAATCGCCCAGGCGCAGTGGCTCATGCCCATAATCCCAGCACTTTGGGAGGCCAAGGCAGGCAGATCGCTTGAGCCTAGGATTTTCAGACCAGCCTAGGCAACACGGCAAAAACCCATCTCTACTAAAAAATTAGCCAGGCTTGGTGGCGTGCACCTGTAGTCTCAGCTATGTAAGAGGCTGAGGTGGGAGGATCACTTGGGCCCACGAGGTTGAGGCTCATCACTGGACTCCAGCCTGGGTGACAGAGTGAGACCCTGTCTCAAAAAATATATAAGTAAATAAAAACAAAAAAATTAGCCAAGCATGGTGGTTAATGTCTGTGGTCCCAGTTACTCGAGAGGCTGAGATGACTTGAACCCAGGAGGTTGAGGCTGCAGTGACCCATGATTGCACCACAGCACTCCAGCCTGGGCAATGACAGAGTGAGACCCTGTCTCAAAAATAAATATATAAATAAAAGGAAAAAGAAAAACAAAACCATGCAGTTTGCAAACTCTGTGGCATTGGTTAATGGCTTACCTCACTGCTACTACTTAGAACCTGACAATTCATTTCTTGCCTGCTTACTCTACCTCACCTCCTAACTGGTCTCCTGACCCTGCAGGCCCTTCTTGGCCCTTCTAATTCTTTCTCCACTCAGTGGCCAGGCTGCCCTACAGTTCCTGCACTTGCTTACAGCCTGTCAACAGGCTCATGTCTGTCTTGCTTTTTAATTGATCCCTAGGACCCAGTCCAGGTTTTCATTGTTGATTGAATAAACACATCTTGGCCTCATTTGTAAAATGGGGATAATCATAACCCCTTATAGGGTTGTGAGGAATGAATTATGTAGTGTAGGATTTAGCATATAGCAGGAGCCCAGCAAATCTTAATTATTGTAGCTTTAGAAAAATAAGCTTCACTGTCATGAAATAACATCCATCTGCTGGTACTGAAGGAACAGCTTAGTGCTGATCCCCATCAACACTTGCAGTGTCATGCTGTGGGTCTGTAACTACATTTGGTGCTCCTTGATGCTATGCAGAGTGTAAGTGTGGAAATCACTACATCAGACCCCTAGGTTACCATCTTCAGGATCAGAGTTAACTGTGATGTCCCCATGACCCCAACACCACTAGTCTGAGCAACACACACACACACACACAGACACACACACACACTCTTTGGGGAGTAGATCTACGGTAATGTGACTATTCCAGAAGCGCCACTGCGCCACCCTTGTTTCTTAACCATGGTAGTGCACACTAGCCCAAAGTCCAACTACCTGAGGACCTTCTCTGAGTAGCAAGAGCTCCTCTTCCTACACAGAAGACTAGCTGGAAGTGCCAGAGAAATACCACTCCCAGGAGCGGGAGTGAGGCACTAACTAGTGACTGATGGGAAGGGTGTAAATATCCCAGCTCCTTTGCTTTGCTTCGGTTGGGATGGTGACTCTGAGGCTTGAGCCATGCACTGACTGCCTCAGCTGGAGGCACCCACAGTGATAAACTACTTGATAAACTACATGATACGGCAGTCTTCTCTACAGACTCTGTTCCCTTTCCTGTCCCACTTCCCCACTCCTCTGCCACTGTTTCCTGGGATTGCCTCCCACATAAGCCATGTGCACCCCAATTTTTGTCTCAGGGTCATCTTCTGGGGGAGCCTAGACTAAGACAAACAGAAGAAAAGTGTCATCCATAAATCGCAAATACTTACTTTGGTATTGTGAATAAGCAGTGAGGAAGTCTAACCACCAAATTGGCTACTGATAGGCCTCATCTCACCAAAAGGAGGCTTGCCTCACACAGAGGGGGAGCTCAGCCAGGGCCTCCATCACTGTCCCTGCTGTTTGGGAGCCAAAGCAGAGGAATGTGGATATGCCCGTAGACACAGTGACATCAGTGGCAGCTCAATGTCCTCAGTATAACATCCCATCTAATTGGAGCTACAGAATCCTGTCCAGCAGCAGAAGAACCATTTTAGAAACATACTTTTTCCTGATGTGATTCAAACCTTTGCTGTATGCAAACATATCCCTACAGTTGGATTAAATGTCTTCCTTTGGCTGGATGCTGGGGCCCAGTGATTACTTAAGGATGGGCACTGCAACCTGAATTTAACCAGCTGAAGAACGAGCTTGGAGCCAGATCAAAACTTCTTGGAAACTGGATTCCCAAAAGGTCATGTTTCTTCTTTAAGTAATAACTTGGTTCCACCAGACCTCAGCGGTCAGCCTTCCAAACCACATGGTCTTCAAAGCCTGGGAATGAGCACTCGTTTCTCCCCAACCACTGAACAGCCATGCCAATGGTTCTGGAAGAAAGTCCTGGCTAAAGTGGTTCTTTTTGCCTCTAGGGACGCAGCTGCTGCCCTCCTAAAGGGGGATGCAAAAGAGGACTAAGGACTCCTGGCCTGAGTTTGGAGACTACATCAGGGGCCAAGTCTCCCCAAACCCCCTAATTTTTCCAGGCCTGGACCAGCAGTCCCCAAGGTCCCTTCTGGCTCCAAAATTCCAAAGTTGTAGATATGCGATAGAATACATAGGTTTTTGCTTCTTAACATAAGTATCATTTGCAATACTGTAGATGAAAAAAGATGTCCTATGTATCAATCTTTTGGAACATGAGCATTTATTAAAGGCCTAGATTAGGAAAATCTTGCACTATAGTCAAATTTGTACATCTAGTGTCCTTAAAGCATTTTTATTAAGAGTCTTTGTTTATTAATTATCACAAGTAGCTGAGCCATTGTGCTTTATTTTCACAAGGGAGTCAACAACCAGCAGACATCTCTGCAGGGATTCAAACTGACTCATAGTTTCACTTTAAAGAGTGAAACTACATTTAGAGTTTCATAGAGTAATTTTCATTTTTTTCAATTTTGAAAAAATTGAATTTTATTTATCATTTCATAGAATAATTTTCATCAAAGTACTGAGACTTCTCTAAACTAATAAATGTCTTTCTCCCCTAAACAAGAGAATAATTTGTGCATCTTCTGATGGCTGCCCCCCAATTACTAGAGCCAAGCCACATGGAAACCCAATCCTGGTGAATGGTGAAGGAAGCAGATTTATTGACTGTTGTCTGAGAAAACCCAGAGACTCTGGTTTCTCAAGTTTAATGTGCTTGTGAAAAAAAATTTGTTGATGTCATGGTGTTAACATAAAATCAAGTATCGTTGTCTATATATGTCTGACGTTCATAAAATAACTTAACCATTCATGTGAGGCTACAGCACCCTACAACCCAGGGAGCATTTTATTTCAGAAGAGTGCCTCATCTTCACTTACTGCTAGAGTGAATATAGTATTAGATACTGACTTATAACTTCCAAACTACACTGATTTCAATAGGCCTTATGCCTATTGAGGAATTAACACCTCTTTCCCAACTGTCTATTTAACTGCTGCCCTAGGAAAAAAGAGAAGCTTTAGCTGTCCACTTAGAGCTACAGCTCTTATCCAGAGTGCTTGAACAGGTGAGGAGGTTTTATTTCATTCATGCTCATCTGCACTCTTCATTCCCACAACTGTGTCCTAGGGAAGGGCCTGCCAGGCCAGGAAGATAGAGTTCTAGGTTCTCTTTTGGATCTTCAAAAGAGAGAAGCAGAATATCTTCCTCTTTAGGCAAAGATGGACTGGGAAAGATTGCCCAGAACTCCAATGCAGACATACTTCAAGCCTCTAAAATGCAGGCATTACCTGGAAGGCCAGGATAAGGATATCACCCCAGCCACAGCAGTAGAATGAGATGCTGGACAGAAATGGTTTGAAGAAAGAAAGGCAGAGTTACTCCAAAAGGTTTTAAGTAGAAAGGCCTGGCAAGCAAGGCACTGGTTCAGAACTCTCACCCCACAGAAGCCCAAAAGTAAGAAACGCTGGGGAGAGGTAAGAGGAAGCATAGATACTGTGACTCTGAAGCTTTGCAGAATAAGCAAGATTGTGCTCTTGGAAAACATCTCTGGGTAGAAAATATAAAAACTAAAGAAGGAAAAACATGTACACCCGTTTCTCCTATAAACGGAAATGCCAAAATCCTAAAGAAAATACTAGCAAACTAAATTCCACAACATTAAGAGATTCACATACCATAACTCATATATTTTGTTCCAAGAATGCAAAATAAAGTGAATAGCAGGAAACCCCACTGTTATACTCATTTAGTAAGTACTATTTTTTAAAAGCACATCATAATCTCAACTGATGCCAAAATGTCTTTTGGAAACATTCAACACATATTCCATTGGGGGGAAAACCCTCTCAGTGTAATAGAAAGATAGTTCTGTAACATGATGAAGAAAATCCACTTCAAAGCACCAGAATCCCTGGATTTTTTTTCTTAATGACAACTCATTTTAAATATCAAAAACACTATGAACATCACATTTTACTACTGATCAAAGAAACACATGACAAAGAGATGAATTTGTAAATGCTTTTACATAAATGTGTATTTTGTTAATCAAATAGCATATACATACGTGTAAAAAATAACATGTGTGGCTTTAAGATTTGTTTTAAATTACAGACAAATATTTGTAGTTATCTAGCAAATATGTATTGTTGTTAAAGAAGTAAATGAGCAAAACTGACTCTAGAAGGTTTACAAAACCTGAACAGACCACAGAAGAAATTGGCAAAGTAGTCAAGGAATTATTTCTCAGAAAGAAGCTAGTCTCAGGTATCTTTGACAATAAAATCCATCAAACGTTCGTGGTGCTAATTACCTTCATACTAATAAAACTGTTCTTGAGCAATTAAAAAAATGGAAAGCATCCCAGTTCTGAGTCTCACACACAAAAAATCACACACCACCAAAAATTTACAAATTAATTCATGAGTGAATAGACATCAAAAATTCTCAACATATTGGCAAATTGTTTCTAACTATGAATTAAAGTAATAATTTATGACAGCCAGACAGGATGTAGTCTAAGAATGTAATAATATTAATTTTAGGATATCTATTAACATTTTTGTTATATTTACAGGCTAAAGGAAGAAAACATGATTATTTTATTAAATTCTTAGCTTGATGTTTGACATGGTAGGAAATTCATAAAATACTCATAAATACTGAATGAAGAATGAATTTCAAACAGCTGATAAACAACCATTTCTGATAAAGTAGGAAGATAAAAACTCAACAGCAGTGACTGGTAGCCTTTTGGGGATTGCAGACCTTTTTACAAGTTTGATGAACATTGTGAACCCGCTCTCCATAAAGCATAAAAAAATGAAATTGATTTTCATCAAATTGGGAAGTCACAGATTGCATGAAGCCCATCCATAAACCCCAAGTTTAGAAATTACTATTAAATGACAGAAAGAAAACAAAGATGTCTTCTACTACTTTCATGATTCAACATTGGTCTGGCATTCTCTCCAGTGCAATAGGAAATAAAAATTACCAATATTAGATAGCAGAAAACAAAACTATGATGACTTTAGATTCCTGAGTTAAGATAATAAAATCAACTGAAAAGATTATTAGAAATAAGTTTGGTAGGATGGCCTATCACAAAAGAGTAATACATAAGCAAAAATTTCATATATACAGCAATAATCACTCAGAAAATATAAAGAAAAAATTATATTTGCAATAGCCGCAAAAGTACACACAGCACTGAACATACACTTGGCATATAACCCAACAATTCTACTCCTAAGTATTTATTTCTCTAATAAAGACCTATGTCCACACACACAGACACACACAAAAAACATTCATGATCACCAAAAACTGGAAACAACACAATTGTCCACCAGCTCACCAGCTGGTGAACGAGTATAAGTGCACCAATGTCAATGAATCTTAACAGCATTATGCTGCGGGAAAAAAGACTCAAAAGGTTACATACTTCCCACTTACATGACATTCTGGAGAAGGCAAAACTATAAGGACAAAACACATATCAGTGGTTGCAAGAGAATGGGCTGAGGAGAAGATTGATATAAAGAGACATAAGGGAATTTTTTGGTCTGATGGAAATATTCTATATCTTGATTTGGTGGTAGCTACACAACTGCATGCTTTTGTCAAAATTCATAGAACTATATGCCTTTAAAGGCTAAATTTTACTGTATGTAATATACATACACACATACACATTTACACACACACACACACACATATATATATATTTTATATATATATATATATATATATATATATATATATATATATATACATACACACACATACATAATGCCCTGGAATAACTTAACTACAAATGTATGAAACTCATCTGAATAAAATTAACTAGTTTTGCTAGGAGACATAAAGACTGAATAAGTGCGGAAACATATTCTGTGTATAGATGGGAAAACTTCACACTTTTATAGAAGTTGGTTTTCCCCAAATTAATACATATATTTAACAGATTTCCAATCATCTTAATGAGATTTTTTGCAAACTTGATGAAGTTATTCTAAAGTTCATCTGGAAGAGTAAGTGCATAAAATATAGCCAAGAAAACTCCAACTGTAATTATAGCAGTGGTGCTAACACTGGAATAAGCAAACAGATTAATGAAACACAATAGAAAATGCTGAAATTTAATATGACATGACAATGGTACATTTAATATCAAAGAAAGATCCTTTAAGGAATATTAGATTAACAAATTATGTAGCACATGCTGGTTAATCATTTGAGAAAAAACTAAATTAGATTCATACATCATACTACATACAAGAATAAATTCTCAATGGGCAGGAGTTTAAAGGTTAAGTAAAAGAAGCTACACAATTACTAGAATAAATTATAGATGAATATTTTATAACATTAGGACAAGAAAGGCCAGAAACCTTAAAGGCCTGAAATATATGATTGCATAAATATTTTGTTTGTTTTATTTTATTTTTTAAACTTTATTATTATCATAGTTTAAGTTTTAGGGTACATGTGCACAACGTGCAGGTTTGTTACATATGTATACATGTGCCAAGTTGGTGTGCTGCACCCATTAACTCATCATTTAGCATTAGGTATATCTCCTAATGCTATCCCTCCCCCATCCCCCACCCCACAACAGTCCCCAGAGTGTGATGTTCCCCTTCCTGTGTCCATGTGTTCTCATTGTTCAATTCCCACCTATGAGTGAGAACATGCGGTGTTTGGTTTTTTGTCCTTGCGATAGTTTGCTCAGAATGATGGTTTCCAGCTTCATCCATGTCCCTACAAAGGAAATGAACTCATCATTTTTTATGGCTGCATAGTATTCCATGGTGTATATGTGCCACATTTTCTTAATCCAGTCTATCGTTTTTGGACATTTGGCTTGGTTCCAAGTCTTTGCTATTGTGAATAGTGCCACAATAAACATATGTGTGCATGTGTCTTTATAGCAGCATGATTTATAATCCTTTGGGTATATACCCAGTAATGGGATGGCTGGGTCAAATGGTATTTCTAGTTCTAGATCCCTGAGGAATCGCCACACTGACTTCCACAATGGTTGAACTAGTTTACAGTCCCACCAACAGTGTAAAAGTGTTCCTATTTCTCCACATCCTCTCCAGCACCTGTTGTTTCCTGACTTTTTAATGATTGCCATTCTAACTGGTGTGAGATGGTATCTCATTGTGGTTTTGATTTGCATTTCTCTGATGGCCAGTGATGATGAGCATTTTTTCATATGTTTTTTGGCTGCATAAATGTCTTCTTTTGAGAAGTGTCTGTTCATATCCTTCGCCCACTTTTTGATGGGGTTGTTTGTTTTTTTCTTGTAAATTTGTTTGAGTTCATTGTAGATTCTGGATATTAGCCCTTTGTCAGACGAGTAGGTTGCAAAAATTTTCTCCCATTTTGTAGGTTGCCTGTTCACTCTGATGGTAGTTTCTTTTGCTGTGCAGAAGCTGTTTAGTTTAATTAGATCCCATTTGTCAATTTTGTCTTTTGTTGCCATTGCTTTTGGTGTTTTAGACATGAAGTCCTTGCTCATGCGTATGTCCTGAATGGTATTGCCTAGGTTTTCTTCTAGGGTTTTTATGGTTTTAGGTCTAACATGTAAGTCTTTAATCCATATGACTGCATAAATATTAAGAACTTATGTTAATCAAAACCATAAAATTAAAAGAATAGTTAAGAAGACATAGTGCTTAAATATATAATGGGTGAAGAATTAAGATCTTTATAACTCTGTATTAGTTAATTCTCACACTGCTATAAAGAAAAAACCTTAGACTGGGTAATTTATAAAGAAAAGAGGTTTAATTGGCTCACAGTTCTGCAGGCTCTACAGGAAGCATGGCTGAAGAGGCCTCAGGAAACTTACAATCATAGCAGAAGGCAAAGGGGAAGCAGGCATGTCTTACATGGCTGGAGCAGGAGGAAGAGAGTGAGGGAGGAGGTGCCACACACTTTTAAACAATCAGATCTCAAGACAACTCACTCACTATCATGAGAACAGCACCAAAGAGGAAATCTGCCCCCACGATCCAATCACTTTCCACCAGGCCCCACCTCCAATATTGGGGATTACAATTTGACATGAGATTTGGGCAGGGACACAGACCCAAACCATATCAAACTCCAACAGATATAGGGTAATGTACAAAGCAGGCAAGTCACCAAAAAAAAAAAAAAAAAAAAAAAAGAGAAAATGTAAATGGACAATAAGCATATGAAAAGATATTCAACTTTAATTGTATTACAATTTTTATTTAATATAACACCTTGCCCAGAACTTGCCATATGGTTAGCACATTCATTTTTTTTAATTCAACAAATGTTTATTGAGTGTGTCAGTGTGCCTGGCACTATTGAAGCACAGAGAAAATGGCCATGAACAAGGGAGAGTTTATCATTTGCTCAATCAGTAAAAATGCAAATTAAATTAATGAGATGCCACTTTTGCCTAATAAATTGGATGGTTAAAAAGAAGGATAATTGGTTCACTCTTGTAATGCCAACACTTTAGGAGGCCAAGGCAAGCATATCGCTTGGGCCCAGGTGTTTGAGACCAGCTTGGGCGATGTAGCAAGACCCCTCTCTACAAAAAAATACAAAAATTAGCCAGCCATAGTGGTGAGCACCTGTGGTCCCAGCTACTCCGGAGGCTAAGGTGGGAGGATCACTTAAGCCCAGGAAATGGAGGTTGCAGTGAGCTGATATTGTGCCACTGCACTCCACCTTGGGTGATAAAGTGAGACTCTGTATCAAGAAACGAAAAGAATGACATTTAGTGTTGGTAAGGGTTCAGGAAAACAGGCAGCCTGCCACCATAAAATAGTGGGAGCACATATTAGAGTCTGATAACTTGGTAATCCAAAGGAATCAAAGTGTGCATACCCTTTGATCTGGCAATTGTACTTTCAATTATTTATCCAAAGAAAAACCTGGAGAAGCACCCAGGGGTATATTACAATGTAGTTCATCAAGCATTGTGTTTTTATTGTAGGGAAATGACAACCTGAATGCCCAACAATAAGGGATTCTTGGAGATACGGGGAGATGGAGTTCAGATAACAGATGGGACATAGGCATTGGAACAGCAAAGATAGATTGGTCCAGATACAAGTGATACAGGGCAGGTGAGCCCCAAAATTAGGGCTTAACCCAAGAGGGTTCTTGGTTTTGCCCAGGAAAGAATTCAAGGGTGAGTGGAGGATGCTAAACAGAAACTATAATCGAAGCGGCAGTGTATAGCAGCAGCAGAGGTACTGCTCCTTGCACAGCAAGGCTACCCCATAGGCAGTGTGCCCAGAGCAGCAGCTCAGAGGCACTTCTGCAGTCATATTTACATAAATATAGTAATTATACTTTTAATTACATGTAAGTTAAGGGGCAGTTTATGAAGAAATTTATATGAAGGTGGCAACTTGTCAGATTGTTGCTATGAAAAGGGGTGGTAACCTCCGGGTGTTGCCGTGGCAGTGGTAAACTGACATAGCACACTGGTGGGGTGTCTTATGGAAAGCTGCTTCTATCCTGGCCCTGTTTTAACTAGTCCTCAGTTTAGTCCAGTGTCTGAGCCCAGCCTCCAGAGTTGAGTCCCACCTCCTACCTCACAATTAAGTGGGTAAATTTCATGTCAGGAAGGTGAGGAGATTTTGTTTTATGTTCCATATGTTTATTACCTCTCTGTCCCCCTACCCCCCACCCCCTCCCCATCTGTCTTTCTGAGGCAAACGTGTCTTCTGAAAGTGAGGGGATAGTGGAATTGGAAGTTCAACATTGTAGAGAGGGTTTAAAATAGCTACTGCATCAAATGCAAAGAAAACAATGTGGAGAAATATTGGAATTCCCAGGCAGCACTGAAAGCATAGATGAGGTCAGATCATGAACATTTACCTGATGTATAAAGAACCTGTACAAGAATATAGCAATCTTGAACACAGTTAAATGCAAAATAAAAAATCCGTTTTATTCAAAGAAAATATTCCTACCAGATCTATTCATAAATCTACATCATTTGGCATAATTACACAGTATGGTTCAAGTGGTTCTGAGATTTACGGTGGAACTTCCCATTTCAGAGGTTTGTAGCTTAGCCATTAATCTTCCCTGAACTAAAATCTACATATGAATTTCAAACCATTGAGGGGATGGGGCATAGAATGGAAACTAACTCCATCCATAATAAGAGCAAAAAATGTGAAGTTAAAACTTAAAAAGTTAAAACTGCAGATCTCCAAGAAATCTAGCAGTTCACTGGAAGAAAGATGGTGTAAAGATGAATTCTTCCAAAATTAGGTTAGAGGTTTAATGCAATGCAAATCAAAATCTGAACCAGACATCTTTTAACTTTTCAAAAAGAGTCTAAAAATCAAAACCATCTGATAGAATAGTCAAAAATAGTTTAGAAATGTTTAGAAAAAATAAAAGAGGTGTGAAGAGGATCCATTTATTAAGATATTACTCATATTTTTTAAAGGTACAGTAATTAAATTTGTGAGCTACTAATATAAGATGTAACAGAATAGTCCAGAAGAACAGCCTAAAATATATTAAATTTAACTCACCATTAATCTCGTGATTCCCACTCACTTTCCACACTAGGTCAAAAAAAGACAGCTTTTTAATAAATAGTGTTTGGACAATAGTTAGCTTGTTCTTTTGGGAGGGGAATAGGGATGTAAGAAAAGACAGGTTCTTAATTTTCACCCCAATGAAGGTATGAATGGACCCTCCTGGTTTGCAGGCCCAGCAATAGATAAGAGACAATATTTAAAAGGAGACAGAGAGATGTTGAACTTCTCTTGTGAGAGGTGGTAGCCCAAGCTCTGGAGTTTGAATCCCTGCTCATTCCCCACTTCTTCAACAATTATTGAGCTGTTCAAGGAGGTGCAATGCAGTATGGATAAGAGAAAAAAGCTCCCTGAGCTCGTGGAACTTACCTTCTGTTGGAGGAGACAGTGGTAAACATGTAGACACATGAAGGGGAAGATGCACAATAGTGATAAGTGCTAAGAAGATGACGTAGGGCAGAGGGCAGAGTCCTGGATAGTCATGAACTCTCTGACCAAGGGTCTTGAACTGAGACCCAAATGGCAAGCAGGAAAAAGATCTAAAGGAAGGGCTTTCCAGGCAGAGGAACACATGCAAGTCCCTAAGGTGGAGATGACCTTGACAAGTCCAAGGGACAGATAGAGCCAAGGTGGCTAGAGCAATGTGGCCAAGGGAAAAGCGGCGAGAGAGGTGAGGGCAGGGGCTAGAGCAAGCAGAGCCAGGTGGGCCATGCAGAAAGCTTCGGTTTATATTCTGGTGAGGTAGAAAGCACCTGGAAAGGTTGAAGTGGACAAGTGACAAGCAGGACCTTACATTATGAAGATCACCCTGGCTGCCATGTGCCACCTTCTTTCCAAGCAAATGTGGAAAGTGATTTCAGGTCTCACTGGACTTCTTCAGAGCCAAGCACATGCCCTGATTACCACCAGTCATTAGAAATGTTTCCAATCAATATTAGGAACTATTGTCTGAGGAACAGTCAGTATAAAAAAGCAAAAAAAAAAAAAAAGATCAATGGCTATGATTACCTCTTAGGCCAAGAAAGGAACTCCTCCTGCCTGCTTTACACCTGCCAGAGTAGGTTTGGTCAAAGGTGATGCCCCCATTTCCCCGCTTAGTTTCCTTTGCCAGGCCCTGATATGGCCAACATCAGACAATACTAGGTACCATCAAAGAAGAACAAGAAAATGACCTCAGGGAAACATGGAGATCATTGGAACTAAACTACAAATAATATACTTTTAAAATTTATTTTTTAGTCACCATGAAAAAAGGAAAATATTTCTTTTATAGATGGCCTTGGCCATCAAGACCTGGATGACTTAAGAACCCAAACCTTCCTAGAGGTCAGTTCTCCTCTAATCTCTGTTATGTGTAAATGTTTCAGTGCATTACATATGCTAATTTATTAAGTTCATGTTCCAATTTCTTTCCACAGTTCTGTGCCACCCTCTTGCATCAAGTCACTCTTCAGGGACATGAGTCTGTTCATGGAGAATGTATTTTGACGGGTTTTAGCGGCATTGCTGGAGTGCCTTATGTTTCATGAGAACTGAAATATATTAGCATTGAATTTTTCTAGCAGATTTCTGTCAAATATTTAGAAGGACATATGGAGTTTCTTTCCTACCATTGAAAAGGAGAAAAATACATGAAATCAAGGCATTTGGACAAACTTTCTTGCTTGCTCTGGTAGTTTGATGGAAGCATTTCTTAAAGCCAAGACAGCATCTGTAATACGACACAGAGGAGTGATGAGCGGACTGGGAGTCTGGATTCCACTTGGAACAGGTTTTCTTATAGAGCACATCCTTTCTCGCTTGTGGTCATTGGCAGCTCAGTTCTAGGTGGGCTCTGGAAGCCTTAGAATGGGCACTTGTGCTGGACAGATCTCCAGCTCTGTGGTGTGGCTTGGTCTTTGGCTTTCCAAATCAATGCACTTATTCTAGTTGGTGTCAGTTGGTAGAGGCTGCAGAATGACCTGAGGACTCCCTGTCGTTAGACTCCTCTCTTCCTGATCTGTTGTTCACTGGTCTGATTGTGCACTCAGATTCTGTTTCACCATCACTTCCCACAGTCCACTGGGTCCAGGGAATTATGCACATGGAAGAAGTGCTGGTGTGACAAGTGCGGAGGAGCATGGGTTTGGGAAACCACCATCTGGTCTCAAGTCCTAGCTCCACATCTTCTTCACTGAGCCACAGTTTTCTTGTCTCTAAAGATGGGATTAAAATATCAACCATGTCAGGTTGCTGTCATGGTTGAATAAAATAATGAGAAGCCTAGAATCAACCTGGCACAGGATGGACCCACATTAACTATGAGGTGCTTCCCTCCTTGCTTCTTCTCTTCCCTCCCCAAAGAGTCTCTCGCGAACAACATTCAGCACGGGGAGAAGCCATGGCCACATATTTATTTTATGCAACTTGAACTGCTAAAAGGTCTTTCACCTCTCCCTGTAATTTCTCTTTTCACCCCTTTGTGCTCAAACATGTCTTTAGATGACCCCTGTTAACGTTTCCTGTTACCTGGATGTCCACTGTCCCTAATAGTTCCCCCTAAGGAACATTTGTAAGTCACAGGGCTGAAAGGAGGACTGGAGGGCCCCATACTGTCACCAACTTCTTGATTGTACTGCAGCCAATTATGAAGATCGTATGTAGCCCTTCAGCCCTCCCCTCAGGAAACTTGACACCAAAAATAATGAATTTAAAAGAAAAACTGAACAAATGACTCAGGTGCTATTCCACTTGGGCATTTGATAGTCACCGACTTTCATGATGCATGAGAAAAGGAGCTCTGAAATGTTATATTTTTCTTTATTTCAATAACCTAGTGAACCCTTCCTTCTCTCCTGGTATTTAAATCTTTAATGCATCAATTTCTTCCAGATCACCCAGCTGGAAAGCACAGCAGCACCTTGCCAGCTCCCTCTTCTTCACTGCAGCCACCATGTTCTCTCAGCTGTTTCCAGAATATTGCACCTTATATGCTTTTATCCCTACTATGGCTGCCCCACCTCAGGTCCTTGCGACCTTTGATTGGAGCTGCAGTTACTCTTTCCTACACTTACTTTCTGCCTCCAGTTCTCCCCAGCCCTCAATCTGTTCATGTGGCAGTCAGAATTACCTTTCTGAAGCACAGGTCTCTCCTGCCAGCATGTTAAAAGCCTGGGCTTTAAAACCAGGCAGACCCTAATACAAATCCCGGCTTCTTCAAGGAAAACCTTGTCACCTCTCTTAAGCCTCAGTTCCTCATCTATCAGTTGGAGTGATCACAGTATCTGCGTCCTAGGGTGGTGAGGAGGGTGAAATGAGGCAAGGCAAATGATGCACTTATCCCAGAGCCTAGCACACAGTGAGCACTCAGTGAGTTACTGTTAACAGCAGCAGCAAGAACCTGCAGTGGCACCTCGTTGCCAGCAGTACAAACCCCAGACTCCTGAGGCTGGCATTCGGGGCACTGTAAGACCTCCCCTCTGCCTCCCTTTTCCTACCTGTCTCCCACAGCCTGCCCTGGGCTGCAGTGCCATTGACTCAGCAGCTTTCTTGTGCTTCCAAACCTTACCCCAAAGTAAAATGCTAGCAGCACCCGGTTGTTCTCTCTGTAGGTCCGCAGCCTGTTGCTCACAGTGCAGGACAGATCTTACCTTCTGCTACCTGCTGTTGTCTCCTGACTGCTTCCCCCTCTGCTCTCTGAGGGTAGGGACCATGGATTACTTGTTTCTGCATCCCCTGCAGGGCCCAATGCAGTGCCTTGGCATAGAGTGGATGCTTCCAGAAGGAATTAAATTAGTGATGGGAGGGAATCATTGATGATGTTTGAGGGCCTGGTTTTTTCAGGGTCCCCTCGAGGCTATGACATACCTTGTTTTCATTGCATATCAGTGTGTATGGTTTGGTCTGCTCCCAGTAAAGGGAAAACAACAGAATGAAAAACCGGGAAACAACAGAATAATGGAAATGTACTCTCTCTCTCTCTCTCTCCCTCTATGTGTGTGTGTGTGCCAGTGTAGGTTGCTTACTCTGATTTCTTGGACTATCCTGTATTCTGATATTATTACTCCCTTTTTGGTGGTATGATCCCATCTTTATGAAATTGTAGTGGCAGGCAATAATAGATTATAGAGGCTTTTTTCTTTTTAAAATATTATTATTTGGCAAAAGAAAAAACAAGAAACAAAGAGCAGCAAAGTTTAACCTTTTGGAATAATGGTAAAAGGCACTCTTTGAAATACGAAATAGTTAAAGAAAAATGTTTCAAGACTGCAGTACATAATGAGAGGCAGCTAAACCACCAGGCACTCACCAGCATTGTGCCCATCTCCAGCCAGGAAGTGTGCCTGCAGAGCAGGTGGGAGGTGCTTGAGGAGAGGCGCACAACTCTGGACCCAGACACTGGGTGGACACCTGACACATGCCTTCTAATTTAATCTTCTTGAAAGCTTCTTGAGCTAGATGATGTTATATCCATTTTACAATGGAGGTGCAGAGGGGTTAAGTATTTGCCCAAAGTCACACAGACAATGTAAGCTGAATTTCCCTGGCCTTATGGGCCTGTATGTGCAAATAAGGAGGTTTCATTAGGATCAGTCCACAGTAGGAGACCACAGCACCCCCAATTGTCTCCCTCTGTTATTTTGGGGAGTCTTGGAGGAGGGATCTGCCATGTATTCATGAACAGCCCTCTTGGAGGTGCCCACTCAGGGCCCCCATGGATATCTAGAGCTGACAGAGCCCTGAGGGACAGGCCTCACCAGGCCGCAGCTGTCCCCTTTTCACAGAGGGGCTCCAGATCAGCAAGACAAGGGCCACTGTGTGGCTTTGCTGGGACCAGGCACTTGTGCATTTATGGGCCCTTTCCTCCATAAAACATATTTAAAAATAATATTTTACAACTGTATTGGCATAAATATACTAAGATTATATATTAAAACATGTTCCTGGTGCAAAGATTCATTTTTTTCTTATAATTTTAAAAGAAATTAAAATATTTTCATGGGCCCCTAAAGGAATGATGGGCCCTAGGCCAGGTGCCTGCTATCCCTAAAGGGTAAGGAGGCCCTTCACAAGACCCTAAAGTGGCAGTCCCCTCGCCACTGCCCCTGTTTCTTGGCTGACCATGAACCTGGATTATACTGTACGCTTCCCTATCTCTCTAAAGTGTGAGTACCAGTGTCCCTTCAGCTTCTGCCTGTTTTGCCTTTTTGCTCTTGTTCTTGTTATAGGTGTTGGAACAGCCCCTGAGGTGGAGACAGGAAAATCTCTCTTCTGCTCCAGGCACATGTACACATCCTTTTATCCTCAAAGCCTTTCTGCCCACCTTATATTATATCAAGACTTATATCACACACAGGTCAGCTCATCACACACAGCCAGAAGCTGACTCTCTGAACCCAGCTAAGACAGACACACAGACACACATGCTCCAGGGTCAAGCTGGGGCTGGAATCCCCGCTCTTTAATTCCAAAGTGGTCTCTCTCCACGAAGCCAGACATCCGATTATTAGAGCACACTCTTGCTGCTCACACATTCACAAGAGTAAGATATTCTGGTAAAGAGCATTCCTGATTATTCCAGCTTGAAATGAATTTGCAATTTTCTGTGCAACACAAAGCTTAGAAATGAATGATGACACTGGGAAAATCTCAGGAGAATTTACAAAGATTGCTAACGAGCAGATATAGCTACTGTTTAGAATGAAAATATTTTCTCCTTTAGAATTCTACAGGCTCAGCTCTCCCCTGGCAACACCTTGCATTCTCCATGTCTTTGAAAAACAGTTGATAGGGAAGAGTACATAGAGTAGAAATTTGTTTATAGCAACACATTTTTATACGGAGAGAAAGCATATAAACACAAGACAGAGAGATTGCTAAGGTAAAGTGTATTTGGGTCCTGAGACAAAAAAATACAAGTCTTACTCTGCCTACAGTCCCTAGAGGAAAAAAACGATAGAGTTGAGATGAATTGCGCAGGGCACGAGTTGGTCATATTCACTGGGACCACTGAAATGGCCACTGAGGCAGGGCTGCAACCTTGGCACGGTAAATGACTGTCGTAAAGGCCTGCTTCAGCACTGTGTCATTTGTGAGTTGGGCTGGGAGCCTGTCTTCACGGAGGTTGACAGTAGTTTCGCTACCTCATTAATGAGCAATTGAGGAAACTCCATCTCAGGCTGAGAGGAGTCAGATCTTACCTTCCTGTTCCTCTGTCCTTGTGGCTCTGTGGTGGGCTTGCAACACCAGTGTGCTTCTCCTCATCTTCTGTGCCCCAAGTGGTGGACTGTTTCAGCTCTGGTGGTTGTGAAGCTGACCTTGTAGATTTGGTGTTCTGCATGGGGCTGTGACACAGACTGAACCCTAGAAGTGGACACCTGGGCTCTCAGAGGTGAGCATCAGTCAGCAGGACACCAAGAGCATGGCTGCCTCAGAGCACAGATACACATCCTGTGGTGGGTTAACAGCTCAAAGTTCAACACATGCTACCTGCACTAAGGCATATTGGCATACACTTGGCATTTTAAAAAAAGAGAATTTTGCATGTATCTGGCACCTAATAAATGTGTTATTTAATTTGTATTTCTTTGCTCACTAGAAGGTTGTGTTACATGGGTTTACCAGCCATTTTCATTCCATCATCTGGGTCCCTTAGCTGCAAGTGTCTTGAGACTCACCTTCCTGTTCTGCAAAGCCTCCTATTGTGTCAGCTGACTCTCTCCATGCTTTCACTTCTCCCTCATTTGCTACCATAAAACCCATATTTGATTTCCCTTATGATTAATATCTGGAGAAAGTCAGCTACCACAATGGCATGCTCTGTCTGGGCTCTCAACTCGTGCTTTGTGCCATTCAGCTCATCCCTCTGGGGCTGTAAGCAATAGAAATAGGTAGGATCCTTTAGCTTTTCATTTCTCCCACATACAGGGCTCCCTGTCAGCCACCTCTGAATCTCCACCAGTTTTTCATCTGATCAAACCCCCATCCAGTGCTAAATATAAGTTTTTTAACATAGTTGTAGGAGGTGCTTTTCACTTTTCTCTAGACTGGACAGGGAACAGGACATTTACATTACAAGTCAGTGTTAGCCCTGTAGGAAAGCTGATCTTTCACTGACCAGTGAGCACAGTAAGGAACAGGGAGGTTAAGTGCCCTGCCCCTGTCATATAGCTATTGAAATCCAAGTTATCTCAACTTCCAGTAGGTGCATGGTCCACACCCACCCTCAGGTGCAAGCAAACAGCCCATTCCTAAGGAACAGACAAGAAACACTTGATTCCCTACAGGTGGGAAATTGCTGTGGATTCCAGTTTGCCTTTCCCAGTGGAAAGCAAAATGGGGACATCAACCAATGAAGAGATCTTGTCCAGTTTTCATATAATTTTTGTTCAGTCACTTCTTCTTTTTTTTTTTTTTGTTTTTTTTAGGCGGAATTTCGCTCTTGTTGCCCAGGCTGGAGTGCAATGGCGGGTCTCAGCTCACTGCAACCTCCACCTCCCAGGTTCAAGCAATTCTGCTGCTGCAGCCTCCCAAGTAGCTGGGATTACAGGTGCCTGCCGCCACACCTGGC
Source organism: Homo sapiens (assembly GCF_000001405.40). Lineage (NCBI taxonomy): Eukaryota > Metazoa > Chordata > Mammalia > Primates > Hominidae > Homo > Homo sapiens. The sequence continues at coordinate 40,230,990 of NC_000003.12, forward strand.
TAATTTTTGCATTTTAGTAGAGACAGGGTTTCACTGTGTTGGCCAGGCTGGTCTCAAACTCCTGACCTCAGATGATCCACCCGCCTTGGCCTCCCAAAGTGCTGGGATTACAGGCATGAGCCACCACGCCCAGCCCGTTCAGTCACTTCTGCCAGCTGGAAGCTGGTTCCCTTCTGAAATGGTCCAGGTCTTTAAGCAGACCTCAGGTGTTCCAGGTGAAGCTGTGGCGCTCTCCTCAGACCAGCTGCCTGGGCCTCCTCACTCTGACTTAAGGGAAGATGCAAATGCCTTCAGGGGCCAAGACAGTAAGTCAACGTGACAAGTGGACGGGGTAGGGCCAAAGGCATGCGTGAGGGCAGGAACTACATCCCTCTTGTTCACTGCTTTATCCCAGCACCTGGAACAGAGCTGGCACACCATAGGTTCCCAATAAAAATGTAGAATGAACCGTGGGGAATGTAGAGAACTGGGAAGTGCATATCTCACAGGAGGTATTCCAGGCCAAAAACCATGGGTAATATTTGCCTTTGAGCTTGCAACTCTCATGACTGAATAAACAAGGCTGTTTATAGATGGAATAAAACAATGATGGTCAAACAGTATTGATGGCCAACTTACCCTTTTGATTGTATGTTCAGTTGGAGTCAGAATACAGATCACTCTTTCTGTTTAAGCATCTCTTAAGTCCTTTCCATTAATACCTTGGACCTTTAATGCACTGTGCTGTTTGGAAATTTGTGTAAATTTTTACTTTCCCTTCCCTCATGCTATGGTCTAACTTTTTTTTCTGAATCCCTTGGTCATATATCTTTCTTTTCAAAAGATCTGCAAAGGCACTGTGTCTACCAAATAAGGGGCAATTTTTCTAAACACGTTTTATTCCTAATAAAAGGGTAACAAATCTGCTCTCATGCATACAATGTTGCCCTTTCTAAAACAGACCTAAGAAGTGGTAGCTGGTTCTTGCCAAAATTATTTTGAGCCCAATTTGTCTCCAAAATCTGCCACATCAAGCTACAAGGTCCTGAAAAGTGGGGGACATCCTCTGCACATTTTTCCTAAGGTGAAGAGTTGGCTCTGGCTGTTCTCTTGGACATTGCCCTTATTCTAGTGGGTCTGCATCACCTTCCCTCTATCTCGTTCCCCTGGGACCCCAGATTCTACCTTTTTGGTATGTAGCAAAGCCCCCTGAACCAACAGAAACATGGCTATTGGGTCAGTCAAGCAGCTATTGTGGAACAGACAGGCTAAGGCTAAGGAGGAGCCCTCTGGCACATGTGTCCTCACCCCAGAACGGCTTGACAGGTGTGAGACCATGTGCCTCAGTGTAGAAGCCCAGAGTCAGCTTCTGGACTGCAGACTCAGCCACTAATTTGTCATTTAGCCCCTTTGCTTCTCTAGTGAAGTGGGAGGGCCATCGGAAACCTTCTCTAGTGAGACAAAACCTAAAATAGAATTCACTCGGAGGAACACATTTTGCAAAATCAAGTCATAGCTATCATTAATATTTTGGTCAAGATTATATGGGTCAGATAGGTACCTTGGGAAGGCATATCTTACCAAACATTTTACTGGTCACACGAAATATGCCTGTGAGCAGTATTCAACTTCTAATTTACAAATGATGTGATGAGATAAACAAAATTGTTTGCAGATGGAAACCATGACTGCCAAGCAACAGTGATCTCCAGCTTATTGCATGATGCTATATGTTCAGATGAACTCAAAAATGCAGATAATTCTTTGGGGTTGTTGTGCCTCTGCTTCATTAATGACATTGGCCCAAATCCGGGTTGATTGTAATTTTGAGCCATGAACATAAAAGCTGGAAGTGACCTGTGTCAGTCAGGAACACGTTCAGCCACAGATAACAGAAAACCTGGCCAACAGTGGCTTCAACAGATAGGGGATCTTTTTTTCACATAACATGATATTCAGAGGCAGGTGATGACTCCCAGTGGTTCACCCAATCCAGTACTCTCTGAGTCCAAGCTCCTTCAGTCTTTCTGCCCCATCTCACTTGGAGGTTTGGCATTCATCTTCAATTCTGTTGGCTCATAAGCTGCAAGTCTATGTTTAAGGCAGAAACAAGCGGGGGTGGAAGAAAGGGGCATTAGATGCACCAGTTCCCCTGATTAGGAAAACAAAAGCTTATCTAGAAACTCCTCAGGCTTTCCCTGTGGACTCACTAGTCAAGATTGTGTCATATGACTACACCTAGCTGCAAGGGAAGTGGGAAAATTTATTATTTTCCTGTTCACCCCCATGGTAGAAGCAAGCAAGAGAGAATGGGCTTGCAAATAGGTGTGTGAGTTAATACACTGTCTATCAAGAAACCACAGAGAAATTCTTTCTAGTACTCTCATTGTACAGATGACAAAAATGAGTTCCAGAAATGAGAAATAACTTGACCAAGGTCCCATAACTGGGTGAATTTAGAGCCTGAACTGGAGCCCAGGTCTCTTAAATGCCAGTCCAGAAAGCTACCCACTGGACCACACTTCAGTCTGAGACTGAAGTTTTGCTGATGAAGTAGAATATTATTCAGCAAATAAGGTCAGAGATATTAAACTACCAGCAGTGAGCAGAGGACATACAGTTTCCACTCTAGCACTCCTTCCTCCTTCCCTCACCAAGAATCTGAAATAATTACAAGTCACGGAAACTAGGCAAAGTCAAATCAGGCCTCCCCTCAGTTCTCTTCTGCTGTGTCTAGTTTAATTTTCTCATTCTTCAGCACATTGGTGTTTGTGTGTGGAATTACAGAATCAACCTCATGATGATGAGTGTCATGATAACATAGAATTTCTGTGTCATTGTTAATGTGCTGTTCTTGTCTTCTGTCCCCTTCTGTTATCGGACCAAACAGAAGTTTTCTGCTGTTTCTCTCTGCAACATCTCCACAGAAGTCCTGAAAGTCATCAATGCCACAGAGGAGTTGATAGCAGGATCTACAGGGCCCTGGGAGTCCCCACAAGTCCCTCCTGACAGACAGAAGGGGATGTTTCCTCGTGGGACAGACCAAGTGAGACTGGATGAGCAGCTGACTTCCCTGGAAGAAAATGTAAGAGGGTATGGAGGTGCCCTGTCTAGGGTGAATGTATGTGAAGAAGAAGCTGATGAAATTGTAGCTTATCGTGAAGAGTGCAAGGACACACACATACACACACACACCACTACCACTATAGCAAATACATTCTCAGGAAGGACCTTAGGTTGGATTCCCCAGAAGCAGACCCTAGATGAGGATTTGTGTGCATGTGACTTATTAGGGAATGCTCCCAAGGGAGGCTGGTAAGGGAATGGGGAAAGTAAGGGAAAGGGAAGAATCCAAGCAAGGACATGATCTTACACAAAGAGGAGCTTCAGCCTGATCCTGCAGGGAGCTCTGGAGTAGAAGTTGCATCTCAGAGTTGTCCTGACCTAAGGCAAAAGAACTGGCCCGTCCTACAACCAGCAGGCACTTCAGTCTCTTTGCACACAGGCAGTGTCTCCAGCAGCCCAAAGGCAGTCCCCTGTGTAGATATGGGCTGCTGGGAATAGAAGCACACTGAGGCTTAGTGGGCAGGGAGAGGAGTATAGAGAAACTATAAAGGAGATCCAAGGGGATCCAGGTGGGAGTATTGCCAGTGCCACTACAGGGAATGAAGTGGTTGCCAGAAGAACTGAAGTTACTACAACTGGTCTTCTCTGCTTCTCTAATTTAAGATACCAACAAAATCTGGCCAGGCACTGTGGCTCACATCTATAATCCCAGCACTTTGGGAGGCTGAGGCAGGCAGATCACTTGAGGTCGGGAGTTTGAGACCAGCCTGGCCAACATGGTGAAACCCTATCTCTACAAAAATACAAAAATTAGCTGGGTGTCATGGCAGGCGCCTGTAATCCCAGCTACTTGGGAGGCTGACCCAGGAAATCGCTTGAACACAGGAGGCGAAGGCTGTAGTGAGCCAAGGTGGTGCCATTGCACTCCAGCCTGGGCAACAGAGCAAGACCCTGTCTCAAAAAAAAAAAAAAAAAAAGATACCAACACAATCATATTTAATTTATGTTTTTGATGAATCACCCAAGCCTCCTTGTGCCATTAGCAACAAGAAGCCCACTATCTGTCTTCTGAGCCTATCACACGCCACTCCAAAATTGTCCAAGCACTCTGGGAACTGAGTAAGACTCTACTGCATTACCTTATGACCACATTTAGACCTCAGACTGCCATGGTTCCCGCTCCCCAATTCCTATGCTCCCCAATAAGGATGCTAACCAGCCATTGCTAGTGGATCTGCCAATCAAGAGGAAAATGCCTAACATCAACTACATTTAAAATTACATTTCTTCTTTGGAAATAAAACATTTAGCATAATGCTTGAAAAAAAGTACACAATAAATGTTGGCTGTTCTTATTAGTATTTGAAAGGCATGTCATCAGCTAACTCCTAAAATGATCCCATTAAAATTCACTAAAGAATGGGTTGTTAAAAGTGGTTCCAACTTTAAAAACACTCTTAGCTCTTTCTCTCATCCTGGAACAAGTATGCATTTGCTGCTTTCAAGAGAAAGACACTTGAGAAAGAAAGGAAATAAAACAAGTCCTATTGGTGATTTTGCTTTACTGAAAAATCATCCATTTTTACTGAACTGTAAGCAGAGTGGCCCAGAAGACTCATCTGCCTCATTTCATCCCGTTTTTACTTGCTGCTTTTTCTGAGGACCCTGACTTAGGTAGCTGGGCTTTCCCAGGTGCCAGGTCCTTTTCTGCCTGAAGGAAGCCATGCCTCAGAGTCAGGGTCACAGGGAAAGGAGGTGAGATCTACCAGATGTCTGGAAAGGAGGAAGGGGATGAATGGGGAAGGTACTCACAATCCATTTCAACATTTAGAAGGGTTAAACACTATCAGCCAAGTCAGCTGTTTCCCTGTGGAAACCTGTACATCTCTGAAGGCAAAATCAATGTACTGGAGGGAGGAGAAGACAGTGCTTACATTTACCTTTCTCCAGATTCAATACCATTTAGTTTGTACTCCTAAAAGCTATTCGCAAATATAAATATAGTCATGTGCTACATAATAAGGTTTTGGTCAATGGCGAATCACATATACAACAGTGGTGGTCTCATAAGATTATAATGCTGTATTTTTACTGTACCGTTTCTATGTTTAGATACACAAATAATTACCATGGTGTTACAATTGCCTACAGTATTCAGTACAGTAACATGCTGTAGCCTAGGAGCAATAGGCTAGGTGTGTAGTAGGTTATACCATCTAGGTTTGCATAAGTACACTCTATGATGTTCACACAATTTTGCATTTCTAATAATACATCCTCATTATTTAGCAAAGCATGACTATGTTTAGGTTAAAGGACTTTGTAATTTCCCCCTTCCATTCAAAGAGAAGAAAAAATTCTTGGCTGTCAAGTAAGAGGCACCTGGCCTGGAGGAGGGGTGGGTGTTGACTGATGACTTTGGAGTTCAGGAAAGCTCTTACTGTCCCTTGAGGAGTTGTGTGTTTGGTTTGGCCTAACAGGTATATTTGCTAGTAATGGATTTTTCAGTCCTCCTGATTTGTGATGAAAAAAACAGTGTAATAAATTCTTACAGGTAAATATTCATGATCACTGAGTATTTCAGGAAATAGCTGATGATAAGAATTTCCCAATACTCCAGACCAAGGGTGACACTGAGAAATTTGGACATTAACACTCAAGCTGTAGTCACCATCATCAGTTGGCATGGCCCTAGCCATGAAGTTGATATCAAATCAAGTTAGGTGATGCCAGCTCCTGCAGAGTCAACTGTGCTTTTGAGGTGCTCTAATGAATGCTGTTCCCAGAAATCAGGAATTGTTATTGGAGAGTGTTTTTTTTTTTAAGTAGAAATGGGGTCTTGCTATGTTGCCCAGACTGGTATCAAACTCCTGGCCTCAAGGGTTCTTCCTGCCTTGGCCTCCCACAGGGCTGGGATTACAGACATGAGCCATTATGCCCAGCCTGAAGTATTTTTTGATAAAAGTTAAAACAACAAGAAATAAAAATTTTTTGAATGCAGGCTGGGTGTGGTGGCTCACACCTGTAATCCCAGCACTTTGGGAGGCCAAGATGGGAGGATTGCTTGAGGCCAGGAGTTTGAGGTCAGCCTGGTCAATATGGTGAGATCCCATCTCTATGAATAAAATTATATATATATGCATGCTTGTTTCACTTTAAAAGTTGAAGACTCTCTTCCTTTGGGCTCCCATAAAACCTATGCATGTATCTGTCTGTTCACTTTTCACACTTTCCATCTTTTCTGTTCACTCATCCATCTCCCATTAGGCTGGCACTATTGACATTTGGATTAGGTAATTCTTTGTGTGGGGGCTGTCCTGTGCACAGGATACTTGGCAGCACCCCTGGTCTCTACCCACTAGCTGCCAGCAGCAGCACCCTCCCAGTGTGACAGTCAAAAATGTCTCTAGACATTGTCAAATATTAGGCGTTTGGGGCAGGGCAAAATCACCCCCAGACTGGGAATGAGATATATAAATTCCTGTAGAACAGGGTTTACCACCTTTTATTTCTGTAGCCTAGCCCCAGTCCACCACCCAGAGCCTGACACAGAGGAAGCACTTAGTGAATGTTCAGCTGATGTGTGACTACACCAGAGGAATGAAGCCCCTTTTAAAAAGAACTGCTTGACTTCTCATGCACAGGGTCTCTGTTCTTTAAATGTGTCTCTAACACAGCTGAGTCCTGAGATGGCCCTGATCCTGGGCACACACAATTGAAAGGGTTAAAGACATGGTTCACTAGCAAACAAATGTATTTTTTACAAGTATGGTACCAAAAAACAGTGTGTGAAATATCTGGTTTAAATGACAATGGTCAGTTCTCATAGCACACTTAAAACAAAGATATCCTGCCCTTTTATCTTTACCTCCAAGGAGCATGTTGAAAAGAATGCAATGGCCTTATTGGAGTTTTCATCTTGTAAGATCCTTTAATTGTATGTTTTTTTTCCTTTGGGTTCATTAACAGTTTCTATTTAAAATACATCCACTTACAGACTGAAGATGTCAGAAGCCCCAGCAGGGACCATGGCTGGAAGGCCCAGTCTGTAGATGACTGCTCCCCTCTTCTGCACCCCTCATGCCTCTCCTGTTCCCAAACAGTTAACTGCCTTCTTCCTTCTCCTTCCCTTCCCCCATCCTTCAGCTTTTTAAATTTCACCTCAGAAGAAACCCCATCTATATTCTTTTGAACTCATGTGCTTTTGAGTCAGGGAAGGGATGACTTTTCTTCGTCTCTTTAATTCAACAGATCACAGAGCCATGGGCGCGTTGCCTTGCTCTGCTGCTCCCGGATGGAATTCAGCTGAGCAGTGGGAGAAGCCAGGGCAGTTCTTAAACTGTCCTCTGGGTGCAGCTGATCTCATTAAATCATGGCTTTTGTTGGTCTGCAGAATAAAGAACAGTCCTGCACTCCTCCGCTGTTCTCCATTGTGCTGGGGAACCTAGGGACTGTCAGAAATAGAAACGGTGACACTATTCTCGCCTTCTGAACATTGGTTACCACAGGGCAGGACTCGGGGGGAGAAAAAGAACATTTGGCTGAGAATGTTCACCTTTAAAAATACTTCTGAAGACTCCCAGCTCTGCCCAGTTACACTAGGCTTCGCCTGTGTGGCTTCTGTAATGGGGAGGGAGAGAAAGGATCTCCCCAGGACCTCAGATTGGCTTTACTGTGGCATCTCTTTCCTTGAGGGACACAATAGGTCCTGAGCAAAATGGGAAAAAAAGGAAAAAAAAATAAAAATACTTCTGAAGGTTTCAGAGCTACATAAGATAAAGAAACATCAGCATTTACATATCCAATCTCCTGTTTTCACAAACTGCCTTAACCCCCTTAATTAGCAGATGGCATGGGTATTTTTTTATTTTTATTTTTATTTATTATTATACTTTAAGTTTTAGGGTACATGTGCACAATGTGCAGGTTAGTTACATATGTATACATGTGCCATGCTGGTGCGCTGCACCCACTAACTCGTCATCTAGCATTAGGTATATCTCCCAATGCTATCCCTCCCCCCTCCCCCCACCCCACAACAGTCCTCAGAGTGTGACATTCCCCTTCCTGTGTCCATGTGTTCTCATTGTTCAATTCCCATCTATGAGTGAGAATATGCAGTGTTTGGTTTTTTGTTCTTGCCATAGTTTACTGAGAATGATGATTTCCAATTTCATCCATGTCCCTACAAAGGACATGAACTCATCATTTTTTATGGCTGCATAGTATTCCATGGTATATATGTGCCACATTTTCTTAATCCAGTCTATCATTGTTGGACATTTGGGTTGGTTCCAAGTCCTTGCTATTGTGAATAGTGCCACAACAAACATACGTGTGCATGTGTCTTTATAGCAGCATGATTCATAATCCTTTGGGTATATACCCAGTAATGGGATGGCTGGGTCAAATGGTATTTCTAGTTCTAGATCCTTGAGGAATCGCCACACTGACTTCCACAATGGTTGAACTAGTTTACAGTCCCACCAACAGTGTAAAAGTGTTCCTATTTCTCCACATCCTCTCCAGCACCTGTTGTTTCCTGACTTTTTAATGATTGCCATTCTAACTGGTGTGAGATGGTATCTCATTGTGGTTTTGATTTGCATTTCTCTGATGGCCAGTGATGATGAGCATTTTTTCATGTGTTTTTGGCTGCATAAATGTCTTCTTTTGAGAAGTGTCTGTTCATGTCCTTTGCCCACTTTTTGATGGGGTTGTTTGTTTTTTTCTTGTAAATTTGTTTGAGTTCATTGTAGATTCTGGATATTAGCCCTTTGTCAGATGAGTAGGTTGCGAAAATTTTCTCCCATTTTGTAGGTTGCCTGTTCACTCTGATGGTAGTTTCTTTTGCTGTGCAGAAGCTCTTTAGTTTAATTAGATCCCATTTGTCAATTTTGGCTTTTGTTGCCATTGCTTTTGGTGTTTTAGACATGAAGTCCTTGCCCATGCCTATGTCCTGAATGGTAATGCCTAGGTTTTCTTCTAGGGTTTTTATGGTTTTAGGTCTAACGTTTAAGTCTTTAATCCATCTTGAATTGATTTTTGTATAAGGTGTAAGGAAGGGATCCAGTTTCAGCTTTCTACATATGGCTAGCCAGTTTTCCCAGCACCATTTATTAAATAAGGAATCCTTTCCCCATTGCTTGTTTTTCTCAGGTTTGTCAAAGATCAGATAGTTGTAGATATGCGGCATTATTTCTGAGGGCTCTGTTGTGTTCCATTGATCTATATCTCTGTTTTGGTACCAGTACCATGCTGTTTTGGTTACTGTAGCCTTGGGTCTACAGCTCCCAGCGTGAGCGATGCAGAAGACGGGTGATTTCTGCATTTCCGTCTGAGGTACCGGGTTCATCTCACTAGGGAGTGCCAGACAGTGGGCGCAGGTCAGTGGGTGCGCACACTGTGCACGAGCTGAAGCAGGGCGAGGCATTGCCTCACTCGGGAAGCGCAAGGGGTCAGGGAGTTCCCTTTCCTAGTCAAAGAAAGTGGTGACAGACGGCACCTGGAAAATCGGGTCACTCCCACCCGAATACTGCGCTTTTCCGATGGGCTTAAAAAAGAGGGCATGGGTATTTGAGAATTATCTTGTCTCTCAGCTTTGACACTCCTCACCTGCTATCTGGCATTAGTGCTGTGAAATCAGCTCTTGTCTCCCCTAAAGGCAGAAACAACCTAGGACTAATCCCACCCTCCACAGCAGCACGCAATGGGGGCTCAGTTCCTTGGGCTGAATGCCTTGGTCTGTAGGTATTTTAAATTCTTGCTGTGAAGAGCTCCACTGTACCTATTGGGGTCTGGCTGGAAGAGGAGAGTTTCATGAAAGGGGCTGTTAACTCAGGTGTGGGCAAGGTTAAGGGATGCTGAGGGTGGAACAGTAGCAATAAAAGGAAGCTGTTACCAGCCCTAGACAGTGGTATCTCCACTGGTCAAACCCATCCCAGACAGCCAGGAAGCCCTGGTGATGAAGTCCAAATTGGTCGGCCTCCCAGGGAACAGGGCAGGACAAAGAAGGATAGAAAATGGCCCTAGAAGGTCAACAGAGAAGGACTAGCATAGCATTCTCAGACCTGTGGTGTGAATAGTAGGACTGCCACCTTGAGGATGTATGCAGGGTTGTAAGTAACCCATAATCCCCAGCCTCAGAGGGAATGGAGAGCAAACCCAACTTCCCTTTTAGCTCCACCCCACATTGCCCATGGAGTATACAACCAGTGGCAGCAGACACAGTAGACCTGCACTACAGGGAGCCCAGCTCTGCCACTGAATCCAGATCCATGCAGAGGATGTTGGTCCTCTTTCTTAAAGTTCTCCTACAACCCTTACAGCACTAAAGAGGATGTAGCACTAGAACTTGTGGAGACAACCATGGTTACTCAGGTGGTTCTGTGCCCTCAGAGAGCAAGGAAAGAAATACATTAGTCCCCTAAAGTATAATTCATGGAAGCCACATCCAACAAGATGCTCTAAGGTCAAATAAGTCTGGGAAGCTTGCACACTCTTTCTAGGAAAATTGAGATACATATTAGTACATTAAAGCCTCTGTGAAGACCTGCAGTAAAGAAATCTGTTTAACACTCTTTATTCTAGAGAATTTAATCACAAATAGGTGTTTCATTAAGGAAACACCTATTCTTATGCCTTGAACCACTCTGAGAAAGCCTTGTTGAACCAAGAGCCAGTGAATGCAATCACAGGCATCAATGACTAGAGTTTGAAGGGGTCATAGATTACTCAGACATGGTAACCACAGTTCTCACCAAAAGTGGACCTTAACTTGCCAAGCAAGTCCAAGTGAATATTTTTCAAATGGGTTATGTTTTATAAAGCTAGAATAACATTTTCATCATATAGCATGTTACCTTTTGTTATTTCAAGCCAGCCACAGAGCCAATATCATATCCATCTATAACCATAGTAACTCTAGTACCTTTATGTTAAAATCTGAAATGCAAAATGTTATAACATTCCAACTGAGATTATCACAGCATCATAGGGCAAGGAGGATAAAGGCAAGGGAACTAGCTTCAGCCCTCCTGAGATCACTTCTAGGCTCCACCAGTCCCCAGCTGTGAGACCTCAGAAAGTCACTAAACCTTCCTAGAGCAAAAAAATTCTCATCTTGAACACAGTGATTATAATAGTCTCTACCTCAAGGGTTGCTATGAGCATATATAAGTCACATAAAACCCTTGGCTTAGCCACTGGCTCAATAAATTAATGCTGTCATCATCATCATCATCATCATCCCCACCATCATCATCATTATCCTCCTCCAGTCCTTTAGGCACCATCACTTTGGCTGTAAATTCCTGTTCAGCTGGTATCAGTGCTAAACCACTAAATCTCTTCTGCCTCCTGGTGCCAGGAAAGTAGGCTTTTAGTGAACACAGAGTAAAACATGAACATTCTGGCCTTGCTGAGGGCTTGGAGCTTTTTCATCTTGCTTTGTCTTGGCAGGAAAAAAAAAAAAAAAAAGGAAGATTAGTGAATGAACATGTTGAAGATGTAAATAGCAATCAGGTTGATGCACATCCCAGGGTGTGATGACATTGAGTTTTGCGTGTTTCTGCTAAAATCAAGGTTCCAAGACCTTAGTTATGTCAAGTTATGTTTAACCACTGCCATGCTTAAATTATTTCGTTTCACTTAAATAACTCCAAATGTTGTCTCATTGTGTAAAACTGTAGATTTATATTTTAAATTATCTTATTAAAATAAATTTACTTTTTTGGTGTAGATAGGGAAAAGTATTAAAAAAGTATGATAAACTTCAAACCTCTCTCTCTGTTTCTCCCCCTTTTCCCCACCCCCAATTATTTTTTTACCCTCTAAAGGGAAGTTTTTCAACTTGAGAAATTTTGTGATACATTATTTGAATAATTTCTTCACTCAAATACCTTTGAAATACTTATCATTTCTTTCATTTGACAATAATCATTTCTTGCTTTAAAAACAAAAATAAATGGCTAAGATTAAATTGTGAAGATCTCTTAGAAACAGAATTTCTCTGTATGAAACAGAATTACATATTCAGCATATAATAAAGAAATATAAAACAAAAGATAAACTGAAGTGTGGCAATTCCCATCAGACATTTGATTCATGGCCCCTGTATGACTGGTGAATCATTTGATGTGACATCTTCTGTACCAGTCACTGCTGAAAGCTCCCACAGCCCAGGTAATTATGCCTGATGATGATGCGCAAATTTGCTTTCATCAAACCTGTACCTGCCTTTGCTCCACCTTGAAATGTTTTGTAAAATTGCCAGTTTTAAAACAGATGAGTGAATCATGCCAAGGAATTGACAGAGTGGGAACATCTCAGGCTTCTTTCCCTCACCAACACAGCATCACTAAGTGTAAAAAAAAAAAAAAAAAAGTGCATGACTAGTGTACCTGAGCTCTTGACTCATCTTCAACTCTGCTATATTTTTAACTCAAATTAAGGAAACTGTTAAAGTCTTGGCCATATGTTTCATTCAAATCAACTCTAAATTGCTGTGATTACAGGTTTAGGATTTTATATATGTTGATTAAACCTCAAGAACCTCTCTTTAAGTAATTACTTTCTTTAGATACATCTCATTTCTTATGTTGTTGGTTGCTTCATCACAGTATTGATTAGGATGGGGGGGTATTTGTTTCATTCACCCTGGCCCACATCCCTTAGTCTGAATTATTTCAAGGATTTCACCTTGCTCACTTTTATGGGAATAACCTTATAAACCTGTAAGTAAAAAATGTTTCTTTTTCTTAAATTTCTTTATCAGACTTGCTCTCTTATTTTTAACAGCTCTCAACAATTGTCCTAATTGACAGATAAATAGATACATGCTTCTCTTAACATCACACTATTTTCTAAGAAATATTTTTCTATTACAAACTTCAGGTTTATTTTAATTCCCTTAACCTCGTTGAAGCATGCAGAAGCTAATTAATCAGAGAGAATTCACTCAAAATTTGTAATTATTTTAAATTATTTCCCCTCTTTCTTGTTTTCTGATTTTTTTCTCAATTACTAAATGCCAACCAAAAATTGTATTGGCAAAACTCCATCATGAGTCTCTTTGTTTCTTCTTTATAGTCATTTTTATAGTCACTGGACCAATACACAATTCGCATAGCTGATGTCATGTATTTTGTACTATTTGAACAAAAGCAACTTTGAAATGCTTTTTCTTACAGGAAAGTTTGTGGGAGAGGGAAGGTGTGGTTGACAGTGAGGGGTGTCAAGACCTCACACATTTAAGTGTGAAGAACGTTTATAAATGTTATAAAAATAACATCCCCCCTGCAATGTGAAGTCCAGTTATCTCACTCCCCTGAATTGCTGGGGTCCCCTCAAGGGACCCCCAACCAGTCCCAAGTCTGCAGACATGAACTCAAATGTAGCACTGTCTCTACAGGTATACCTGGCAGCAGGCACTGTGTATGGACTGGAGACCCAGCTGACTGAGCTAGAAGATGCCGCCCGCTGCATCCACAGTGGCACTGATGAGACCCATCTGGCGGATCTGGAGGACCAGGTGGCCACGGCTGCAGCCCAAGTCCACCATGCTGAACTCCAGGTGAGAACTCTCCTCTCTGCCCACATGGGTCCTGCAGGGTGAAACAGGGAGCCCCATGTTCTACAAGAATCACTTTAAAGCCATTGTATCTATCAGCTCCCATCATCTCCAGCATGTTTGCGTGGATACAGTCCTTCCAGATGGATTCCACCAAATTCTCCCTTTAAAAGTGTAGTCCTCTTCTCTGCCAAATTAAAGTCTCGATAATATATTGGATGCCCTTTAAACCTTATACCAGTTTCCTCTTTGAGAAGTTTCCTGACCCATACATAGGTCTCTCTACTATACAGGTTTCCATTCCACTCCAAGACCATCCTTTTCTGACCCTTGTCACACTGTTGATTACTTATTAAGTAATATTATTAAGTAATATTCCCCATTATAGACTGAAAGCTCCATGAGAATAGAACTATAGCTGTGTGGCTTAACATGTAACTCCAGTGCCTAGCACAATACCTGGCACAGATTTAGCACACAATAAAAATGGGGTGAACAAATGAAGGAAATTGGAAGCATAGATTTCTCAGGACAATATTTTTCATGAGGAACAGGGAGGATTTAGATACGGCTATTTCAGAACTGATTGACATAGTCTCTATAACTTTGTGACTATGGCTGTTTGAAGTTTTCACAGATATTCCCGTAGCCTTTGACTCTGTAAAAAATTGACCATGGATTAAGCCACTGATTTTCAAACTAGGGTCTACAGATATATTCTTGGGACCCATGACAATTTTTTTCTTTAAAAGGGCTCCATGTAGGCCAGGCATAGTGGCTCACGCCTGTAATCCCAGCACTTTGGGAGGCCGAGGCGGGTGGATCACAGGTCAGGAGATCGAGACCATCCTGGCTAACACAGTGAAACCCCATCTCTACTAAAAATACAAAAAAATTAGCCGGGAGTGGTGGCGGGCGCCTGTAGTCCCAGCTACTTGGGAGACTGAGGCAGGAGAATGGCATGAACCCGGGAGGCAGAGCTTGCAGTGAGCCAAGATTGCACCACTGCACTCCAGCCTGGGGCAACAGAGTGAGACTCCATCTCCAAAAAAAAAAAAAAAAAAAAGGGCTCCATGTGTTACTCAAGTTTGAGAGACACTCGTCTCTGCAGCTTGAGTTCAGTATAGACCCCTGGTTTGCTGATTTTTTTTTTTTTTTTTTGAGACAGAGTCTTACTCTGTCACCCAGGCTGGAGTACAGTGGCATGATCTTGGCTCACTGCAACATTCACCTCCCTGGTTCAAGCAATTCCCCGCCTCAGCCTCCTGAGTAGCTGGGATTACAAGTGCACGCCACCACACCCAGCTAATTTTTTTTTTTTTTTTTTTGTATTTTTAGTAGAGACGGGGGTTTCACCATGTTGGCCAGACTGGTCTCGAACTCCTGACCTCAGGCGATCCACCCGCCTTGGCCTCCCAAACTGCTGGGATTACAGGTGTGAGCCACTGCAATAGATCCTGCATCTTAAAACTGAATCATTGGGAGAACTGTGGTCGTCAATAAAACCATATCTAGATAGAGACATAAATCAAAGAAAATGACTGAAGTGAGTCTCAATCATTTTAGAGGGTTTTTTTTTCGGCCAAGATTTAGGATGCACCCAGAAAAAAAGAGACAGAAACCACAGTAGGATCTGTGGCTCACACTTTTTCCAAACAGGATTTTGAGGGTTTCAATATTTAAAGGGGAAAAGTGGGCAGGAGCGGAAATAGATGGAGGGAAAGAGGAAGGGTTTGGTGACATTCTTGTGAATCTGCCCATTGCACATGAAAAGGAGGGGTAAAGGGAATGGTCAACTATGTATTCATCTTGCACTCAGTAAATCTGTGCTTTACATAAGATAAAGTAAAAGTAAACAGAAGAGAGGAAGCAGTCAAATATGCATTTATTTTCAGGTGGGTGAGGGGACAATTTCTAGTCTCCTCTTGTCCTGTAACCCATGAAGATAAGCTATTAATTTACATTGTGAGGGTGACGGAAGCTGTGAAGACATGTGGCCTTCTATCTGTAGCTATCAGTTTAGGAACAAAAGAAGGAAAGGCAGTTTTGGGGGACAGGGAGGAGGGGGTTGTGACTCAGCTTCCAAACTTCTCCCTTTTGGCATAGTGAATTGGGGGTCCCGAGATTTTATTTTCATTTCACAGAGACAATGACACTCTCAGGTGGTAATTATTTTAAAAGTAAATATTTTCACTTTATTGAGTCAAAAATACAACTCCTGACATCATTAACCACTCTAGAGAATGAAAGGGCACAATTCTCCACTCTGTGGATGGGTCAATGCTGTGAACTAGAAATGAGCTTATCAGATAGATGGCCCTGTTGACTATTATCAGTAAGAATGGCTGAACAGCAATTCTCCTAAAAAAAAATTATTTTCCATAAATTTCACCCAAGACTTAATCAATTTATTGTCAAAGATATATTAAGTAGAATCAAATCACTTGTTTTCTGTTACATTGTGTAGCAAATACTTCTTGAATGATTTTGCAGGAAGTAATATTTATGGGTGTTTGGGAGGATTTTATTGGATAATTATTCCCCCTTTATTGGATAGTTATTCCCCCTTCCACATTTTTCTAGACTTAAATTATTGTAGCCATGTTTTATGGCAGAAAACTCTAGAGTTCCAAATGTCCATTTTCCATGTGTTTAAATGTGTGCCTATTAATTTTTCATTTATTTTTAAATATTACAATAATGTTATCAATAATTCCCAATGTTCTGTGAGCGTTATTTTGTACTAGGTATTTGTCCTTAATGGTTTACCACATTATTGTATTTATTTTTTTCAGCAACCCCATAAGTGAGCTACTGCTACTATCCTCCTTTTATATCTGAGGAAACTTACCCAAGGTCAAATACCTAGAAAGTGATAAAACCGGGATTTTAATCCAAATTTCGTGACCTCATAGCCCACACTCTTTTTCTTCTTTTGAGATAGAGTCTCACTCTGTCGCCCAGGCTGGGATGCAATGGCACAATCTTGGCTCACTGCAACCTCCGCCTCCTGGGTTCAAGTGATTCTCTTGCCTCAGCCTCCCGAGTAGCTGGGATTACAGGCACGCACCACCACGTCCAGCTAATTTTTGTATTTTTAGTAGAGAGAGGGTTTCATCATATTGGTCAGGCTGGTCTCAAACTCCTGACCTCAAGTAATCCACCAGCCTTGGCCTCCCAAAGTGCTGGGATTACAGGCATGATCCAGCGCCAAACAGCTCACATTCTTAACCAGTCTGTGCTGTGTGGTTTCCTGGGAAATGTGTTGGTCCTGCCCTCAGGCATACACGCACTTGCCTAGGTGTCCTTAACTTGCATGGCATGGGAGGTTGTTGACCCTGCCTTCAGCTTTGTGGATTATCTCAACTGCACCGCCAGGCATGCGGAAATTCTCCCCACCAGGCTAACTGGTGCCAGAGAATGAAGCCTCCAACTCCCTGTTGTCTGTTCTCACCCAAAGTCTAGTTTCACAGAGGATTTCTTGCAGGATGGTAGGAGGGTCCCCATTGAGGGGGGCACATATGCTAAATTGTGTTCTTGGTAATATTAGGACAGAGTCTAAGGATGCTATCAACTTACTTAGAGTCTACTTTTGAGACAGAGTGCCGTTATCCAGTGCTGAAAGAGACTGCAGAATGACCCTTGTGGAGCATGCTAAGGGTGCTGTCCACTGCATCATGCAAGTTGTCTCTATGAGAGTTCCTGGAGAAAGCTTCTCTTAACTCCTAGTATCAGGAAAAGCTGTTCTTCTGAGTACTTGGTCTTCGATCTTGTGGACATGGAGCTCTTGGCTTTGGCTCCCAGGAAACTCAGAGCTGAATTGGTCATCCCCTTCTAGCAAATGTATAGCTCCTTGGACATGCAGTTCTAGAAGTGGGACATAATTATATAGAGAGAGAAGATACAGGCAAAATCAGCCCTCAGTAGCCTCCTCTTTCTTTGTCCTTTGTCCTATGGACTGAAACCTGAAAAATTAGCCCTTTCTTATTCCAGAACCTGATAGTCCACAAATGAAGAGGTCAGCAGCTTGCTTTCCCATTGACCTTGTCTTTCCCAGGGCCCTCTGAGCAAGGCCCTCCATCAAAACTGCTTCCAGGGAAGAATGTGAGCATCTAATCCACACCAGTTGCTTATGACTGGTAAAAGCTTAGCCTGCAACTTTTCTCAGAGGCTTGTGTAATTTGTTGGTTCATAAACCAAAAGAATGCAGTTCTTAATGTGAAATTTGAAGATTAAGAACAGAAAGGCATCTGGGGACCAGGAAGGGAAGGACTCAAGTGGTGCCTTCTGGGGCTGGCTACTGGGTAGCTTGTAATTCTCTTACCAGCTGCCACAGACTTGGCCTTCACCTACCTCCTCCTCCTTTTCTGACCATGACTGCCACCCCTCAGGGGTAGGGGATGCATCTTCCAAATTTGCTGACCCTTCAATCTTTCTGTGTACCTCCTATAGCTCCTATCACAGTAGACTTTGTTCAAAGAAGCCCTCAGTAAATGACAGCAGAATTCAAATTTGTCTTGAGTAGCACAGAATTGTGGAGGGCTGAGAGGCAATGGAGACCTCATGTGTGGAGCACACACACACATTGGCTAGGGTCTACCATCAGCTTATTGTCTGATTCCCTAACAACACTCAGAATGTACCATCTCAGCAGAATCTTGACCTCTTCCCTTGACTCTGCTAGCCTTTCCCTGCCTTTTCCAGCGTCCCCCATACCGGGTGTTGGCACATCCTCTCAGACTGTGGCAATGTGACGAGAGCATGGCCACTGACATGAATTCCATGCACTGCCCAGATTGGCTGTGAGATGATGGGTGTATCACTTGTCCCTTTGAGCCAGTTTCCTTATCTGTGAAACCAAGATAATGGTACTTACTTCATAGAATTATTTAAAACACTTAGCATGGTTCCTGGCACATAATAATGCCCTTTTCTAAGAGCAGGGACAATATCTTCATTTCTGGAGACAGGGGAGGACCAGGGTTCTCTCTGGGCACTAAGTGGGTTCTTACTTTCCATTTCTGCATTCAGACTCTGCTGAAAGAAAATCTGAGCTCTCTCTTGACCTTCCCATGTTACAAATTAGGAAAATGATGCCCAGAGAGGGGAGAGAGTTTCTCAAGGCTGGTTGGCTTCTTAATGGAGGAGATGGACTTGAACCAGGGACCGCTAGGCCTCCCTTCTAAAACCTGGTGCTGTGGTTTTGGATTCATGAAGTTATGGAAGAAGAAAGCAGGACATATAAATGACTATAACAGGACATATAAATCCTATGACTTCCCTGACCACTTCTCACCCCCATGCTGAGCCAGGTGGCCCCGGGCCAGGGTCCCCATCGTGTCCCCAGGCTTTCATTTATCCCCAGGCATACTCTGACAGGATTGTTGACATGCTCTAGAGCTAACAAACTAGAAATTTAAACTTATAAAGAAAGGCCTGTGTTTTATTTTCTTGCTACACACTAGATAGAGGAGTGTTTGGTAGAAGTTGAATGAATGAATGAATGAATGAGCATACATCAAAGCAGATTTGTCTTTATAAATTCTTAACACTTTTAAGAAATATTTTCCCCTTCCGTATTTTCTCCCTGCCAATCTTGTCTTTCTGTTGCTTTAAGATTTCAGATATTGAGAGCCGGATTTCAGCCCTGACCATTGCAGGATTAAACATAGCACCATGTGTGCGCTTCACAAGAAGACGGGATCAGAAGCAAAGGACCCAGGTGTGTTTGTCCCTTTCTCCCTCTGTTGGAATGTTACATGGCTTGGAAAATTTAGAAGACAAAATATCTTTGGCTCTGCAAAGGTATATTGCTCATTGTGTTCTGTTTGTAGGTACAAACCATAGATACATCAAGGCAGCAAAGGAGGAAACTGCCTGCTCCACCGGTGAAAGGTATGCTAAATTAAAACCACAAAGCTACCAAAAAATTAAGCCTGAATCATTTACTTTGGGTAACAAAGAGACCTGAGTTTGAGAATTAGATCTAATGGAGTGTTCTCACACAGAATTGCTCTTGTCTATCTTGATTTGGGTCCCCCCAGAAGCAAACCCTGGGACAAGGATAGGAGTGAAAGTAGCTTGTTTGGAAGGTGCACTGCTAGAGAAGAAGATAAATGATTCAGAGAAAGAAATTAAGTCAGTCAATACAGGGTACTTGAATTAGGAGTTATTTCTTTGGGCAAATAAAGCTAAGTCCTCCTGGTGACCTCTGGGAGACAATGTTGGCTGCACCTCAGAGTTTTCTGCCCAAAGGGCAGGGAGATGGGATATTTGTTCTAAAACTCCCATCCATCTCTGGCTGAGAGTTACTTCTAGAGGTATTAACTCCCTGGTACTTCTGACCTGCCCCATGCATGAGCCAAGACAGAGTGGTGGTACTTGCTGTAGGATCTGTTGGAATATGCTGGAATGGTGACTGTCAAAGAGAAGTGAACAGAACACCAAAAGTATCTGCCACAGTGTCCAATCTAGAAATGATCTGGCAATGCCAGTCATGTCGCCTTTATCTAATGGACATTTTCAACAAATGCCCCAGGTTCAGAAGCCACAAAAGGGTGATACCAAACTAGAAATTTAGATTTACAAATTAGAGGAGGAGAAAGTCCAAAAATGTGCATTTGGGCCTTGGTTCTGCTATTGATCATTTAACAAACATTTATTGAATGTTTATAATCTACAAAACTGTATGCAGTTAAAATTTATCACAGATTCACAGTCCTTTATTTGAAACCCTTGGGTCCCTATGTGCTTCATAATTTCTTGGGCATTAGAAAGGTAATATAGTACACGTGCTGTATATTTCTTTACACCCCCCATGGCATCTAGGCAGCATCTGAAAATCAAACAAACACATGAATATCCTTACAGCAGAGCACAAAAACATTTGCACTCCATGAGATGGACAAGGACATTAAATGGCCTCATGTCAGTTCAGGTCAGGTTTTATAATCAGATTCTTTTGGCTCCAAAGTTGTAAAAATTTGCAAGTTTTAGAACCTTTTCTATTTCAGGACTGCACATAAGTATTTATGAACTGTACTGGGTTATCTCTGAGCTATCGTTCCACAGAAAGCTATCAATGATGCCCTGACTTATTTGTCCATCATAAAAATAAACACAAAACAAAAAGATCCCATAGTCAATCAAACACAGTACAGGAATGAGATTCCAAGTCTAGAACAAAAGTCTGAGTAATCTGGCCACCTTGTTTTTTCCTTAACAATCAATCAGTCCATCTTCTGGGTAACATTTTTTCCCATTTATTTCCTTTTAGCTGAAAAAATTGAGACATCTTCAGTGACTACCATTAAAACATTTAACCACAACTTCATTCTCCAAGGCTCCTCAACAAACAGGACTAAGGAAAGGAAAGGCACCACCAAGGATTTGATGGTAAATGTCATCTCTGTCTTAATGTTCAACGCTTTCACTGTTGATGGTACCTCCACTCTGCAGCCTTTCCTTCTGTAGCTCCCGCATCAGAACCCCCAAAAAGTATCCTTCCTCCGTGGTCTTATGGTCTGTTGGATTTGACTGGGGGGTGGACTTAGCAGTAAACCAAGAGCAGAGTGCTTGGTTGAATAAGGCCATGAAGCACACACACACCGCCGGTCACCCTCCTCAACTGTTACTCTAGAAATCACTATTACTAATAACTTTCTACGCAAGTATAGAGGAAATAAGTCGTAACATGGTAAGTGTACTGGAAATTGCACTTGGACATACCAAAATGTAGCTTAACCCAAAGCATCCGGCTTACACCCAGAAGATTTCATCATGACCTAATCACTTTGAGCCAACTCTGGCCCCAAACCTTGCTAAAAATATTATCAACTATCTTAAACCATTTACCTTAGACAAAAGTATAGGCGATAGAAATTTTTACCCTGGCACAATAGACATAGCACCGTAAGGGAAAGATGAAAGAACTGTATCAAGCACTAAAAAGCAAAGACAAGCCCTTATACCTTCTGCATAATGTATTAACTAGAAATAACTATACACAGAGAACTTTAGCCAAGTCCCCCGAAACCAGATGAACTACCCAAGAACAGCTGAAAGAGCACACTCACCTATGTGGCAAAATAGTGGGAAGATGCATGAGTAGCGGTCACAAGCCTACCAAGCCTGTTGATAGCTGGTTGTCCAAGATAGAATCTTAGTTCAGCTTTAAACTTACCCACAGAATTACTTAATCTCCCTGTAAGTTTAACTGTTAGTCTAAAGAGGGACAGCTCTTTAGACCCTAGGAAACAACCTTCCTACAGAGAGTAAAAAATATTACCACCATAGTTGGCCCAAAAGCAGCCACCGATTAAGAAAGCGTTTAAGCTCAACAGCTAACTATCTTAAATTCTAATCAGTCTACTGAACTCCTAACATCACATTGGACTAATCTATTACTTAATAGAAGCAATAATGTTAATGTAAGTAACATGAAGACATTCTCCATTGCATAAGCTTACATCAGACCAGAATAACCCACTGACAGTTAACAGCCTAATATTAATAACCAATATAATAAGCACCCTATTATTTACACTGTTAACCCAACACAGGTATGCTCTAAGGAGAGATTACAAAAAGTAAAAGGAATTCAGCAAATCTTACCCCGCTTGTTTACCAAAAACATCACCTCTAGCATTACCAGTATTAGAGTCACTGCCTGCCCAGTGACATATGTTCAACAGCCGCGGTATCCTGACCGTGCAAAGGTAGCATAATCACTTGTTCCCTAAATAGGGACTTGTATGAATGGCCATATGAAGGTTCAGCTGTCTCTTACTTTTAATCAGTGAAATTGACCTATTCGTGAAGAGGCGGATATAAACAAATAAGACGAGAAAACCCTATGGAGCTTTAATTCATTAATGCAAATAAAAACTCAAACAAGCCTACAGGCCCTAGCCTACTATTCCTGCATTAAAAAATTTGGTAGGGGTGAACTTGGAGCATAATTCAACCTCCAAACAACCTAAACTAAGATCGCACTAGTCTTAGTGAGTTAATACACATTGACCCAATAATTTGATCAACGGAATAAGTTACCTTAGGGATAGCAGCGCAATCCCATTCTAGAATCAGTATTGACAATAGAGTTTACAACCTCGATGTTGGATCAGGACATCCTAACAGTGTAGCCGCTATTAAGGGTTCGTTTAGCAGTAGGGACGGGGGTTCTACAACTAAGTGAGTAACATCCTACCTGCTATATACCTCTTTAATATGTGGGTATATCCTCTCAACTGTATCTCTAGCTCCTTGGAGGAAGCAGGTTTGATATAAGAGAAATGAAAATATGTAAATGGAAGATTAAGGTCTGGTTGAGGTGTAACAATTTTTATTCTGTTTTCAGTCCATATTCACTCTTCCTTAAATTTTTCATTAGCCATTAATGCTGTGTTCCTGAAAAAAGTCAGCAGCTACTCCTAAATGTAGCAAAGGAAGAGACAGTAAATAATTTGCATGAACTCTAGAAATTATACAGAAAGGACTGTTGGCTCTTTTGCTTAAAAACTGTCAATCGAGAAAAATAACGAGACAAGTCCCTATCATTTTATGAGGTTTATTTGCCAAAGTTAAGGATGTGCACACAGGAGACAGGTCTATGCCTTTCTCCGAAGGTGATTTTGAGGGCTCCAAATTTAAAAGGGAAAGGGCAGGCTATTGAGAAGTACACAATTTTCATGTAAGAGGAGGGTAGGGAAAAATAGTCATTCATGCCTTTGTCTGGCTCAGTGAATCTGCATTTTTTTTTACATCAGGTGACACAGACAAATGGGGCAGAGGAATAATGCAGGGAATCTGCATTTTTACAGCAGATAATATAGAAAGAGTGGGGCAGGAGAACAATCAGATATTCATTTGTGTCTGGGGGGGGTGGGGGCGGGGTGACTGCACCTGTAAAGATAAGCTATCAATTTGCATTGCTATGGTGAAATTTTAACAGAAACACCTTAGGGTACAGATCTTGGAGCTCACTAGGAATTTCCATGTGGGCAAAATATGGGGGAGGCATATAGCTTTTCATCTTGTAGCCATCTTATTTAGGAACTGAAAGGAGAGGCAGGCTTGCATGACCCAGTTCTCAGCTTGACTTTTCCCTTTAGCTTAGCAATTTGGGAACCCCCCCAGATTTATTTTCCTTTCACAAAACCAACATACATGTCAAAATTTTGGCAAATGCTTGATGCTGCTTACATAGAAAATTATCATCTAACTAAGCTGCCTCAGTGATACCAGTTAAGCGGAGGGCAGATCATGTCTGAGATGACAAGACTAAAACAAGGACAAATTTATTTTGTTACCTTTTATCCTTCACCCATTCCTCCCTTCCTCTTCCTCCCTATCATTGTCCCTGTCTCATGAGGATAGAAGCACCACGTAATGGCATAATGGTGGATACATCCTTTTGAAATAAAAGTTACTCTCAGGCATTACATGGCAATAGCTCTACTCACTGCCTTCTCTTCATTGGTCAGCCATTAACCCTGACCTTTTAAAGTCTAATTCCCTTGCTTCTGACCATTAGTTCACAGAGCGGAAAAAGATGCATTATCACACTAAAAGGGCAGACCACTAGTGTCAGGGAAGGAATTGGTTACAAATAAGAAAGTTAAAAATAAATTGTCTTTCATAGAGACAGGACATGAATTGGTGGCTGCCAGAGGTTGTGGGAAGGGGGAACAGGAAGAAACTCCTTAATGAGTAAGGGGTTTTACTTTACAGTGACAGAAATTTATTGAAACTAGATAAAGGTGGTAGTTGTACAACCTCGTGAACATACTAAGTGCCACCAAATTGTTCACTTTAGAATGGTTTATTTTATGTTATGTGGCTTTCACCTCAATATGTTTTTTAAATAAAATAAAAATAAATTACCTTAAAGTAACACAGAAAGGTTAAAAACGAAAGAACAGACAATATTTACTAAACAAATAAAAGCAAAATAGGGCAGAAATAATTACTTTCAAAGAAAGGAGAATTCCAGATAAAAAGCATTGAGAGAAAACAAGGAGGAAAGATGTTTAAATTTTGATAAAATAAAGTAGTTAAGTCATGAGCCTTTCTTGATTGATTTGGCAGATAGTAGAGCAACACAATTTATGGTGCAACGGTTGGTGACTTTAAAACTCCCTTATCAGCCTTTGACAGCCCAAATAACCCATAAATAAATACAAATTAGAGAATAGTGTAACTGTTAAGCTTTAATTAAGATGTTTATCTAACTATGCTTTATAGATCATTCACTGTCTTTCCAGGCATCAATGGACCATTTATAAAAATTGACTTTATACCAAATCACAAAGAATACCTCAATAAATTCCAAAAAGTAAACAAACCCTCTATGATAACAATGCCAAACATAATCTAGGGCAGTGCTGTCTAATAGAACTTTGTGTAATGAGGGTAATGGTCTATATCTGCAGTGACCAGTACAGTGGCCACTAGCCACGTGTGGCTACTGAGCACTTGAAATGTGGCTACTGCATTGAGGGAACTGATTTTTAAATTTTAGTTAATCTGAATGTAAATAGCCACATGTAGCTAGTGGCCACCATGTTGGACAGGGCCAATCTAGAAAATCAGAACAAAAGTTAAAAAACAGAAACCCTACTTAGAAGTTAAAAAGCACTTGTACTCATATACACAACTGTCCATACACATACACATGCAACACACACACTTCAAAATAACTACTGAATTAGAAAAATCCACAGGGCACTTACTTACAAAATGAAAACATTACATATATCAAAGCAAATAGGATACATATAAAACTACACTGCGTCAAATTTATAATATTAAATATTTTGTTCCTTGTTAAAGAAAATTCCCGACATCAAAAATAAACCCAAAAAACATTTAATTAAGACCAGAAATTATAGAAATGATCTCTCTACATCTACATCTAGAAGTTATTTGAAAAAAAAAATATTTTGTAAGTCACATAAAAAAACTGCAAACTAGATTATATAAAAGGATGTCAATTTTTTATATATACAATGTGATGTAAAACTATTCTGATAAATTTAGAATCAATACTAGTCAAATCAGAATCAAATCAGAAAAATAGCAAAAACTAACTTAAGAAATAAAAAGAAACTTAAAATTTATTAAACCTTTCAAAAACATTCTGTGGCCAAATGATTTTGCTGATTTTTTTTTTAAGGAACAATTCCCATACCATATAAAATATTCCAGGTCATCAAAATATTGAAAACTAAAAGATTCATGTTGTGAAGCTATCATAACCTCAATCATGAAAGCCTGCTCCGTGGCTGGTAAGCATGTATACATGTTCTGTGCCCATCACACACAGGCACATACAGACACACAAAAATCGTTACACCAGTTGTACTTCTTCAGAGATGAAGAATATGAAATAAAATATTAGCCAATTAAAGAGAAGTGCATTCAGTAATAAATTACAGTAGGCCAAGCAAGGTGGCTCACACCTATAATTCCAGCACTTTGGGAGACCAAAGTGGGAGGATCACTTGAGGCCAGGAGTTCAAGACCAGCCTGGGCAACATAGTGAGACCTGTCTTTACAAAAAATAAAAAGTTAGCCAGTCATGGTGGCATATGCCTGTAGTCCCAGCTACTGGAGAGGCTAAGGCGGGGATCCCCTGAGCCCAGAAGTTTGAGGTTGCAGTGAGCTATGATTGCACCACTGCACTCCAGCCTGAGCAACAGAGTGAGACCCTGTCTCTAAGAATGAATGAAAAAATAACAGGTAGGTTTTGTGGGAATGCAAGGATAGCTTAAATACTGTGATATCAATCCCATTTATGCTGGAGATTGCAGTTTTTTGAATTTTTGCATGAGTGAAAAATCAGACCTTGGTGATGACCTTGAGCAGTAGGATATAAATAACTCTCATATGCTTAGCATTCCAATAATGGAACACTAGGCATAAGTGGATTTTAATAAATCACATCAACAGTTCAATAAGAAAAGTCATTTCTTCCCAAATTAATTTGTAGCTTAATCCAATTTTCATAAAAAACTCGGTGAAATTTTCCTTGAATTAAAGTTCATATAATAATAAATCAGAAAGAATAGACAAAAGCACTTTGCAAAATTACAAAGATTTTCCTCCCAGATTTTAAGACAAATTAAAAGCTGAAATGAAACTGATCATTAATGAAATAAATAGCCCAGAAATAGATACAACCACATATGAGAATGTGTTATATTATCTTTATAAAAGATTTAGAAACTAGTAAAGAAGGTATGGATTATTAAACAAGAACACTGTGCTTGGAATACTGGACATTGGGATGGTAGTGGGAAAGAAGGCACATTTGATCATTACCTTATTCCAAATACCAAAATTAATTTCAGGTGGATTAAGAAGCATGCATTTAAAAATGACATCAGTTTCTAAATGTTGTGAAACATCTAACTGGTCAAAAAGCATGAATAGCTTTTGATATTAAAAAGCAGTAAACATTATTTTTCATTGCTTCTTCTCACTCTTCCCAAGTGGCTGATGGGAGTGTGTTCAATGTCTCACCTCAGGAGCCTGCTCTGGAGTCAGCTGTGATGTACTGACACCATGGAATTCCACTGCCAGTGACCCACTGCCTCCGGCCGTACACGACAGTGCCTTGACCCAACAGCCATCGAGTACTGTATGTATTTCCACCTGAGGAGAAGGCCTGGGGAGGCCACAGTGCACCATTGCACAGGGCTGTCCTGATACCTCATCCAGAAAGCCGTCTCAGACTTCAGCACTGCGGTCTTGCCCACTCTCTGCCTTAGGCTCCCAGGGGAATCCAAGACAGAAAATGAAGACACTGGCTTCCAACAGCAGCGCTCCATGTTTAAGATACATATTTTCCCTGTTTGCTTTGCTACTGTATGTTGACTTTAAGATCTTTTTTTAAATACATTTGATTCAGCTAGTATTCCATGTCAACAATTTGTCCAAAGGAAAACTGCTGGAGGGAGGTGGAGGGAGGAAGGTGGGAATTATTATTTAATACATCATTAATGCTTATTAATCTCTCACAAGCATCTTTGTCTTGCAAATCCTAAGGGAAAAGCAAGTCCCTGCAGTGAGCACTAGGGACAGTCTAATTTGGGGATTGCTCAACCATCAAGACTGCAGGTCTCCCTTCAGCCACCTCCTTCCTGCTAAAAGCTTAGCCTACCACACTACCAGTCATTCCCATCGCTTTGCAATCACAAGCCACAGGATGAGAAGTTCTGACTCACTCATGCCATGCCCAGGGCTATCTGAAACAATGTCTCATTAAGAATTTAGGGTTCTTCCATGGGCTTACTGACAGTTGCCCAGATCTGAAGGGGAAAGGGTCTTGAGAAAGACCATCACTGGCTCAACTTTAGGGCACTGTCCAGAGTCAACATGATGTGGTTTAGCAGTGATCACATCTAAACAAAGTTTAGGTAAATGAATTATCGCAGAGAAAAACCACATGAGAAAATTTTTGTACTCCAAATTTACTTCCCAATAAATATTCAGCAAAGTAGTAAAATGACCTTAAAGATAAAAATGATTAGGGAATAGCCTTAGAAAATTTATAGGTATAAAAAATTCAAGGACAAACTGTGCATTTAATGGACACAAGAATTGACTCTAACTCCATGTCTGTGGTTTCTTTGAACCCATATCAAATGTATGACTATTTAGAGTGTTTATAAGAGATAATGGAACTGAACTTTCACTCAATTAATTGGGCATTAACAACCTTCTTTTATGTTTGTTCCTGATATAGTCTGAATCTTAGGAAGAAGGTAAAAGAAAGGAGGCAAGAGAATAGTTATGATGAATATGTGTTAAGTGCCTGCTCTGAAGGAGGCAATGTTCTTCTCATTTGAATCCTTATGGCAACCTTATTCAATAGGTTTTCCCATATTTCAGATTTAATAACTGAAGGCCAGAGAGATTAATTTGCCAAAGCCACACCTTTATGCTAATTATGATTGGAATGCATCACAAAAGCCTAACTCTGTTGTTTTCAACCTCTACGTTATTTTGCTGCTATGTGCATTTCCAGATCTGATTTTCTGCTAACTTGTGTGCTATGATCCACTCCTGATGGGGGTCTACATTAATCTTCCAGTACTCCTTGCTGATGCTGTGTTATGTGTCATCTAACAGAAATGACTCCTTTGAAATAAGTAAATCTTTGGCTTTTTGTTCTGTTGGTGTGATTCAAAGCAAAACAAACAAACAAAAACAAATTTTAAGAACACAACAAAAAAGATTTGACTTCCGAATAGAATGTTTTCTTTAAGAGGCATGAAAAGCAACTATTGTTGTGTTACAGTGTTAAAAATATTCAGTTTTCTTTGACAAAAATGTGTACTGTGTAAGCCTTGCAAACAAAAAACAACAAAAAAGAAGCAGCAGCAGCAGCCTGCTGTGTGGCATCTGAACTTTTATAAAGGTTTCCTTGTGCCAAATAAGTGCAAAGATTTAATTTACTATTAAAAACCATAAGCATATGTTATAGTTCCAGAAGAATTATTTTGTCATCAAGTGATTTTGATCTTTAGTGTCAATATTTATATTTAGATTAATTTTTATAAATGAAAATATTTTAATGGTTTAAGAAAATGAGGACAACAGGATAATATCTTTGATGACTTCTGAAAGTTATGCTTCCCTTCATGTTATATGCACATTGCCAAGAATTACTGTCAAGAGAAATGATAAGTAAAAGTCATTTATGAAAATAAAGATTGTGTGTGTGCAATTTTTTGGTTAAGGGAGACTAGGAGTGAGTAGGGGATAGGGAAAGAAGTCATGTGGCTAGTAACTGGAGGGGCCAAGATTCAATACCTTCCTTCCAGTTATACTGCTCTCCCCTCCATTGCAAGTTGTCCAGACAACAGAATTTCCCAGTGACTACCTCCACTCAAGTGGTCACCCAATCAAGTGGTCACCCAAGTAAACCAGCAGTTCTCAAAGGGAGGTACAGTGTGATTTTTGCCCCTCAGGGAATATTTGACAATGTCTGGAGACATTTTTGATTGTAACAACTAAGGGTGTGCTGCCACTGGCATCTAGTGGGCAGAAAACAGGGATACTGCTAAACATCCTACAATGCATAGGACAGCCCCTGTCTTAGTCCATTTCATGTTGCTATAACAGAATAACACAGACTGGGTGGGTGATTTACAAAGAAAAAACTGTATTCCTATAGTTCTGGAAACTGGGAAGTCTAAGGTCAAAGGGCCTGCATCTAGCAAGGGCCTTCTTGCTGTGTCATCCCATGGCAGAAGGCAGAAGGGTAAGAAAGCATGCATGAGAGAGAGCAAGAGAAAGCCAAACTCACGTTTATAACAAACCCACTCTTATAATAATGAACCTACTCCTATGATAACAATGTTAATCCATTCATAAGGGCAGAACCCTCATGACCTAAACGCTCTTAAAGTTCTCACCTTTCAATACTATTGCATTGGGGATTAAGTTTCTAACACATGAACTTTGGGAGACATTCAAACCATAGCAGCCCCCTACAACGAAGATTAACCTGAAATGTCAATAGTGGTGAGGCTGAGAACCCTGAGTTAGACCCTAGTGGTAAACCTGGACATCAATGGAGAAGCCCCTGTCAACCTCCAGGGGGATTGTATAGCTGAGCAGGAAGCAGTGACTCTCTCAGTCTTTTGCAGGCTCAGTGGAGGTTGTTGCATCTTTAAGGCTGGCATGCCCAGAGCACTCAAGCCAGACACTGACCCCTGTCATCCCCAAATATGAATACGAACCTTCCACTAACCTAAAATAAATGAATATATGAAAATATTAACAGAAGCCAAGAGCCTCTGCCTGGTGGCTTTATGCAGTAAAGCCAGTATCCCAACATGAGAGTGCATCAGAATCATCTTTCCAAAGATTCTTGTTGAAGGAATCTCTGGAACAACAAACATTCCAGCTTGTTGAAAGACAAATTGCCGGGCTCCACCTCAATGTTTCGGGTTTTTGTTTTGTTTTGTTTGAGATGGTGTCTCCCTCTGTCACCCAGGCTGGAGTGCAGTGGTGCAATCTCAGCTCACTGCAACCTCTGCTTCTCAGGTTCAAGCGATTCTCCTGCCTCAGCCTCCTGAGTAGCTGGGATTATAGGCACCTACCACCACATCCGGCTGGTTTTTGTATTTTTAGTAGGGACAACATTTCACCATGTTGGCCAGGCTGGTCTTGAACTCCTGACCTCAAGCAATCTGCCTGCCTCGGCCTCCCAGAGTGCTGGGATTACAGGCATGAGCCACCGCACCCAGCCTCCACCTCAATGTTTCTCATTTACATTTCTAACAAACTTCAGGTGATATTGATGCTGCTGATCTAGGGAGCACACTTTGAGAACCTCCGACCTAGGAGCAAGGTGGAGGGCAACCAACTTGCTTTAAGAGATTCCACCTGCACCTGGGTTATCCTAGGGAAGCTAATGCTTGGAAAAGCTAGAAAGCCAGGGAGCCGGGATTTAAAGGAAGCTCCCTCAAAACTGTAAAGCCCAAACCTTTCCCCTCCACTCAAAAGTAGGGACTGTCTCTAACTGCACTGCTAGGCAAAGAGGAATCTGAGAAAGAATGTATCCTTCATGGAACAACAACCCAGCCAAACACTAGCTACTGTACTCTCCACATAATTCAAGTAATATTCCATACATTCAACTTCCAGGATAATTAGTATTTAAAGCACATAGTGAACCACAACTAGCAATGTCATGTGACACAGGTAAAGCTATTTTTTTCAAAGTATGGAGTAAGTTGAGAATATTCACTAAGGAAATCTCAGGCTGCAGACATTGCTGCTGAGCAGCAGCATGGAATGGAGGTGCAGAGCATGTGAGCAGCACTAACTCACATGCAGCTTGTCAGACAAAGACAGATGGCAGGGAAACAGATCTCCATCACAAGCACCAAGGACTGCTAGGGCACCAAAATTTGTGGTTCAAACAAGAGGCCCAGGAAAAGCTGGGAAAACAGCCCATTTGGCAACAGGGAAAGGGAGGAAGGGCAATCTCAATCATTAGATGCCTGCCATGTGCCAGGTGCTGCTGAGTCCTTATACATCAATTATATCTTTACAATCTCTGAGGAAGTTCACAGCAATCCCACTTTATACCCAAGAAAATGAGGCCCTAAATGGAATTGGTGAATAGGGCAGCATTTTCTAGAACCAAAGTTTCCCTAAACAAATAGTAAGATTGGATCATATCTGGTTGAAATGAGACTTTTCCTAACATAATTTAATATAAAGAAAATACCTGAGGTTATTAAAACAAAATAAATACAGTATTAGTGGTTGTCCACAGAAAGGAACACTGCTGGCTGGTGACATGGACTCCCTCCTTGACCAAATTATTCAGGCTTCTCTGAGTCCTCTTCTCAACTAGGCCTTGTCCTTGGCCTGCCAACACAAGTTTAGCAAGTCAGTTTAGTGAGAACCCCCACCCTTAATATCTAATCAAGTTCCTCTTAATAATTTTCTATCCACTGATTTCCTCACCAAGTCCATTGGCTAAAAATCCCCAGCTACCTTTGCTATATTCAGAGTTGACTTTGGTTATATGCTGAAGTCTCTCTTCCCTACTGCAATAGCTCAAATAAAATCTGTCTTGCCATTTTTAACAAGTATCCAGTGTAATTTCTCTTTGATAGTGGCTTGAGGTGAAAGGGAAATTTGTCACCAAAGACCTTTTTGTACCATCTACGTTTTGAGTCATAGGAACATATTGCCTATTTAAAATAAACAGGAAAAAGGGGGAAATTATTCTTGATCCTCAACAACCAACCTGTGAAGGACTGGGTAAATATATAGCAGCTTCAACCATTGAAGTATCTGTTCTTAAGGAATAAAAGATGCATTACACTGGATGAGGAAGCTACCATTTGCATAAAATACTATGCTAACCACACATCATTCTTATCTATAAAAGTAACTCTTGTGAGGCTCTCAGAAAGACAATGTGTCTGACTAGACTGACTCCTCCACCATTAATCTGAATGAAATTTGTGTGGGATTGTAGACCAAGATTTTCATACACACATCCACACACAGCCTATCGTTTGCAGCATAAAATTGAAATGCAGAGCTTCTCAGGAGAAAAACGTTTGTAAGAATGAGTTTGAATTACACCTTTGGTTTGGAATTGAACTGTTTGTTTGGCTTTCTCTCCTAAGCTGTATACTCAGAAAGGAAAACAAAAAAGTTCAATACTGCCAGGAATATTTGCTGTTTGTCACAGATGAAACCTGATAGTAAGACATTTGAGGAGGATTTTTTTTTTTTTTTTGAGACGGAGTCTCGTTCTGTCACCCAGGCTAGAGTGCAGTGGTGCCATCTGGGCTCACTGCAAGCTCTGCCCCCCGGGTTCATGCCATTCTCCTGCCTGAGCCTCCCGAGTAGCTGGGACTACAGGCGCCCGCCACTGCGCCCGGCTAATTTTTTGTATTTTTAGTAGAGACAGGGTTTCACCGTGTTAGCCAGGATGGTCTGGATCTCCTGACCTCGTGATCCGCCCACCTCAGCCTCCCAAAGTGCTGGGATTACAGGCGTAAGCCACTGCGCCAGGCCGAGGAGGAATTTTTTTAAGGAACACTATGGCCAGAAGTCAACTGGAAGCTAATATTCAGGCTATGCATACATTTTTTAAGGCCCCTCTGTTCTATTAAATCTTGCTTCTCCCATGGGAACGTCTTAGTCAACTGAAATTCCTTTTCTAAAAGCCCTGCTAACTTTATATGCTCTGCCCCTCTGTCCACTTTCTTCCTTGTTGGCATGATTTTTGACTATTTGAATATTGAGCAAATGAAAAATTGTAAAGGTCTTTTCTACAAATATTAAAGGCTTTATTCAAATTGGCTTAGAGATAAATGAGTATACCTAAAATTCCTAGAAATATAGGAACTAGTCTAAATGCTTTTCAGGTTTACATGACTTGAGTAAATCTGTAATAAGACTCGTTTAATATTGTCAGTTTAATGAGAACATTTGTGTCTTCTGAGTTGTCAACAATACTCATGTACTTAACTTTAGGGCTCTTGCATTGTCATGACTGCCTGACATGCATGTGCTGTCAAGATGGATAATAGGAAAATAACTTGAGGTGATGGCAGCTTTGTCTCATGTCTCATGTAATTTTCATGAGTGTTCCAAGCATAATTGTTAAGAATGAGTGAATTAAATAGATGTAACTGAAATAAAAGTTTATAAATGTAGTTTTAAACAATAATTATATTTTAAAATGTCTGCTTTCAAAAGTGTCCCAAATTTCTTTGGTAACCATACCCTTCGAATTTTTCTAAGTTAAAATTTAAATCTAGATCATTTCCAAGTAAGGTAAAATACTGAAACATTATTGCTTAACATAAGTTTTAAAGTATATATACTTCAGCATCTCATTTTCATGCCATATCAAAAAGCTAAACATATTTGAGTCTGTTAATATACAAAGCAGTAATCCAGATAAGCCACTTGCTCAAGGATACTTGCCTGACACCAGCTGTCTCCACCAAAAAGCTAATGCCAACTCCTGCAACAAGCCCCTATAACCAATGGTCCTTGTTTCAAAACAGCTTATGTGGGTTTCTCCTTTGTGTCTTTAAAAGCTTTCCCCTTTCCCCAAACACCTTGGATGCACTTATGATCCATCATAGCATGTATATCTTGGATTGCAATCTCCTGCTCTTCCCAAATAAACTCTCTGCTTTGGAAAGTCAGTCTCTCTATTGCTCATTTTATGCTGACAACTACCATTAGTGTGCCTGGCACAATAATGTTTGCTAAACATTAACAGCAAACAAGCTAACATTTAAATGGTCAGACACAGATCAGGAGTGGAGATTAAAGAGAACATCAGTAGACCATGTGAAATCCTCTCCAGGAAGGCAATTCCTGGCTAAAATTCCTGACTTCCTCATCTTCCCACCCACATCCCATTCCCATCAGTTGGCAAGAAATGTAAGACAGTAAAGACAGTCCAGCTACATCTGAGTTATATATATTGATCTTTCACAAAGGGTATTCTATTCACTGAAATTTTGATAAAACATTAAATTACAGGAGACATTTGGTGTATTTCTTTAAAAATAACTTCTACATGACAGCCGCTCTATTTTTCTCTGAGGGAAAATACTTCCCATACAAAATTTGCATTTTACAGAACAGTTGGCTGTGTGAGCCTTCTGTCTCGGCAATTGAGTTGTAATTATGATAAAGTACAGGTAAATGGAGTTGCATTTTAAATAGCTTTCTAAGGGCTGAAAAAACTTTAATATGCACTTCAAATATTGGAAACCTCAAAAAAGTTATAGAAGTATCCAGTTTAGTGGAACCAAGTCCTAAAATAGTTTTTAAAAAATGTTTTGTATCAAAGTTGTTATGTTTGGCAAAGATGAAAGATTTAAGGCAATGTTTCTCAAACTTTGATGTGCAAACAACTTCTGATTCAGTAGGTCTAGGGTACAGCCTAAGATGCTGCACTTCTAACAAGCTCTCAGGTGATGCCAATGCTGCTGGCCACACTTTGAGAAAGAAAGTTCAACAGAATTCCTCAAGGGGTTCTCTGAGGGATGGAGGCCCAGTTACCCACAGTGACAGCCTGTTCATTGATGCCTCTTTTGTGACTTTTCCTCCCTTCCTTCTTTCACTTCACCCGCCCTCAGTATTTTTCCTAGGAATGCCTCCCAAGTGAACAATTTGACTCAGTCTGCTTTGGGAGAAAACCCAAACTAAGACATCCCCTGCACTCCACGTGTGTGTTTGCATATCTTTCTCCTGCACTGGCCCAAGAGCTTCTTAAGGATCTGGGTTCCATTTTTCCCACACAGAGACTGCCATAGAGCAGGTGCTTGAAATGAGTTTGGTTCACCTCCAGCGGCTGTGGTGGTCCTGGCTCTAGGCTGTGGTTACCTCTGTCCATGTGACTGAACTGCATGAAGATCATGCACAGCAGGGGAGCAGTCTCTCTCATGCCCATCCTGGGATTGGGGGTGAGGATCCCACAACACTGAAATGTGTAGGGAATCACAATACCAAGATGAAGGATTAGGAGGCTCCACCAACCTCTACTTTACCTTCACTCCTCTTTTAGAGAGGGTGACATAACCCCAGGTAGTAATGAGTGGTCCAGGAACCTGCTCCCCAGAGTCTGGTACAAGCCCGTGTATTTCCAGATTCTCATGACCCATGAGGCCCAATGAGACACAGCATCAACTTTGGCTTAGTCGAGCTGTGCCATTTTAAATGCCATCTCTAGGCTCAGTGAGAGGTAACACAGAGTTCATGAATACCATTGCCTTCTCCTGTCATCATTGGCAAACCAGGGGAGAGCTTGAAGTGCTCATTTTTTTTATTGATTTCTCTGAACATAGTTCATGTATGCAGTCATGGCCCCTTTTTTCTCTGAGTGGATCCCTCCCCTTCCTCCTTTGCCAACAAAAAGCCGGAACTTGGGGAACCCAAAGGTTAGAGCAGTAGTTTTCAAAGTTGAGTCTAGACTACACATGGGGTATAGAAGATGGTCAATTAGGCCAGGTGCAGCGGCTCACGCCTATAATCCCAGCACTTTGGGAGGCTGAGGCAGGTAGATCAAGAGGTCAGGGGTTCAAGACCAGCCTGGCCAACATGGTGAAACCTCATCTCTCCTAAAAATACAAAAATTAGCTAAGGGTGGTGGTACATGCCTGTAGTCCCAGCTATTTGGGAGGCTGAGGCAGGAGAATTGCTTGAACCCAGGAGGCAGAGGTTGTTGCAGTGAGCCAAAATCACGCCACTGCACTCCAGCCTGGGCAACAAAGCAAGACTCCATCTCAAAAAAAAAAAAGAAGATGGTCAATTAGGAGCAAGTAAAAGAAAATATTAGACCTTTTATTTGTTTTAATCTGAAAGTAAGATGTATCAATATTTTAAAAAAGTGGATAGCTGATAGTAAGTACATGTAAATAATTTAAAAATAAATACATATATTTCAGGGGTACATTGTCAAACAGTTTTTACTGATGGGTTGTGTGGCTTAAAAGGTTTGAAGACCATCTACCAGTTAGAAAACATAGCAAGCTTCTGATGACTCACATTCCCCCTCCAGCTTGTCCCCATCCCTACCCCTGTAAGGGGCAGTGCTAATTCTTTAGACCTGATTCAATGTGTAAAGGGCAGATAGAAGGACAGAGGTGGGGAGGTAATCCAGAGAGTTCCTAGCCATTGGTGACCCTCATAAGAGGATTAGGTCCTGGGATGTGTTGTGCCATTCCTTTTGTGAAAACTTTCTGTCGATCTTGTTTCTTCCTTACTCTCCTCCCCAAGCCAGAGACAGAATGTCTACTTACTATCCAGCTATTTTAACTCAAGTTCTAAAGGACAACAGCTTATTACTGCCTAGCAATAAACCAATGGACTGCCTTGAGGTTTGGGCTTTTCAGTCAAGTGTCTTTATGGTTCTTTGAAATGTGCCAAAGTTAAATCTTTCTGCTAACACAGGTAAGAGCCATGTGACATTATGAGGCAAATGAATGAGGTAACATACTCCTCCTCTATCTAGCTCTGCCTATCTCCATGTTTATAGTGTTCAAAGCCAGGCAGGCAGGCAGGGGCAGCAATTTACAAGCCCGGCAACCCAAGCATCTCTGTAAAGTCTACTTGTGCAGGAAAAGTGCCATGAATGTCTGTACATCTGTTAATGATTAAGACCTTCCATGAGTCCAGAGAGTCTGCACCCTGCCACAATTAGGGCAATTTGGCATGCCTTTGGTGCTTCCCAGATGGCTCCTTCAAGTGTGCCGAGTTCTCAGCCTTGTACTGTTCAGGGACGTTTGGGGAAGACAGAACTGAAAGGCTAAAAGCCTCAAGGTTGTGAAAGCCACCTTTTCTATATGCTATCTCACATGACAAGGAACACTGCTTGCCTAGAGCCATGACATGCCATAACCATGAAGCATTAGGTGGTGAGGTGACAGGATGATAAAGCATGTAATTGCTGTCCTCATTCACTGAGCACTGTGGTAATTACTTAATCGAAGATAAGAGGGCTACTTGTAGGCAGTGGTGGTAGTAAATGTTTTCTACTATATTTCTATCTTCAACATGCCCTTTCCTGTTTCCTAGTAATGACAGCAATTTGCAATTTCAGAGCCTGTCCTTTCTGATTTATTTTTCTCTACTATTTCATTCATTTCAGGACAAATCCACGGGGAAGTTGGGAAGACTTTTAAAGACAGTCTTTAAAATGGGAAGGCAGGGCAAGCATGCTTTGCCTGATAAACACAGGCTATGTGTAAAGAATGCTCCACTGTGGACAGACTCTATGCATGAGCATTTTTACCCTATTTGTAATTTGGTCTTTGTAGAGCCACCCTGGTGATGAATGGGATGTTCTTTTAGGTCTGCTGGGCTGAGATTCCTCTTTGTCTTTAAATGACTTTGTTATTCTCTTTCCTGTGTCCAAGCTCATCACTCTGAGCTGTTGAAATGCTGACTGTCTGGATACAACAGCTTCTGCTAATGTCACTCAGCCAGACATCAGCTTGGTGCCCATCAATTGTTGGACTGTCTGCTGACAAAGGAGTAAGCCACCCCTTTTGACTTGAAACAGTCAGGATTTTGCTTCCCTCGGCCCCCACTCTTCCAATGGACTTCTTGGCTAACTCTAAAAAGGCAACTCTAAATGCAGTTGGAAAGCCTGTTCCAGGCATTGTCAGAGCTGCACTGTAACCCTACAGAAATTTTGGATCAGAGTTCCTGGCAGAGTTCCTGGCAGGGCCCAATTTGCCCTCTAAGGGTCACAAACCTTTCAAGCTAGGACCTTTTTCAATTCTGTGTCTTCCCACATTACTTTCAGGTCTCTTGGAATACCTTCCTGTGATACTGAAAATCCTACCGAATTCTTCAAGAATGCCCAGCTCAAATGTTACCTCTATGATGGTCCCTGACTCCTTCCTAGCCCAGGATAATCCTGGCATAACCCAGATAATCGAGATGGGTAGGTTTCATGGCACTCAAAATCTAGGTTCAAATCTACACTGGTTCAAACCCCTAATTCTATTTTCTGTGAAGCCCGAAATCCTTCCAAAAAGCCTAGGAATTCATATTTAGAGATCAATGGTTTCTGGTCTTTGCTTCCTTATTGCAGCCTCTGTCTTGTACCATATCAATCCAGACAGAAAACTCAAACCCTTCACCATTTCACTTAATACAACAACAACAAAGAAAACAATCAGCTTTCCCCTAGTAGCAGACCTCAATGAAGGACAGCTGGTGAATGAAGGGCACCAACGAATGGTGGAGTTGGAAGAAGCAGAGGAGAGGAGGTACACATAGCATGTCTCAGTCTCTTCCTGCTACTATGACAGAATATCTTAGACTGGGTAATTTATAATTAATAGAAATGTATTTCTCATAGTTCTGGAGGCTGGGAAGTCCAAGATCAAGGCATCAGCAGAGTCAGTATCCGGTAAGGGCCCACTCTCTGCTTCCAAGATGGTACTTTCTCCCTGTGTCCTCACACGGCAGAAGGGCATGAAGGGACAAACAGACTCCCTCAAACCCTTTTATAAGGGCACTAATCCCATTCAGGAGGCAGAGCCCTCATAACCCAACCACCTTCTAAAGGCCCTATTAATATTATTGCATTGGCAATTAAGTTTCCATATGACATTTGGAGGGAGACAAACATTTAGACCATAGCATTCCACTCCTAGCCCCCTGAATTTATGTCATTCTCACATACAAAATACATTCCAATTCAACAGCCCCAGAAGTCTTAACTTTTTCCAGCACCAACTCAAAAGTCTCATCTAAATCAGATATGAGTGAGATACAATCCATCCTCAGGCAAATCGCTCTCCAGCTGGGAACTTGTAAAATCAAACAAGTTTTGGATTTCTAAAATACAATGGTGGACAGGCATAAGATAGACATTCCCATTCCAAAAGAGGAAAACAGGAAGGAAGAAAAGAGTAACTGGTCCCAAGCAAATCCAAATCCCAACAGGGAAAATAACATTAAATCTTAAGGCTCCAGAATAATCTTCTTGAACTCCATGTCCCAAGTCCCACAGCTCTCACACATTAGTCTTATGCCCACAACTCTCCCAGACTGGAGTTGCACACGGGTGACTCTATTGTTCTGGGGTTTCAGGGGTGGCCCTGCTTCCCTGGCACCACAAAGCATTGCCCTATGGAGCAATCTGTCATAGCCACACCCCTGTGGCAGTTCTCTGCCTGAGACCCTTGGCTCTTCAGGGCATCCTTTGAAATCCAGGTGTAGGCAGCCATGTGCCCACAACTCATACCATCCGTGTACCTA
Source organism: Homo sapiens (assembly GCF_000001405.40). Lineage (NCBI taxonomy): Eukaryota > Metazoa > Chordata > Mammalia > Primates > Hominidae > Homo > Homo sapiens. The sequence goes on from NC_000003.12 coordinate 40,270,891, forward strand.
CACAGTTAGCACCACCTGGACGTCTGTGCTTCCCAGAGAGGTGGCCTGAGCCACACCCAGGCCCACTGTAGCCATACCTCAGGGGACCAAGGAGTGTTGCAGCTGAATGTGGGGAGAAGAGGCCTGAGGCAGCACTGGGCAGCAAACCCCAAAGTCCCACTCCTCTTCAACATTTCTAATATTTCATACAGTCTTGTTCTCTAACCATCTCCCAACCCAGGCCCAGGGCAAGAGTGAGACTGAAAGCAGGTGTGGGAATTGCAGGCAGACTCAGAGACCAAGCAGAAAGAGGAAGGATGAGAAAAGAAGAGTGTGAAAAGGCCCCAGGTTTCCTCCCAGGACTGCAGGATCAGTGGCAGCTCCTCAACTAAAAGCGTAGAATAGATTTGAGGAAGAGTAATTACTTTCTTTTGCTCTGAAGTTTGCTCAATAATGTTGCTTGAACTGATTTTGGAATATCCATACTTTTTAATTAGCTACCTTAAAGATACGTAAAATGGAAGATGTCCAAATACGAAATGCTCCGGTCTGCAGCTCTCAGTGTGAGCGACACAGAAGACAGGAGATTTCTGCATTTCCAACTGAGGTACCGGGTTCATCTCACTGGGGCTTGTCGGACAGTGGGTGCAGGACAGTGGGTGCAGCCCACTGAGCATGAGCCGAAGCAGGGCTAGGCATCACCTCACCCGGGAAGCATAAGGGGTCAGGGCATTCCCTTTCCTTCCCAAGGGAAGCTGTGAGAGATGGTACCTGGAAAATCGGGTCACTCCCACCCTAATACTGTGCTTTTCCAATCGTCTTAGCAAATGGCACACCAAGAGATTATTTCACATGCCTGGCTCAGAGGGTCCCATGCCCACAGAGCCTTGCTCATTGCTAGCACAGCAGTCTGAGATCAAACTGCAAGATGGCAGCAAGGCTGGGGCAGGGGCGCCCACCATTGCTGAGGCTTGAATAGGTCAACAAAGAGGCCAGGAAGCTCGAACTGGGTGAAGCCCACCACAGCTCAAGGAGGCCTGCCTGCCTCTGTAGACTCCACCTCTGGGGGCAGGGCATACCCGAACAAAAGGCAGCAGAAACCTCTGCAGACTTAAATGACACTGTCTGACAGCTTGGAAGAGAGTAGTGGTTCTCCCAGCATGGAGTTTGAGATCTGAGAACAGACAGACTGCCTCCTCAAGTTGGTCCCTGATCCCCGAGTAGCCTAACTCGGAGGCACCCCCCAGTAGGGGCAGACTGACACCTCACACGGCCAGGTACCCCTCTGAGACGAAGCTTCCAGATGAACGATCAGGCAGCAATATTTCCTGTTCAACAATATTCGCTGTTCTGCAGCCTCTGCTGCTGATACCCAGGCAAACAGGGTCTGGAGTGGACCTCCAGCAAACTCCAACAGACCTGCAGCTGAGGGTCCTGACTGTTAGAAGGAAAACTAACAAACAGAAAGGACATCCACACCAAAACCACATCTATATGTCACCATCATCAAAGACCAAAGGTAGATAAAACCACAAAGATGGGGAAAAAACAAAGGAGAAAAGCTGAAAATCCTAAAAATCAGAGTGCCTCTCTCCCTCCAAAGGAATGCAGCTCCTCGCCAGCAATGGAACAAAGCTGGATGGAGAATGACTTTAACGAGTTGAGAGAAGAAGGCTTCAGACAATCAAACTTCTCCGAGCTAGAGGAGGAAGTTCGAACCCATCACAAAGAAGCTAAAAACCTTGAAAAAAGATTAAAAGAATGGCTAACTAGAAGAACCAGCATAGAGAAGTCCTTAAATGACCTGATGGAGCTGAAAACCATGGCACAAGAATGACGTGACGAATGCACAAGCTTCAGTGGCCGATTTGATCAACTGGAAGAAAGGGTATCAGTGATTGAAGATCAAATGAATGAAATGAAGCAAGAAGAGAAGTTAAGAGAAAAAAGAGTAAAAAGAAACGAACAAAGCCTCCAAGAAAAGACCAAATCTACATCTGATTGGTGTACCTGAAAGTGACGGGGAGAATGGAACCAAGTTGGAAAACACTCTGCAGGATATTATCCAGGGGAACTTCTCCAACCTAGGAAGGCAGGCCAACATTCAAATTCAGGAAATACAGAGAACACCACAAAGATACTCCTCGAGAAGAACAACTCCAAGACACATATTTGTCACATTCACCAAAGTTAAAATGAAGGGGAAAATGTCAAGGGCCGGAGAGAAAGGTCAGGTTACCCACAAAGGGAAGCCCATCAGACTAACAGCAGATCTCTCAGCAGAAACTCTACAAGCCAGAAGAGAGTGGGGGCTAATATTCAACATTCTTAAAGAAAAGAATTTTCAACCCAGAATTTCGTATCCAGCCAAACTAAGCTTCATAAGTGAAGGAGAAATAAAATCCTTTATAGACAAGCAAATGCTGAGAGATTGTGTCACTATCAGGCCTGCCCTACAAGAGCTCCTGAAGGAAGCACTAAACATGGAAAGGAACAACCAGTACCAGCCACTGCAAAAACATGCCAAATTGTAAAGACCATCAATGCTAGGAAGAAACTGCATCAACTAAGGAGCAAAATAACCAGCTAACATCATAATGACAGGATCAAAGTCACACATAACAATATTAACCTTAAATGTAAATGGGCTAAATGCTCCAATTAAAAGACACAGACTGGCAAATTGGATAAAGAGTCAAGACCCATCAGGGTGCTGTATTCAGGAAACCCATCTCATGTGCAGAGACACACATAGGCTCAAAACAAAGGGATGGAAGAAGATCTACCAAGCAAATGGAAAACAAAAAAAGGCAGGGGTTGCAATCCTAGTTTCTGATAAAACAGACTTTAAACCAACAAAGATCAAAAGAGACAAAGAAGGCCATTACATACTGGTAAAGGGATCAATTCAACAAGAAGAGCTAACTATCCTAAATATATATGCACCCATTACAGGAGCACCCAGATTCATAAAGCAAGTCCTTAGTGACCTACAAAGAGACTTAGACTCCCACACAATAATAATGGGAGACTTTAACACCCCACTGTCAACATTAGACAGATCAACGAGACAGAAAGTTAACAAGGATATCCAGGAATTGAACTCATCTCTGAACCAAGCAGACCTAACAGACATCTACAGAACTCTCCACCCCAGATCAACAGAATATACATTCTTCTCAGTACCACATCGCACTTATTCCAAAATTGACCACACAGTTGGAAGTAAAGCACTCCTCAGCAAATGTAAAAGAACAGAAATTATAACAAACTGTCTCTCAGACCACAGTGCAATCAAACTAGAACTCAGGAGTAAGAAACTCACTCAAAACCACTCAACTACATGGAAACTGAACAACCTGCTCTTGAATGACTACTGGGTACATAACAAAATGAAGGCAGAAATAAAGATGTTTTTTAAAACCAATGAGAACAAAGACACAACACACCAGAATCTCTGGGACACATTTAAAGCAGTGTGTACAGGGAAATTTATAGCACTAAATGCCCACAAAGAAAGCAGGAAAGATCTAAAACTGACACCCAAACATCACAATTAAAAGAACTAGAGAAGCAAGAGCAAACACATTCAAAAGCTAGCAGAAGGCAAGAAATAACTAAGATCAGAGCAGACCTGAAGGAAATAGAGACACAAAAAACCCTTCAAAAAATCAATGAATCCAGGAGCTGGTTTTTTGAAAAGATCAACAAAATTGATAGACCGCTAGCAAAACTAATAAAGAAGAAAAGAGAGAAGAATCAAATAGATGCAATAAAAAATGATAAAGGGGATATCACCACTGATCCCACAGAAACACAAATTACCACCAGAGAATACTATAAACGCCTCTACGCAAATAAACTAGAAAATCTAGAAGAAATGGATAAATTCCCAGACACATACACCCTCCCAAGACTAAACCAGGAAGAAGTTGAATCCCTGAATAGACCAATAACAGGCTCTGAAATTGAGGTAATAATTAATAGCCTACCAACCAAAAAAAGTCCAGGACCAGACGGATTCACAGCCGAATTTTACCAGAGGTAAAAGGAGGAGCTGGTACCATTCCTTCTGAAACTATTCCAATCAATAGAAAAAGAGGGAATCCTCCCTAACTCATTTTATGAGGCCAGCATCATCCTGATACCAAAGCCTGGCAGAGACAAAACAAAAAAAGAGAATTTTAGACCAATATCCCTGATGAACATCCATGCAAAAATCCTCAATAAAATACTGGCAAACCAAATCCAGCAGCACATCCAAAAGCTTATCCACCATGAACAAGTGGGCTTCATCCCTGGGATGCAAGGCTGGTTCAACATACGAAAATCAATAAACATAATCCAGCATATAAACAGAACCAAAGACAAAAATCACACGATTATCTCCATAAATGCAGAAAAAGCCTTTGACAAAATTCAACAGCCCTTCATGCTAAAAACTCTCAATAAATTAGGTACTGATGGAACGTATCTAAAAACAATAAGACTTATTTATGACAAACCCACAGCCAATATCATACTGAATGGGCAAAAACTGAAAGCATTCCCTTTGAAAACTGGCACAAGACAGGGATGTCCTCTCTCACCACTCCTACTCAACACAGTGTTGGAAGTTCTGGCCAGGGCAATCAGACAGGAGAAGGAAATAAAGGGCATTCAATTAGGAAAACAGGAAGTCAAATTGTCCCTGTTTGCAGATGACATGATTGTATATCTAGAGAACCCCATCGTCTCAGCCCAAAATCTCCTCAAGCTGATAGGCAACTTCAGCAAAGTGTCAGGATACAAAATCAATGTGCAAAAATCACAAGCACTCTTATATACCAATAACAGACAGAGAGCCAAATCATGAGTGAACTCCCATTCACAATTACTTCAAAGAGAATAAAATACCTAGGAATCCAACTTACAAGGGATGTGAAGGACCTCTTCAAGGAGAATTATAAACCACTGCTCAACGAAATAAAAGAGGACACAAACAAATGGAAGAACATTCCATGCTCATGGATAGGAAGAATCAATATCGTGAAAATGGCCATACTGCCCAAGGTAATTTATAGATTCAATGCCATCCCCATCAAGCTACCAATGACTTTCTTCACAGAATTGGAAAAAACTACTTTAAAGTTCATATGGAACCAAAAAAGAGCCCGCACTGCCAAGTCAATCCTAAGTCAAAAGAACAAAGCTGGAGGCATCATGCTACCTGACTTCAAACTACACTACAAGGCTACAGTAACCAAACCAGCATGGTACTGGTACCAAAACAGAGATATAGACCAATGGAACAGAACAGAGCCCTCAGAAATAATACCACACATCTACCACCATCTGATCTTTGACAAACCTGACAAAAACAAGCAATGGGGAAAGGATTCCCTATTTAATCAATGGTGCTGGGAAAACTGGCTAGCCATATGTAGAAAGCTGAAACTGAATCCCTTCCTTACACTTTATACAAAAATTAATTCAAGATGGATTAAAGACTTACATGTTAGAGCTAAAACCATAAAAACCATAGAAGAAAACCTAGGCAATACCATTCAGGACACAGGCATGGGCAAGGACTTCATGTCTAAAACACCAAAAGCAATGGCAACAAAAGCCAAAATTGACAAATGGGATCTAATTAAACTAAAGAGCTTCTGCATAGCAAAAGAAACTACCATTAGAGTGAACAGGCAACCTACAGAATGGGAGAAAATTTTTGCAATCTATTCATCTGACAAAGGGCTAATATCCAGAATCTACAAAGAACTCAAACAAATTTACAAGAAAAAAAACAAACAACCGCATCAAAAAGTGGGCGAAGGATATGAACAGACACTTCTCAAAAGAAGACATTTTTGCAGCCAACAGACACATGAAAAAATGCTCATCATCACTGGCCATCAGACAAATGCAAATCGAAACCACAATGAGATACCATCTCACACCAGTTAGAATGGTGATCATTAAAAAGTCAGGAAACAACAGGTGCTGGAGAGGATGTGGAGAAATAGGAACACTTTTACACTGTTGGTGGGACTGTGAATTAGTTCAACCATTGTGGAAGACAGTGTCGTGATTCCTCAAGGATCTAGAACTAGAAATACCATTTGACCCAGCCATCCCATTACTGGGTATATACCCAAAGGATTATAAATCATGCTGCTATAAAGACACATGCACACATATGTTTATTGCAGCACTATTCACAATAGCAAAGACTTGGAACCAACCCAAATGTCCAACAATGATAGACTGGATTAAGAAAATGTGGCACATATACACCATGGAATACTATGCAGCCATAAAGAATGATGAGTTCATGTCCTTTGTAGGGACATGGATGAAGCTGGAAACCATCATTCTCAGCAAACTATCGCAAGGACAAAAAAACCAAACACTGCATGTTCTCACTCATAGGTGGGAACTGAACAATGAGAACACTTGGACACAGGAAGGGGAACATCACACACCGGGGCCTGTCATGGGCTGCGGGGCTGGGGGAGGGATAGCATTAGGAGATATACCTAATATAAATGACGAGTTAATGGGTGCAGCACACCAACATGGCACATGTATACATATGTAACAAACCTGCACGTTGTGCACATGTACCATAGAACTTAAAGTATAATAATAAAAAAAAGATACCTAAAATTATCATCCTGAGTAATTAAAAGTGGTAATGGACTGGTTGTGCTATTTCTGCCACTATTTGTGTCTTAGCATCCCAGCTATACAACACAGTGACTGAGTTTATGGTTAACGATGTGTAATTTTATAACATCCTAGCCCAAGCATAAAGACAAATCTCATTCCATATGTTTTTTTCTGCTAATGGGTCAGTGATATCCCCATAGTTAATTATAGCAATTATATAGAAAATAATGTGCTTACTTTGAAAAGTCAGATTTGGTTTTTGTAATTGGGTAGCTTAGATAAACACACAACTGTTTCTAACAGGGTGAAGGTCTTCACTCTTTATCACCTATAAGAAAAAGCCACATTAAATCCCTTTCTGCAGTTACCACAAAAAATTCTGTTGAAGAACGTCTGTAATATTGCTTGGGGTCCCTTATTTATTTTGGAGTTATACTCCAAAAAGCAATGTCATTGCCCTCCAAACTCATTATTATTACAGATAGCTCCACAAATTCTCTTGTTTCTATTAAGGAGTGTTACTTTTAAAAGCCTAAAATTCACAATTAGGCAAGAAAAATAAATAAGAGGCATCCAAATAGGAAAAAATGAATTATCAAGTCAAATTATCTCTCTTCACTGACAATATGATTCTATACCTAGAAAACCCTAAAGACTCCACCAAAATGTTCCTAGACCTGATAAACTACTTCAGCAAAATTTCAGGATACAAAATCAATGTACAAAAATCAGTAGCATTTCTATATGTCAATAATGTTCAAGCTGAGAGCCAAATCAAGAACACGATCCCATTTATGATAGCCACACCAAAAAACAAAAAACAAAACAACAACAAAAACCTAACCAAGGAGGTAAAGATCTCTACAAGGAGAACTACAAAACACTGCTGAAAGAAATCAGAGATGACACAAACAAATGGAAAAATATTCCATGCTCATGGATTGGAAGAATCCATATTGTTAAAATGTCCATGCTGACCAAAGCAATCTATAGATTTAATGCTATTCCTATCAAACTGCCAAGGTCATCTTTTTCAAATAATTAGAAAAAAACTATGCTAAAATTCATACAGAACCAAAAAGAACCCAAAATACTCTGTTTTCTCACCCTGTCTCCATGAAGTACTCATTTCTAAAGTCTGATTGGCTTTATTTACATAATTGTCCTCCTTTGCTTCTCTTACTCAAAGATGTTTTTGATGCAGAATAGCTTTCTTTCCCTGTTTTTTAACTCAAGGGGAAGTTCTAATGCATTTCCTTCTTGCTGGTGGCTTATTGCCTCCAGTGTAACACAAACAAAAATGATCTGAAATTCTCCTTGGTCTCATGAGTATTTGGAACTAGCTTCCTCCTCTAATTTGGCTCTATCCCCCTCATCCTGACATCATGATGTCACGAGCACAACTATGAGGTTGTCAGGCCACTGTGTTCAGCTGTCCTCTGCTGGTGACTGCTCCTTCTAAACCCAATCTCTAGGATGCACACTTCCTTCCCTTGGCTTCCAAGAAACCACCATCTCTGGGCTTTCTTCCTGTCTCAGTGCTCACACTGGCAGTGGTTGGGCAGAGAAGGAGCCAGCAAAGGACTTGGAAATCATGTGACCAAATGATATGAAAGGACACCAAGAGAGGGTCCTGTCATAGAAGCCAAGAGAAAAGAGTTCACTTTGTCAAACACTGTGGAAAGGGTCCAGTAAAATAATGACAGTGAAATGGCACTGGATTGACAATATGGAGATCAAGCCAACTTGGCCAAGAATGAGCTCTGTGTAGCAGTGGAGATAAAAGCCTGTTTGGTGGGGTAGAGGAAAGGTGGGTCACAAGCACTGTCTAGAGACAGTGACTATAGACAATTCTTTGGAAGAAGAACAGAGAAATGGGTCCTGGAAAGGAAAGGATATAAGGTTAAGGGAAGTTGTTGCTTTTGTTTAGTTGCAAGATTCCAGAAAATATCTGCATCCTGATGGAACTAATACTATATAGAGAGGGACATTATAAAGGTAGGAAGGAGAGGGGATGCTCACAGGAGTAACATCCTTGAGAGGGCAAAAGAGGAAAATAGGAACACTTCGTCCATTGCAACAAATAACAAGGCAGAGACTGGGGGTACAAATGCGGGGAGATTTGGTGGCTGGATGATGTTTGTTCCTATCTGATTGTTTCTATTTTCTCAACAAAGTATGGGCAAGGTCATCAGCTGAGAGAAAACACAGGGGAGAAAGTCGGGTTTTGAAGTGAGAGATGTATGAAATCATTGTGGAGAGTAAGAAAAAGGACATCCTAGGAAGTGCAGTAAGAAGTATGGCACTGACTTCCCATTTGAGATTTGTGGTCCTGAATTTAAAATGAGGCTAGATAATAATGGAAATATTGCGTGTAAAGCACTTAACCCTGATCTGGTACATACTGCATACTCATTAAATGCAAGCTATTACTGTTCTGCCACATGAATATTTATTGTTTGTTTGCTTAGATGAGATCCAATCCTTTCAAAAAAAAAGAGCCTAAATCTTGGGTGAGGTTGTTTCACCAGCATTGTAAATCCATTATGTACAGAAATTGTTTCCAATAAAATAAGATTAAACTTAAAAGTCTTGAAAATGTAGACCCAATGGCTTAAGAAACTGACAAAATATGAAGTACATATCAATTAAATAAAATTCTATGAGGACATAGCACCACAGGTTTACATCTCAACATAGCTGTTATCAGAACTTTCCACAGCCTTGTAATATAAGGGCATGGTTGGTTTGGAATTACATACCATGATGGGAAGACTATGATGTGGGTATATTATATATTAAAAAAGATGGCTCAGTTAAAAGAGCAATGGAATCAATAAAGTAGCTCTTACATTAAAGTGAGCTAAGAAAAGAATTCAGATGAACTATTATTACATTCTGAATATCAGCATAGATTTAAAACTTGGAAAGGTCACTGCTCTACCCCCAAAATGTGAAGCAAAAGCTTCTGTGTCATCCCATTTCCAGAAATTGTATGAGATAATATAAAACGCAGTCTTAATTTCCACACTGTGATCCTTGGCCCTTCCCTCACTGGGGAAAAAACAAAACAGGGGGTGGGGTGTCCTTGGAGAAGAGAACCAGGTAATCAATTAAAATCAAATGCTTTTGTGCATTTATTGAGATGACCACAGAGCTTGTGTCATTTAATTTGTCAGTGTGTTGGGGGAGGGATGGATCAGTCTCTTCGCAATATAATGGTGCTTCATGTCTGTAACTATTACAGAAAAGTCTCAGCAAAATGAGAAAAATCTCAACAAAATAGTTAGCTGGCTATTGACTATGATGTCTGCTTTCCTTTCCCACACTGACTGTCAAGGAGTCTCACCTCCACATGAGAGATGCAAGGTCTCCATTCCCCTTCTGAGAATCTCAAGGCCCCTCCAACCTTATTGACTCAATGGCAACTCTTGAAAATGACCAGTTGTATTAGTGTTTTCAAATCTGTCATTTTAAGCTGGGCGCTGTAGCTCACACATGTAACCCCAACACTTTGGGAGGCCAAGGCGGGAGGATCACTTGAAGCCAGGAGTCCGTGACCAGCCTGGGCAACATGTAGAGATCCTATCTCTACAAAAAAATTAAAAATTAGCCAAGCATGGCAGCACGCTCCTGTAGTCCCCAGCTACTTGGAAGGCTGAGGCAAGAGGATTGCTTGAGCCCAGGATCAGGATCCTGAGGCTACAGTGAGTTATGATTACACCACTGCACTCCAGCCTGGGTGACAGAGCAAAACCCTGTCTCTAAAAAAAAAAAAAAAAAAAAAAAAAAAATTAAATTAAAAAAGAAACCTGTCATTTTGATGTGCAAGGAAGGGGAACAGTTCTCTCCTTTGTTCCTCCAAAACAGCAGAATCCTTATATTTAAAATCTTTTTTTTTTTTTTTTTTTTTTTTTTTGAGACGGAGTCTCGCTCTTTCGCCCAGGCTGGACTGCAGTGGCGCTATCTCGGCACACTGCAAGCTCTGCCTCCTGGGTTCACGCCGTTCTCCTGCCTCAGCCTCCTGAGTAGCTGGGATTACAGGCACTCGTCACCGCACCCGGCTAATTTTTTGTATTTTTTTTCCGATTCATATAAACGGAATCATACAATATGTAGAGACAGGGTTTCACCGTGTTAGCCAAGATGGTCTCGATCTCCTGACCTCGTGATCCGCCCGCCTTCTGAATCTTTACTTACAATTATACTAATATGGTTACTTATGATCAGTTATCCTAGCATTTCTAGGCTAATAAGATTTTAACACATGGCTGATTTATCAATATAAGGTATCAAATAAAAGTAAAAATAAAATTTAATATGTTGATAGTGAATAACTGAAACTGGGTATTAGCTTGTTTCCTTTTTCTAACAGTTTTATTAAGCTATAATTCACATACTATATAATTTACCCATTTTAAGTGTAGAATTCAATCATTTTTAGTATATTCAGAGAGCTATATAACCATCACAACCAATTTGAGAACATTCTTATCACCCCCAAAATACTACATAGCATTAGCAGTCATTCCCCATTTCCCCGAAATGCATCCCCAGCCCTAAACAACCACTAATCTATCTTCTGTCTCTATATATTGGACTATCCTGGACGATTCATATAAATGGAATCATACAATATGTAATCTTTTGTGACTGGATTCTTTCACACTTAGTATAGTGTTTTTCAAAGGTCATTCATGTTGTAGCATGCATCAGTTCTTTATCCCTTTTTATGGATGAATAATTTCATTGTATGTACATAGTACATTTACTTTATCCAAACTAATGGACATTTGGGTCATTTCCATTTTTTGGCTATTATAAATAATGCTATTATAAACATTCTTATACAAGTTTTTGTGAGCACCAAGGTTTTCATTTCTATGGGGTGATAGGTCATATGATAAATCTGTTTAACCTTTTGGGGGTCTGAAAGATGGTCTTCTAAAGTGGCTACAGCATTTTACATTCCCACCAGCAGCATATGAATGTTTCACTTTTTCCGTATCCTCATCAACACTTGTTATTTTTTCTGTCCGACTGTAGCCACCCTACCAGGTGTGAAGTGGCATATCGTTGTGATTTTAAGTTGTATTTCCCTGAGAGCTAATGATGAGCATCTTTTCATGTGCTTGTTGGTTATTGTATATCTTCTTCAGAGAAATGCCAATTCAAATCTTTTGCCTATTTTTTAATTGGGCTATTTTTTACTACTGAGTTGTAAGAGTTCTTTATGTATACTAGGTACAACTCTGTTATCAGACGTGTGATTTGCAGATATTTCTTCATGTTCTGTGGGTTCTTTTAACTTTCTTGTGATATCCTTCGAAACATAAAATTTTTAATTTTAATATACAATTATCTACTTTTTTCTTTTATTGATTGTACTTTGGTGAAATATGTAAGGAACCACTGCCCATTCTAAGGTCATGAAGATTTATGCCTATGTTTTTTCCTTCTTTTTTTTGTGAGACAGAGTCTCACTCTGTTGCCCAGGCCGGAGTGCAATGGCATGATCTCAGCTCACTGCAACCTCCGCCTCCCTGTTTCAAGCCATTCTGCCTCAGCTTCCCAAGTAGCTGGGACTACAGGCATGTGCCACCATGCCCGGCTAATGTTTGTATTTTTAGTAGAGACGGGATTTCATCATGTTGGCCAGGCTTGTCCTGACCTCAAGTGATCCACCCACCTTGGCCTCCTAAAGTGCTGGGATTACAGGCGTGAGCCACGTATGCCTATGTTTTTTCTAAGAGTTTTATAGTGTTAGCTCTTACATTTAGGTCTATGATTCATTTGAATTATTTTTTGCATATGGTGTGAGATAGTGGTTCAACTTCATTCTCTTGCATGTTAATTTCCAACTGGGCACCACTGGTTGAAAAGACTGTTGTTTCCCCTATTGAGTCCTCTTGTCATTCTTGTCAAAAGTAATATAAGGGTTTACTTCTGGACCCTCCATTCTATTCCATTGACCTAGATGTGTATCCTTATTTCAGTACCACATTCTTGACTAACATAGCTTTGTAGTAAGTTTTGAAATCAGGAAGTGTGAATACAACAACTTTGCTCTTCTTTTGGCTACTCTGGGTCTCTTACATTTCCATATAAATTTTAGAATCAGCTTGTCAGTTCTGCAAAGAAGCTAACTGGGATTTTGATAGGGATTGTGATGAACCTGTAGTTCAATTTTGGCAACACTGCCATCTTAACAATAGTAAGTCTTCTAATCCCTGAACATGAGATGCATTTCCATTTATTTATTTGATCCATTTATTTACTTTCAAGAATGTTTTACAGTTTTATGAGTTTTACAATTATTCTGCTAAATTTATTCCTAAGTATTTGTTATTCTGATGCTATTGTAAATTATTTTTTTGTCATATTTGCTTTTAGCACTATTAAATACTTTAGAAAGCTTTCCATCTTTTTCTGTGCTTTAGAACATTTTATTTGATGTACAGTCCTTAGTGTTTGGTAAATGTGACTGTAAACCTATTTGGGCCAGGTGCCTTTTTTAGGAAAGAATATTTTTCTACCTTCTACCTTGTAAATTAATTACAGGAGTTTATAGAAAATCATCCTTTGCATTTAGATTTTTAAATTTATTCCTATAAAGAATTATAATTTTTAAAAAGTCATTTGTATCTATAAGTATGTCCCTTTCTTATTATCAAGGTTATATTTACAAGCCTTCTCTTTTTTCCTGATCACAATTGCCAAAAGTTTGTCTATTTCAACAGTATTTTAAAAGAACAAAATTTGCTTTTTTAACTTATCAACAAATTATATTGATCATTACTCTTTTTTTCATAACTTTAATGTTTGCTTTTATTATTTTATTTTTTCCACATTCTTTGGGTTTACCTTGTTCTTTTTCTAGTTTTTGAATTGAAAATACAATCCATTTATTTTTCATGTTTTCTCATAAGTACATGTAATCCTACAAATTTTCCCCTAATGCTGCTTTGGCTGCATCCCCTAAGTTTTGATACGCACTCCTTTCATTTTAAAACTGAATTCTTAATATGGTTTATTATTTCAATTTTGACTTGCCATTTAATCTAATAATTACTTAGAAGTTGATATACTCACATTTCTTTATCATATTTGCGTTTAGCATTATTTAATAAGCTGAAAAGCTTTCCATCTTTTACGATGCTTTGAAACATTTTCCATAATGAAGAATCCTTGATGTTTGAAAAACTTGACTATAAAACAATTTGGCCAGGTTCCTTTCTTCAGATGGAATATTTTTTAAAATTTTAAATTTTAAATTTTCCAAGTAAATATTTTCCTGTAGTTACTTTTTTTTTTTTTTTTTTTTTTGACAGTCTTCCTCTGTCACCCAGGCTGGAGTGTAGTAGTGTGATCTCAGCTCACTGCAACTTCCACCTCCCAGGTTCAAGCAATTCTTCTGCCTCAGCCTCCCAAGTAGCTAGGATCACAGGCATGCACCACCATGCCTGGTTAATTTTTGTATTTTTAGTAGAGATGGGGTTTCACCATGTTGCCAAGCTGGTCTTGAACTCCTGACCTCAAGTGATCCCACCACCTCAGCCTCCCAAAGTGCTGGGATTATAGGTGTGAGCCACCACCCCCAGCTTCTCTGTAGCTACCTTTTTAAATTAATAAATAATTTACTAAATTCTGGTGAGAGACTATGTTCTATATAATTTCTATATTTTAAATTTTGTTTCCCTTTATAAAATGATTTTGTCATGGTTGTTTGAAAACAACTGGTATGTTTTGCATTGGGTACAAAGTTTTATATATGCCTATTGGAACAAACATGGTCATTGTATTATTTTTTAAATCTGTATGTTAATTTTTGATTACTGTATCTGTCCATTTCTGAAACAGGCGTTATTATACCCCATGGTAATTACAAATTCCTTTATTTCTCCCCGTTTTGTTTATGTGTAACAACTCTGCTGAGTTGCTAGGAACAAAAAAGGTTATAACTCATATTCTTGGGGTAGCATGACTTTGATCTATATGAATTATTCTTCTTTGTTCTATTTAATGTGATTTTCCTTGAATTCATTTTTTCTGATAATAATATTGTTATACCCTCCTTTACAATAGTAGTTGCTTGGCACAAATTTTTCAATCCCTCTTTCATTCTTGCTGTTATTTCACTTTAGCATGTCTTATAAACAGCAGTAAGGTGAAGTTCTGAGACAGTTTTAACCTAAACCAAAGGTTGCCTTTTAATACAAAATATGTAACACATGTACATTTTTTGTGGTTACTGGCAATTGTAAACTTTTAACTTCTTTAATTTAATATTTTTAATTTACTATGGTTTATGGTTGCTCTTTTTTCCTCTTCATGCCTTTTGTGGGTTAGAAAATACATATTTCTATTCTTCTAGAAATTACCAGTAAAGTAAAGTACCAGTAAAGTATTTCACCCTTATATGAAAGTTGTCAGAATCAAAATGGAGTCACTCATATTAAAAACCTTGACAAATAGAGCCAGGGGAAGCCATGAAGCAGGGGCAGCGGGGGTCTCATATGCAAATGCCTGATAATAAGAACTATCATAAAAGACTGCAAAAACCACACCCTTACACAACAGCCATCACAACCGTACACACACACACACAAAAATGCTTTTGAAAGGGCATCTGCCCAGCAACTGCCTCTCCAACCTCTGACTGGTGCCACCCTTGTAACTAATTTTTGTAGCCAAAGATCTCAAAACAATTTAACTCAAAACGATTATGTAATCCTTCTCATTTTTCCATTAAAAACCTTTGTCTTCCTTTACCTCCCTGAATATGCACACACTTTACTATGGTATGTGAATTCCCTTGCAATGTTCCTTCCCAGATAAATATCATTTTACTTTAGAGAGCCTCTCTCTGGCTGTTATTTCGGTTGGCACTCATTACAAAACAATATGATTTAGATACAACCACAATTTTTACTGATTTCTTTATATACCTATATTTCCTTTATCCCATATCTTCATTTTCCTTGAATTTATATTTTATTTTCCTGGAGTTGTCTGTGGAAGTAAACTTTCTGAGTTGTTGCATATTTTGAAAATGCCTTTATTTTGCCTTTCTTCTTATATATTAGTTTGCCTGGATATAGAATTTTAGATTCACAATCATCTTCCTTCAGAATTTTGAAGCTATTACACCATGATCTTCAATAATCCAGTGGTGTCAGTGTTTAGGAATGCGGTTTTCTCCACTGATTGATCTTCACCTGTGTTCTTCTTCAAGAGGACAGAAATGTCTCATTTACTGATGGCAGTTGTCCAGCACTGAATTTATTCCTTCCAAAAATATATCTTTTCTGACATTATTAGAGATAGCTTTATGGTGAAGATGTTTAGCTTGCCCTCTTAGGCCAATCACCATCTCTTCTCTTTAAAGATACTATCAGCGTTCATTGTCATCAAACTTTTAATGACCTACCATGATTATACTTTTGGCCTATGCAAACATTCATAATAGTTTTGTTGTAATAGAATTCTACTCTGTTTAATGTTATAAATACAAGGATTAAATCCTTCTTACAATACTAAGTATTTCATTTATATCACACGATCCTAATATAAAGCATAAATACAACAATCAAGTCTCATGAGAAAATGTTGAGATTTTTACTGGCATTTTCTAACTAACCTTGATATCACAGTGTCCAATAGGTCTGGATACATAAGTAGTATATTTATTGTAGTTTTTCAGAATAAAAAATTAGACCTTTGCTTTAAACTCTGAGGTACTTCACCTGAAAAGTTTTCTGTAGATTGTAGAAAATCTTAAGGACTATATTATTTTTAAATGCAATCAATATACTTTTAAAAATGAAATTATTCCTATACATCTTGACTTGTCAGACATCCAGTGTATCTACTATTTGCTCCAGCTCTGTGACTCATTCAGGTATATTTATTCAATCTCTGCTATCTAGAGAGTTTCAGTTGTAGTCATTATGACATTTAGCATCAGAAGCCCTAGATTCGTGTCTCAGTCCAACTACTTGCTACTACGCTTATGAGCCTCAATAAGATTCTTAATCCCTCTCAGCCTCAGCTTCCTTTTCTGTAAAATTAATATCATAACATGTGCATTGTTTACATTCACTATATAAAATTATATATCTACATATAAGCACTATGAAGACTTTTAGCCAAAATGATTGTATGTTTGAATAACACCATCAGAGGTCTTAAGTGTCAGAAGCTGAAATTTATGTACAGTTTTGGGGAAAATGAATACTTCTGTTTGGGGGCCATTATGTTGCCAGGTCAACCATCATGTTTCAACGTATATATAATTGGAACCCAATTTATTTCTGAAACTAGAATCTGGAAAGGCTGTTACTTATCATTTGAGAAAAGGTAACTCATGTTCAAGACAATAAAGCTCCAATAGCCTTTCTACATCACATACCACTCCAGTTAAGCTGAAAATCTGGAATACCAGTCATCATAAATAAAGGAAAAGATAGGAGAGACTCCAAGGAAGTATGTCCCTACAGCTTATCAAATGTTGTAAATAAAATAAAACCTAAAGTAGCAAAAACACCTATTTTTTAACAGTATTTTGCTATTTCAAAAAAAGGCTTTCATGTACATTATTTCATTTGATCTTCCTGGCAGGTAGGTTTAGCAAATGTTATTTTTTTCACAAATTACAGATGAAACTGAGTTTCAGAGAAGTGATGTTACATTCCTGAAATCATATACCTGGTAGGCAGAGCTGGCCCTGGGCCTCTGATTACTAATATTAATCTGCTCTCAGAGAAGCTGTCATAAAGCACCTCCACTAACCAGCTGTCTAAACTAATCAACATCCTCCATTCCTTCTGTAGAACATCACCTGCCCCACGTGCTGCTGCCTCATTTGGCCCTTATGTCACCATGAAATACACACTTACCAGGAGTCCATCGTGTCTGCTCCCAAAGATTTTTTTTTTTTTTTTTTGAGACAGAATGTTGGTCTTGTCACCCAGGCTGGAGTGCAATGGCACAATCTCAGCTCACTGCAGTCTCCGCCTCCTGGGTTCAAGCGATTCTCCTGTCTCAACCTCCTCAGTAGCTGGGATTACAGATGCCTGCCACCACGCCTAGCTAATTTTTGTATTTTTAGTAAAACAGGGTTTCACCGTGTTGGGCAGGCTGGTCTCGAACTCCTGATCTCAAGTGATCCGCCTGCCTCGGCCTCCCAAAGTGCTGGGATTACAGGCGTGAGCCACCGCGCCCAGCCCCAAAGATGTTAATGCTAATTTTACATCCGATTGTAACTGCATATTAAAAGATAATGAAACTGATTAAATGAATGAAAAAAAAGATGGTTGTCACTTCTAGGACACATAAATTGACTACTTTGGAAAAACTAAAAGCAAATTGCTAAAGAGGACTGTGGTCAAATAAGATATTAGATAAATATAAATATTGGTGAAAAATAATCGTAAAAATCTAAGTGGATTTTGCAATGATTGCTTTAAAATATTAAGTTCTCATTTTATTTTAAATAAAAACAAGACACTGTATCAAATATATTATAGCTAGAATTCATAAAAAAGAAACACTAGAACTCTAATTACTAAGTAATCAAAAGAAAACTCAGCCCAACATCAAAAGATGAACAGGTTACACATTTTAATAAAATATAAAACATATCATTTTATGAATCTTTGTATTAACTGACTTTTCAATTAATTGTTAATAGTTACCCTACTAACAATTCAATAATATCAGATAAAAGGGTGTCTATTATAATACAGTTTCCAGATTCCTCCCCACAAACGATAAGATCCCAAGAATCTTGCTGGTGGGGAGAGAGCCCTACTCAAAATTTGCTTTGCTATAACTTAAAGTAATATATAATGTAAAATGTTGTCACTATTTATTATTGTTGCCATTATTTGGTATTGGAAACTCTAGCATACAAAGGCCTCTATTCTGATATGGGCAGGAGGTTGAGGGAAGCAGTTAAATTTCTCTGCAAGTTAAAGTACCAGCAAATTTTAAGCTTTGCCTGTGCGGTTTTGTTGTACAATAAACAAGAAGAAGAGGAGGGGCCAGCAACAAGCCAGCAGGAGGGGGCTCTGGAGAAAGAAGGCTGTTTACTTATGATGGAAATAGCCAGGGGCAATGCTGCCTAACACTGAACTTTAAGGTGATCCCCATTTTGTGCAGTGCTGTGGCCTCTTAGGTTATCTCTAATTTTTTAAAAAGTACTACACAAAATAACCCTGTGTTAGTAATGTTTTGGGAAATAAGAAAGGAGGAGGGATGATTCATCTTTGGGGCTAAGAAATCAACCAGAATAATAATTTAAAGTAGTGTTACATTAGGTAGTCAGGCAGACATGAGCAGGGTAGGAGAGATGCCCCCCTACTAACATTAGGCAACCATCAGGTGATAGTCAGGTAGTTAACTGTCTCTCCAAAATACTAATGGGTCGCAGCCGGCACCAGAGAAAGGCAGTCTCCCAATAGATGGAAAAAACTGAAACTGGTGATCAGCAGCTTTCCGATAAGATCTCAGGAATTGGGTGAGTGGTCTCAAGCATGTGCGTTAAGAGCCAAAATGGCAGAGTTTAACTGGTATATGACCTTCCTCTAGGAACACTCAACTGGTAAGGGAAGAATGCCTCACCTGAGCATGCATACAACTCCAGTAAACTCACTGTGCCTGTGGTCCCTCCCATGTGCTAGCAGGCCACTGTGCATGCAGACAGCCCACTTCAAAGGAAGAATCAGGTGAGAAGGGACAGAAGATGCTGGAACATACAAAACTGTAAGTCAAAGGTCAAACTGGGCACTTGACTCTCTCACATCACCTGCTTGGCCCTCTTCCAAGTGTACTTTACTTCCTCTCATTCCTACTTAAAACTTTTTAATAAACTTTCATTCCTGCTTAAAACTTGCCTCAGTCTCTGACTCTGCCTTATGACCCACCTCAGTTGAATTCTCTCTTCTTAGAAGGCAAGAACTGAAGTTGCTGCAGACCTGTATAAATTAGGCACCGCTAACAGTAGTGACACACGATTCTTTCGGTAACCTCTGTGGCCAGTGGTGCCTCTGCCTGAGTTTCACTTTTGACTGCTGAGCTGGCTCCACCCACTCGGCCTGGCAGGCTGTACTGAGCTTGCGCTACTGGCCCAGATCCCATGCCCACTGTGGACAAGCCAGGCACAGAATGGCAAGGGGTGTGTGAGTGAGCAAGTGTAGGGTCCAGCCATGATGCACAGCCAGGTGTGCCAGCTGCTGCAGTGGGGTGGGCAGCTCCAGGCACCAGCACAGGCGTGAGTTTTGTGAGGGGCTGTAGCTGGGCCAGGCAGCAGCATCTGGACAGGGGGAATGCAGTGGTGCCCAAAAACTCAGAGACACCAGCAACCACAGAGCCCCAAGGGGGTGTTACAGCATGTCACAGCTCTGACTCAGGGAGTCCCGAGGTCTGGGTCCCCAGAAGGGTCACAGCTCTCTTGTCTTGTAGTCTGGCGAATGGGAACATGTCACTGCTGGCAGCTTGGCAGGCCAGCCAGGAACATGTTTCAGCTTATTTGTGTTATAGCTTGTTTGGTCCTGCTGCCCCACTCTGGCCCATGATGGCTCCTGGGCTGGCCTGGCCCCACCACCACTTCCCATCACATGGGACAGCCATCCAGCACTGGCATAGGGTGAGAGGGATTCAGTGTTACAGCTCCTTTCGCATCCGGGCAGGCTCCAGGTTCATGTCCTGTGTCCAAGAGGAATGAGGTTATGTGGACAACCAGAGCGTGAGCAAGGTGGAGAAGAGTTTTATTGAGTGACAAAACAGCTGCTAACACCAGAGGGGACCTTAAGTGGGTAGCCCCTACCCAAAGGCAGGTAGTTCCGACATGTCGCTGAGTCTGGGGTTTTTATGGGCTCAGAATAGGGGAGTGTGTGCTGAGTGGTCCACGGACTGGCCTGGAAAAAGCACCATTCAATTAGCTAAATAGTATCAAGAAAGTTCTCACTTCGGGTTGAGGACCCAACCTGGAACTGGCAGCCCAGTTTTCAGGCTCTAAGCTGTCTTTGCCTTGAACATCAGGTTTCACCAAGGACCTGCCCCTGTCTGCCTAGGAATTTGGCTGTCTCCTGCTGCTATCAGTAGGAGATAACCAGGAGAATGCAACCCTCTTGGGAATCTTTGATAATCTTAGAGAGCGAACAGGACATTCCAGAGTTACATGGGACGAGATTTGAATCCGTTTGTTTTCTTTTCTTTTTTGTTTGAGACAGGGTCTTGCTGTGTTGCCAGGCTGGAGTGCAGTAGCATAATCACAGCTCCTCTTGGGCTCAAACAATCCTCCTGCCTCAGCCTCCTGAGTAGGTGGGACTACAGGCATGTGATTCACCACATCTGGCTAATGTTTTTACTTATTGGGAATCACAAGTCTCACTTTGTTGCCCAGGCTGGTCTCAAACTCCTGGGCTCAAGCAATCCTCCTGCCTTGGCATCCCAAAGTGCTGGGATTACAGGCAAGAGCCACCGTGCCTGGTGGAATCCATTTATCAACAGAAGGAGAAAATGGAAAGAAAATCCCAGAAGACATAGTACTTGGGTATGTCCAGATTACATGTTTATGAAAATTATGGAGAACAGACTCTCCCCGTGTTTATTCAAAGGAAAATTAGGACAAAGCCTGCAAAAACATTCATACTGTGCCTCCCTTAGAATTGAAGCAAAGTTTCCAAATTTAATTGTGCAAGGCCTTGACTGTGCTGAAGTGTTTATCTGTAAAAATATGGTAATAAAAAAGAGCTTATATGTCTGTGAACATATGAATTTAAAGAGAATATTCTCTTCAGTTAGTTATTATTTTCATTCCAGAGCTTTTAAAATTGAGTATCATAATTAGTATAATTGTGATAAGTTAATACTGAAATTCCACTGAGGAAAAAAATGCGAAATGCTTACGTATTTAGGTTTCTTTGATCATGGGCTTTGAGTTTTTTCATAATTTCATTTAAATATGATATGATTCATTTAATTTAACTTAATTTATTTATTTATTCTCTGCTTCATACCAGAATAGATGTAAGTCTACCTACAAAAACAAGGAGAAGGGAAAACTAGACACTTACAAAGAGATTTGTAAAGTTAAAAAGAGAACAGTTTCTCAGGAGTAATACAATTGTTCTTACATCGAAAAGCAGTTAGGCAGTTCTCTGAGTATCCTCATAAATAGAAACCATGATATAAAAAAAACACATCCTTGACAACATTCCTAAAAGACAGATGACAATGAGTGTCATTTGTGCTGTTTCCCTCCCTGTCTCTCAGCCCAGGCTGTTGACAGCACAGACTGATGACATCACATTGTCATGCTGATTGCATGACAATTCAGCAAGACCAGTTCTCAGGGTGACAAGGGGTAGCAGAGGCTAATTGAAATGCAATACACATTCTCAGTTTCTCTGTGGATCTGATTTGATCCAGGGGTGAACTATAAACTGCCTGGAGCGATATCCCCTGTATACTGTTTCAATCAAACTACGGATAAATATTGGACGGCAGTAACTTACTGCTGGGATAATGACACTATAATCCAGGAATAAAATGTGAATGCCCCACAACTATGTGAATAGACTTCCTCCTCTAGGCCAGGGTCCTCTAAATTTAATCTGAAAGACTGGTTCAGGCCATGATTCAGGGGCTGGAGAGGGGATCAGACATGCCTCATTATGTCCTCCTCCCTTTTGAATTCAGGAAAAGCCAACCAGCATTTAACATTAACAGGACCTTAAGTCTGATAAACAGTTACAATTTATTCTCTCTGAAGCCTGCTACCTGGAAGCTTCATCTGCATGATAAAACTTTAGTCTCCACAACCTCTTATCTTAACCCAGATATTCCTTTCTATTGACAATAACTTTTTCAACCAGTTGCCAACCCAAAAAATTTTTAATCTACCTATAACTTAAAAGCCCCACCCCATTCCACACCCCACCTCCACTTCGAGTTGCCCTGCCTTTCTGGATCCTCCTCTGATCAATACTTCCCTTTCAACACCTAGTTTTATTATCCAACTATAGATTCTCTTCCAAAGTCAGTCTTACATTCTAAAATCCATTTATTTCTTTTCTTCCCCTCTTAACTCTCAAGAAACTCTGAGCTAAACAAAATGCATAAAAGCATCTATAATTCCTTCTCTAAGTCTACAGCAATCCAACATATACCTTAAATGTATTTCATTGATGTCTCACATGTCCCTAAGATGTATAAAACCAGGCTGCACCCCTGACCACTTTGGGCACATGTTCTCAGGATCTCCTGAAAGCTGAGTCATGGGCCATGGCCACTTATATTTGGCTCAGTTTAAATCTCTTCAAATATTTTATAGAGTTTGACTCTTTTTGTCAACAACACCATAGGCTCAAATGCCTAACTTTGCAAATGGGTAGTGACTAAATCCAGGAAGATCCCTGCTGTCAAGCATTCACCTCTTACTTGCTGGTTCATGTAGGGGTCTAGAAGGCCCAAAGGGAGGAGCCTGGTGTTGGGGAGGTTGAACAATAGCTATTTCCCAATCAGTATAAAATTATTATTATTTTATTATTTTTTTTTAGACAGAGTCTTGCTCTGTTGCCCAGGCTGGAATGCAGTGGTGCGATCTCAGCTCACTGCAAGCTCCGCCTCCCAGGTTCACACCATTCTCCTGCCTCAGCCTCCTGATTAGTTAGGAGTACAGGCACCTGCCACCACGCCCAGCTAATTTTTTGTATTTTTAGTAGAGACGGGGTTTCACCGTGTTAGCCAGGATAGTCTCGATCTCCTGACCTCGTGATCTGCCCGCCTTGGCCTCCCAAAGTGCTGGGATTACAGGCATGAACCACCGTGCCCGGCCGAAATTATTTTAATAATATAACAGCTGGTATGGACAGTCATATATGCCAGCTGATGTCAACTCTCCAACACATAACAAAATTACAAATATATATATATATATCGTTTGACTTGAGGCTTTTTAAACTTGAGCTTCAGGGACTCTACTGCTAGTTTCATGGTAAAAATCTAAGTGCATTGTTTGTAAGACAGACAATAAACAATGCTAAATTTCATCAAGTCTTCCCTGTAATATGCCTGTAGGGCACTATCTGTCCCCACTGTTGTTTATTAAAGAGATGTGATAAGCCCAAGATAGTTAATGGACATCTGCCCTGCCATGTGGCCTCTGAATGTTGAGGAGACACATATACTGTCAGAGTGTATACAGTGTATCCTCCTACACCCCACCCTGAGCTGGCCCAACTCTCTGGAATCAAGGTTAGGGTAGGGAGTGTGATCCAAGCCATACACAAATCCAACACAGAGCACTAAGAGAGTGCTTATCCAGCTTCTCAGTGTCCTGCGGTTGCATTCAGACAACAGTGCTCTTTCGGCTAGGGTTAGGTTCAACTTCACTTAACTGAAAATTCAAAAGAGAAGAGGTTAAACACATGGGGTTTCTTCTCTCATATATAGCAAGTCCATAAACAGGCAGTCCAGAGCCCCAGACTCCATCTATTATTCTGCCCCACCAGCTGCAGCACATCCATATAGCACGGTTACTTCATGGTCCAAGGCAGCTATCAGACTTCCAGCATCGTGTTGGCATTCCAGGAAGCGGAAGGAATAAGAAAGAATACCAGGCTGGGTGCGGTGGCTCACGCCTGTAATCCCAGCACTTTGGGAGGCCGAGGTGGGCAGATCACGAGGTCAGGAGATCGAGACCATCCTGGCTAACATGGTGAAACCCTGTCTCTACTAAAAATACAAAAAAATTCGCTGGCGTGGTGGCAGGCGCCTGTAGTCCCACCTAATTGGAAGGCTGATGCAGGAGAATGGTGTGAACCCAGGAGGTGGAGCTTGCAGTGAGCCAAGATCGTGCCACTGCACTCCAGCCTGGCAGAAAAAGGAAGACTCCGTCTCAAAAAAAAAAAAAAAAAGAAAGAAAGAAGACCAAAACAGGCGCTTATCCCAACTGAGTCAGCTTCCTTTAAACAATTTCTATGGTTTGAATATTTTTTTGTCCCCTCCAAAACTTATGTTGAAACTTAATCCCCAATGTTGGCAGTACTGAGAGGTAGGGCTTTAAGAGGTGACGGGGTCATGGGAGGTCTGCCCTCATTAGTGGATTAATCTATTCGTGGATTTAAGAATTAATGGGATAATGGATTAATGGATTATCATGGGAATGGGACTGGTGACTTTATAAGAACAGGAAGAAAAACCTGAGCTAGCATGCTCAGTTCTGTCACCACGTGATGCCATGTGCCACCTCAGGACCCTTCAGAGAGTCCCTACCAGCAAGAAGACCCTCGCCAGATGTGGCCCCTTGACCTTGGACCTCTCAGCCTCTATAACTGTAAGAAATAAATTCCTTCTCTTTGTAAATCACCCAGTTTCCAGTATACAGAAAATGAAGTAACACAGCAATCTTTTTGGATAACCCATTCAACACTTCTGCCTACATCCCATTGGCTACACCTCGCAAGGAAAGCTGTGAAACGTAGTATAGTCTTTTAGCTGGGCACACTGCAGCCCAGAATAAAATCAGGATTCTGTTTTACTACGAAAAAAGGAGAGAATGGATATTAGCTGGCAACCCACAATCTCCACCACAAACCAATTACAGCAAATCATATAGCAAAGCAACAAAGAATGGCAACTACATGATTTATTATTTATGCTGAACTAACCCAAGTCAGAAGATCAACCAAAAATTCTGCAGCACTAGATCTTTCTTGAGAAAAAAGGTATAATTTAACTTTTTAAAATAAAATGCAAATTATGTCCTTGGTGACTTCACCCTTTGACTTGGCACAAACTCTTCCCAAAATGTCCCCTAAGGTGGAACAATCTAGATCACATTTGGCTCCACCTTTACTATTTTCTTAATTTATTGATAGTTTCTCTCATCATAATTCCATTACATAAGGAGGGAATCCCACAACCTCAGTAATCAGAAGTGAATTCTCTATAAATCAGCCTTGATGAAAAAGAAAATAAGCTAGAAGGCTGGGCTCAGTGACTCACACCTGTAATCCCAGCACTTTGGGAGGTTAAAGCAGGAGGATCGCTTGAGGCCAGAGTTTGAGACCAGCTTGGGTAACATAGTGAGATCCCATCTCTAAAGAAAAAGGCAACCAGGCATAGTGGCACACACCTGTAGTTCTAGCTGCTCGGGAAGCTGAGGTGGAAGGATCACTTGAACCCAGGAGTTCAAGGTTACAGTGAGCTATTATTGCACCACTGCACTCCAGCCTGGGTGGCAGAGTGAGACCCTATCTCTAAATATATATATGTATATACACACATATATATACAAGCTAGTAATTCAGATTTTTCTTAAAACAGAAATCTGGACTTTTATATGATAAAATGACAGCTAATTTGCTTTTTAAAAAAAACAATGTGTGAGCCTCTATTTGACCAAGACCTAAACTCTGCTTGGTTAAGTGTCCACTATACTCTTGACGTTCCTCACTTTTGTTGTCATAGGGATGCAGTTCTTTCCACAGAAAATCTTGCCTGCCTTTTTCTCCCTGTTCTTTCTTCCCTTTTTTCTCCCTTTTCTTTCCATTTCTCTTCTTTCATCTATCTTTACCAAGATAATTTTCCTTCTAATGACCTTGTTACCCATTCCTTCTTCTACACACTTCTTTCCTGAAATGCTCCTCTGATCAATACTTCCCTTTCAACATCCAGTTTTATTATCCAACTATAGATTCTCTTCCAAAGTCAGTCTTACATTCTAAAATCCATTTATTTCTTTTCTTCCTCCCTTAACTCTCAAGAAACTCTGAGCTAAACAAAATGCACAAAAGCATCTATAATGCCTTCTCTAAGTCTACAGCACGAGGCTACAAACCAAATGCCATCAGCAGTTAGTCAGGCAATATTCTTGACAATCGACAGTGACAACTGCAATGACAATTGATACGTAGCTTCCTTGTAGAAGAACCAATAGGACATAGTAGTTATTGTGACAAATTCAAGAACCCATCCCTTATCTAAGGTAGAGCAATTGCTACCAGCTCTTCTTAATTTTTTAAATATAAGCTGGAAAGTCCGGTTTTTTTCTTAAAAGAAGAAATAAATCGGAATTTTCATATGAAATATACAACTAATTTACCTTCTAAATACAATGGGTAGACCTATATTTTCAACCTTTGATCTATAGCACATATTGAATTACTCTCTAATCGATTCAAACATACATACCTCATCACAAAACCTGGAAGAGTGCTAAGCACATTGTAGGCCCTCAATAAAAGTTGATTGATGTTGTAACTGAGTCAATGGACTTATTCATACTCTTCACTTAGGGAGGAATTTCTGGACTGTTTCAGTGCTTGGGTAAGGTTAAGAAATATTACCTTGACTATGATGAAAATAAGGGAGATACAATCACTTTTTTCTTCCTAACCAGTGGTTTTATACTTCATTTGTTATCACCTAAACCCTATGATTATGATAAATTAGCTTTAGTATGCTGCACACAAGCTTTAGTGATTTCTTTATTCATGAGTGACTATAGGCCTTTAATTAATAACCACCGAAACTGTATTTTACTGGTCCATGTCTTACATGTCACCAATTGGCCAGACTTATTCACTCTTTCCCTGCGAAAACACCACTAAATGTAATGACTCGAATGGTAGGCTTAACCTCCATGACAGAATTATAACATGAGAAAAAAAAAAACATGAAATTTGGAGGCAGACAAACCTGAGTTCAAATCCTAGCTATGACACTTGTTGTATATTCTTAAGCAAGTAATAAACTTCTTGGGGGTCTCATTTTTCTCATCTGTAAAATGGGACAATAAACTCCACTTACAAAGTTGTTATGAAGAGTATGAAGAGTAAATAAATAATATAAAATGCTTGGCAGTTTTCCTGGCCCACAGTGGAGAATACAAAATATTAGTAGCAACTCCCTTTGCTTACTCACTGTGTATCTCAGTTCAGAATGTTTTCTCTTTTTAGCTATAAAGTGGGTCAACTCATATTTACCTAGTATTCATAGTATTTTAACTTCCTATATAGTACTTGGAAACACTAAGAAAATTTGCCAGGTTTCAATTATAAAAGTGAGTAGATGGGCAAACTAATTTAACAAAAACACAATTACACAATTTACAGGTTGGTTCATTTCCTAGCCATAAAACAATCCAAAGATTCCTTGCTATAAAACAACACTAATACACATTTCTAAAAGTGTTCTGAAGTGAAGGTTTTTAGTACAATAACAAATTTACACCACCGGTAGATAAAAAATTTGTGCATGTGTGTGTGCACATGGACACACACACACACACACACCACTGGTGGATAAAGGGTCATCACTCTAAAAAAGTTAATTTTTTTCCTAAGTATCAGATATATTCATAATTCAAGGTTTAATTTCATGATAGATGCCAAAGAGAAATTTATTCTTACATTCAAAATACATGTATTGAAACTTTGCTTTCAACTTAGATGAAGTAACAAGGACTGAATTTACTCTTCCACCTAAAACAACCAAATCACAGGACAAAATATAAGAAACAACAGTTTTTCAAAACACTCCACATCAAACAAAGGACAGTGATTCCTGAGGGATGGGAAACAAATAAGGTGAGCCCTGCAATTGGCCCATCTTTCTGCCTTGAAAGAGTGTCCCAGGCCGGAGCACAGAAAAGGTGTCTTAGTCTGTTTTGTGTTACTATAACAGAATACCACAAACTGGGTAATTTATTTTATAAAGGAACTCATTTCTCACAGTTCTGGATGCTGGCAAGTCCACAGTGAAGGGCTTGCATATGGTGAAGACTTTTTTGCTGCATCATCCCACAGTAGAAGGCAGAAGGGCAGGACAGAATGCATACGGACTTTTTAACGATAAATTCTGTCTTTAAATCGTCTCTTTCCTGTCTTATTTTACTGTAAGAAGTTAAAAGTAGCCATGCACAGCATGGAGGACTTGCTGTTTAGATATTTCTTTCACCAGATATCCTAGTCCATCACTCTTAACTTTCACCCTTCATAAAGCCTCTGGGCACGGACACTGTTCAGCCCAGTTATTTGCTACTTTATAACAAGGGTGGCCTTTGCTCTAGTTTCCAATACCTTGTTCTTCAGTTCCATCTGAAACCTCATCAGAATGGCCTTTACTGTCCATATTTCTTTCATTATGCTGGTCACAACCACCTAAATAATCTCTAATAAGTTCCAGACTTTCTCTCGTCTTCTCTGTTTTTGAGCCCTCACCAGGATTGCCCTTAATGCACCATTCACAGCAATCCAAGCTTTTTCTACCTTGCTACACCAAATTCTTCCAGCCTCTATCCATTATCCAGTTCCTAAGCCACTTCCACATTTGTGGGTATTTCTCATAGCAACAGCCCTACTTCTCAGTACCAATTTTCTGTCTTAGTCCATATTATGTTGCTATAACTGAATACCACAGATTAAGCAATTTCTAAAGAAAAGAAATTCATTTCTCACAGTTCCGGAAACTGGGAAGTCCAAGGTCAAGAAGAGTGCATCTGGTGAGGGCCTTCTTGCTGAGTCATTCCATGGCAGAAAGCAGAAGAGCAAGAGAGCACACAGGGGAAGGGAGCAAAACTCATCCTTTTATCAGGAACTTGCTCCTGCAATAACTAACCCACTCCCATAACAACAACATTAATTCTTTCATGAGGGCAGAGCTAATGCCCTAATCATGACCTAATCATCCTCATGACCTAATCATCCCTTGAAAGTCCCAACTCTCAATATTGTTACATTGGAGATTAAGCTTCTAACACACAAACTTTAGGGAACACGTTCTAGTCACAGCAGAGAGGGAACACAGGCAGACCCCCAGCAGACTCCATAAGTAGAAAAAGTGGAGTGCAAAAATATTAGGGCAGCTAGAGTTTGCAAGCAGAATATTAGAGAGGAGAGGGCTTCACAGAGAGGGAACGCTGGAAAGTTCTTTAGTCCTCCCCATGTATTCAGCAGAATACTAATGTAAGGAATTGTAAGGAAACTGTGAAGCCTAGGAAATAAACACCTAAAAGACGAAGGGGAATCAGTATGCAATATGCACACAGTCTGGGAATAGTACCTCTGTATACCTCACACTGGTCCTGCTTCTCTAGTCGAACACATACATACATATATAAAGAAACTTGTTACAGGGAATTGGCTTATGTGGTTATTAGAGTTGGTTAAGCAGCTTCTGTAAGGCTGTGTCTCTGCATCTGATATAGAGTCCATAGGGAAAGCAGTCAGTAAGGGAATGTCAGGAAAAGACTATCACAAGCAAGCTGAAACCCTGTAATCGTGAGCTAGTACTCCATGAGGATAGACTGAAATCCATGTCTTTTTTTGTTGCCTCTGACCTTAGTGGAATGGTAATTTTTTTTTTCTTTTTTCTTTTTTTTGTTTTTTTGAGACAGGCTCTGGTTCTGTCAACCAGGCTAGAGCACAGTGGCACTTATCTCGGCTCAGTGCAACCTCCACCTCCCAGACTCAAGACATCCTCCCACCTCAGCCTCCTGAGTAGCTGGGAATAGTGGCTCATGCCACCATGCCTGGATAATTTTTTGTATTTTTTATAGATCGGGGTTTCACCATGTTGCCCATCCTGGTATCAAACTCCTGAGCTCAAGTGGTCTGCCTGCCACAGCCTCCCAAAGTGCTGAGATTACAGGTGTGAGCCACCACGCCTGGCCAGGGCTCTTTTTTATGGAACTAAAAACACATACCTGGCTCATGAGTAAGGAAAAGGTGAAGAAAAATCCAGGGAAGATAGCGCAGTTGTAGGCTCAGACACTGGTCATGTCATTGAGGTAAGTCAGCTACAAAAGTGCTTCTTTCCTTCCGGTTTCCAAATCATGAAAGATTAGTTCTTGTGATCCACCCAATCTGTAAATACACAAGAAAGGAAAGTCTGTGAAATGTAGTTCAGCCTAGCCAAGTTTTTATATTATAAAGCCATCATATAGAGAGAGAAAAAAGAAAAAAAATAAGAGTATCAGTGAACTATGAACAACTTTAATTAGCCTTAAATATGTGCAACTGGAGTTTCCAAAGTAGAGGAGAGAAGAGTGGGACAGAAAAATTCTAAGGAATAATGGAGAAAAATTTTTAAAATTTGATGAAAATTATAACTGAGATCCTAGAAGCTTAATGACCCTTAAACACAGGAAACATAAAATCTCTACACCAAGGCACATAATAATCAAATTGCTCAAATTGTTCAAAACTAGTGATAAAGGCAAAAATCTTAAAAGCAGTCAGAGAAAAAAAAAATTTTACATACAAGGGACCAAAGATACAATGACAGCAGATTTCTCATTGTTTACAGACAATGTAAATAAGAAGACAGTGGAGCCACAACTTTAAAGTTCTGAGAGGAAAAAAAAAATAGGCCAGGCATGAATAGTGCAAGCCTGTAATCCTAACACTTTGGGAGTCCAACAGGGAAGGATCACTTGAGCCTGGAGTTTGAGAGCAGCCTGGGCAACCAACCTAGCAAGCCCCGTCTCTATTAGAAAACAACAACAACAATTGTCAACATAGAATCCTATACCCAACAAAACCAGTCTTTCAAAAATGAAGGTTAAATAAAAATATTTCAGACATGCAAAAACTTTAAGAATTCATCACCTTCAGACCCACACTACAAAAAATAACAAAGGAAGTTCTGCCAGCAGAAAGAAAATAACACCAGATAAAAAATATGGATCTACACAAAAAATGAAAAGCACTAGAAATGGTAACTTTTTGGGTAAATTTTTTCCTATTAAACCTCTTAAAAAGATAATTAACCATTTTAAACAAAATAAAAATGATGTAGTACAAAAGTAAAATGTATAACAACACAAAAGGCTGAGAGGAAAGAAGTAGATGTACATGTTTGTCAAGTTCTAATACTGTATGTAAAGTGGTACAAAATATATGTACTAAACACATCCTATGAACAGGCATTTTTGGGCCCTAGTTACAATGATGAAAACAATCTACCCCCTCTCCTTGAGGAATTTACCTCCTCCTGTACTCTCCCAAGAAGCTTAATCAGCTTTTACACTGAGCAGAAAAACTGCGGGGTAAGACCTCTTTTTAAAGTGACCTTCTTTTTAATGTTTCAGTTCTACGCTGGCAATGCATTATGGAGTAAATGACATAAGATGCAGCCACTATTTTAATGTTAAAGAAATATGTGCCTGTAGGTAAGATATATTGTTATATACTACCATTAAAGTTCATTCTATGGTCACAAGAAAGGACTGAAGGTTCCACCTCCAGGTCAACTGAGATTACAATCAACATCTAACCAAAAGTCCCCAATTTCATTCACAATGAAGCTCTACAATTAATAATACTCAAACACATTTTCTAAACTTATTTCAATAAGATTGAAATTACTCCCATTTAAACAGATGTGATTCTAAGAATGTCTATTTTTAGATGGGAGTTGCATAAGTTGCCAGAAATGGATCTGGCAATGTCAAGGTTATGTCTCACTGAAAAACAGACATAATTTAACCTTTGTGGGGGGAAATACGCTATCCTGCATCTACCCTGGAGCAGATGGATATGTAAGCATGGATGTAGGGAGAGAGTGGCAATGGGTGGGCCTTTTTGCTTCAAGCACCCCACCATGCACATACTTGTCCTTTCCTAAGGGGGTAATATATATAAATCTTGTGGCAGCAAAGGGGTTTTATTTCTGTTGTTTATTCTGTATCCACCTTTCCTGGACTATTCCAGTGTAATCAAGTTGCATAAATTGACTGACACCATTCCAAGAAAAATTTTATTGTAATGAACCAAAGTGACTAGGGCTGTAATGAGATTTCACAAGAGTACAGGATCACAGGAAATGAAAAGAGAAACACCATATATATTCTGTAGAAAAATGTATAATGTTCTAGCAACTGCCCCAACCTCACATCAGAATCAGTCACTTCCAAGCATTCTCATTGTACAACTCCTGGAAAAGGTTTTGAACAATAAACTTCATCTTCTGTGCCATACACTTTAGTAAGTGCTTGTGATACATTTTCTGATGCACTCATTACAAAATCCTATAAGGTATAAATTATGATGTCCTTTTCACAGAAGACTGAGGCTTAGAGAGGTAAAGTTTTCACAGCTACTAATGGCTAGACAAGAATATGATGCCAGATCTCACTTTTAAGCCTAGACCCTTACATTCTATACAAAGCATAAATAAGCCATTGGATCCAAGTGTATTCAAATCATACATTGCACCATAAGCCACTACTGCCCCAGAAGTCCACAAGGAAGATAAATTCTCAAGTGTCAGTGGTGAAGGAAAGAAAAATACCACGATTGTAGGTCAAGCTTATGACTGAAACCCCAATGCAGAGCTGTTAGGAAACCTGGGCTGGAACATAAAGCCAAAGATTGGAGGCCTCTGAAGCCAAATCCGTCCCCTAACCCCAACTTAACTCATAGAACCAGCTGGCTCTATGGGAGGTGGGAAACTGAAGAGATGAGAAAGCTCCAAGACACAGGAGATAAAAGGGAGAAAAGAAGGTGGTTAGGTCTGCCCCATTGAACTTCCAGGTATTTGAGAAAAGGGGATAAAAAGTGAGATGCATTTATGTACATGACCTGTCAACATACAACAGCCTTGTCCTCTAGTAAATATGTCCAATCGAATGTCCCAAGAGCTTACCCCTCTGATTAGCAACACTCCATCATGAAAGGAGAGTAAGCAGTTTTGGGGAGAGGTAATTCACCATGGGCCCTGAGGGTGCCTCCATGTTCTTATTGGTTTGCCAAGAATGCAAGGCCCTGACCACATTTTACCTTGGCCTTTTCTCAGAGTTGTATTTGCAGGGAGCAGCCCTGAGGGATGAGGAAATATCGCCCCCCAAGACAAGCTTGTTACTGCTTACAATAAAAGCAACAGACTCCACAAGCACAGTGTTCCTCTCCTGTAATACAACCCACTGCATGTGTAGGCATCAATCAAGACCCACCTGTGTTGGACTTGGGTCCAATCCATGGGTCTTAGATTTGTGGGCATAGGAAACCAGCATTAACACTAAGCTCTGGCTACTGCTTTTGCCATGAGTAATAAAGGCCTATCTCTAACGCAAGAGTCTCAGTTTCAGTACCCATGAAACTGTGGCAAGCTAACCTGTTAGCCTGCAAGTAGGATAAAAATCTCAGACCCTTCACAGTTCTTGACAGCAGGAGGGTAGAATGAAAGGGAAGAAACTTGAATGCAATACTGTCCCTTCCTTGAGACTAGAAGTTATGTGGCATGGCCATGTATCCACATTCCCTCCTAATTAAGATCACCAGTGGGGAGTTACTATGTCAGGGAAATTTCCTCGTACTTATTGAGTTAGCTCCATTTAGTCTTCAACCTCGCAGGCGTTGAAATTTTCTTATTCTGATATGTTTTATAAATTACATGTTAGCTTGGTTTAACTCTTCTTTTAGATTCAAAAGCTCTCTGAAAATAAGAAAAACTATTGACTCTTTAACATGTGCATAATTTTTGTTTCTGTTCAATATTATACTCCGTGGATACTCCACGTATAATGTGCTAATTGTCAGCATGTTAATCATCATCACTATTAACGTTTTTAACTAAGAGCCTACAAATACAGATCCCATTCACCCACCTTCCTTACTCTTTTCCCAGGAAAGTGGGAGAGTACAAAGCATATGATATTAGGAAACAGCCCTAGGTTATGACTTTCTCTTCTGTGGATCTTCTGATCCATTCTACAGAAACATTGACTCAATAATCATGTATTTTAGACACAGAGATAGCAACTAAATTGTTTTATTCATACCATGCACATTATTAACCACTTGACAACACAGTTGTGGCCAGGAAACGTAATTTTAAACTCTCAGCTACTTAACTCTCATTTAAAGTTGAGATGTGAGAAATACTAGTTATGATCCTCAAAGGACATTCATTCTTTGGGGTTTCTCTTTGTACCTTGTCTCCTGGAAATACCAGTCACCTTGACTCATCACTTGGGAATAGTGATTTCCCATTTCACTAATTCAGTAAAGAGACCCTGGGGTCTTCCCAATTGTGGGAGGGCAGAAGCTGTCCGTAGCGAGATTTGGATATCTGCTCAAAGTACTAGGCAAACATTCTTTTTGCCCTTCAATATGTTCACATTTTCTTTTTTTTTTTTTTTTTTTTTTGAGACGGAGTCTCGCTCTGTCGCCCAGGCTGGAGTGCAGTGGCGGGATCTCGGCTCACTGCAAGCTCCGCCTCCCGGGTTCACGCCATTCTCCTGCCTCAGCCTCCCAAGTAGCTGGGACTACAGGCGCCCGCCACTACGCCCGGCTAATTTTTTGTATTTTTAGTAGAGACGGGGTTTCACCGTTTTAGCCGGGATGGTCTCGATCTCCTGACCTCGTGATCCGCCCACCTCAGCCTCCCAAAGTGCTGGGATTACAGGCGTGAGCCACCGCGCCCGGCCTATGTTCACATTTTCTTACGATTAGATATGCAAGATACAAAGGGCTTGTTTTAGGGTACACACTCAGGAGAAGAAAAGGCTGCCTGGCCTGCTTTTACATAGATGGCCTTAAGCCTTCATGCAGGCTATGTGGAAGTTCTCTTAGCCTCATGAAATCCAGCACAGTTCAGGAGATTTTACAGTTTGGAGGAAAAGCTTTGTAGTAATAACCAGAATTATTTAAACTGGAATTTTCCTTCTACTTATCGTCTACCAACCAGTCTGGAGTCAGGTTTATCAGTTTGGGTTCTTTGAGGAGCAGACATCAAGATGGGATTCGATGTGCAAGAAATTTATTGGGGGAAATGCCTGTGAAGGACAGAAGGAAGAAAGGTTGAATTAGAAGAATCTTAGACTTCAGCACAAATCTAAGGAAGTTCAGCCAGGCCAATGGAGAGTCCTTGAGCCAGAGCTGCCTGTCAGAGAAGTTCCACATCTCCCAAGAACAGGCCTGCTGTAGCATCTTTGTTGTGCTCAGTCACTGGCTAGGAATGGCTGATGGGAAGTGTGGCCTCAACGGGATGCAATGCTGAATTCAGAGCATAGCAGCTGGGGCTATTCATCAGTTATGCCCACTAACGCAGGAAATCTGAATGGTGCATTATCACATCCACCACGGTAGGCAGCCTAAGGATGGATGAGGACCCAAGTTTCCAACCAGATAATACATCCTCATGACCAGCAGATATAAGAAACAGCTGCAAAAAACCCACCATTGCCTTCATTGTGGGCAAACTGCTAGGGATGCTTCCACTACATCACAGTGCTCCCTTTATGAGGGCCCAAGAATAATACCTCCTGTGGCTCAGGGCCTGGCAAAGCTATTCCTCCTGCGCAACTGGTATGTTTTCATCCTGTAGACAAGATTTTCTAGCTGACTTCTTCTTTGTCTTAACTATCAGAAAGTTAGAACCAGACTTGGGGTTCTACCTTCAGCTTTAGGTGCTTTTTAATTATTATCTTCTATAATTCCTTTACTCAGCACAACTGTTCTCTGTGAGTGATCTAAAATGCTTTTCTGAATTAAGACAAGAAATAATTACCTTAACCTAGGCTGGTACCATTTAGAACTAAAAATGCTAGATTTTAAATGCTTCAGTTTATTCTTTTTATGATAACTTTACACACAGGCCAAATTCTTTCACTCTAAACTAGTGCTATCTAGTAGAAATAGAGCATGAGCCACATGTAATTTTAAGTCTTTAGTAGCTACATTAAAAAGGTAAAACGAAATAGGTGAAATTAAGACAATTTAGTCTTTGGAAGCCTACTGTATATCTTCTACTTACATCACATCCCAATTTAAATCAGCTATACTGCAAGTACTCAATGGCCACATGTGGCTAGTGGTTTCTGTACTGGACACTGCAGGTCTAAACACAAAGACTATGAATCATGAGAGTTAGAAGAGCCTTAAGAACCACAACTGTATCTAATCTGTATTCATATTGGCTTTGATTAAAGATTTCTGAGCTCCTGGGGGTTTCTTTTTTCTTTCTTTTTTTTTTTTTTTCTCACTCCTGAAGGTTTCTGATGCAAACACTAAATCTAAGAAAAGTGAGTTCTCCTGACAGGGGTAATGACCATGAAACCCTAAGATTTCTGGAATTTTTCTTTTAATTTCTCTGTGTTTGTAGTTTTTTCTTCACTGGATCACCTTTGGCTTCTTCTGAGAAATAAAGTAATATAAAATACTCATGTACATCTACTAAGAAAGAAAGGAAACAAATAGAGATGCATTATCTAGATTACAAATTATTTAGAAATTAGAGTGTTAGAGTATTAACATAGGGCACAAAATTGAACTAATAAAATTACTTTAAAGCACACTTATTTAGATATTTTGATGCTCCTTGTTTTGGAGCCAGCTCTAAACTTTACACCTCAATTTGGGATACGAAGAGTGTTTTCCATTTGAACCAGAGCTGGAAGACCACAAATGTGGTTAGATTTCTGAGAGTTAAGAATTTGATTTTTTTTTCAGGCATTAACCTACAAAAGCCTTCATTTCCACACCTGGTGCATAGAGTAATGCTTACCTTATAAAATAGCTATGAAGATTAATAATGTTATATATAAGCTTTGTAACAGGCAAACAGTAAGTACTAAATAAATGGCACTTATCATCATTGTTAATTACAAAAGATTGTCAAATCCAGGTATTCTTAACCTGCGGTCTGCAGATCCTTGGCTCATGGATAAAACTGCAGGGGTGGAGATCCCTAAAATTGGATGGGGAAAGATTATATCTGCATTTTCATTAACCTCTAAGCAAAATTTACCATTTCTTTCCATTATGAATAAAGGCAACATCATAGTGATAGAAGGACCTGTCACTTCGCACCAACAGAAGTTACACATACTTTCATATTAAATTTCTGATGTTACGGACATCACAAAATATCTCTTACATTTATCAGCTTTTTGAAATTATAGTATTAGACCTAATCTTGCTAGATCTTATTAGTGTATTAATAAAGAAATACACGTTATTAATGTATTTTTTAAATTTCAATATAATTGGTTTCCTTTGTAATCCTATGTACTTTGTGAACTTAAAACTTAACTTCTCATTATTCTGAGAAGGGATTCAGCAGCTTCACAGGATTGCCATGGCACACACAAAAAAGTTAAGAATCCCTAAATTTTAGTCTATCTCTTTGCTTCCAGAAAGCCAACCAAGTTTGACAATTGAACACACCTGCCTGAGTGAGCCAATTCCCAAAGTCTCGGGTTTATTTTTCTGTGCGTGACCTGATAGGAAGATATTACGGTCTGGTACATGACTCCATCAATTAACCTATTTGCTGAGCTCACCTTCAGCTTATACCTGGCATCTTTCCTGAATTCTCTGTTGGGCCTTCTGAGGCACACAAAATGAGCTGACAAGCTGATTTTCTGGTATCTTCTGTTCATACACACCTGGCCCCCACTCGATGCCAGGCCCAGGATTAAGCTGGGCAGTGATTCTCAAGCCTGATCCCAGACCAGCAGGCAGGATCAGCATCACCAAGGAGCTTATGAGAATTGCAGATTTTCAGGTCACACCCTAGACTTCCTGAAACAGAAACTCTGGGGTCTATCAGTGTTTTCTCAAGCCCTCCAGAGACACACGCTTTAGTCTGAGATCCACCGTGCTAGGGAATCGGAGGTCCGTCCAATCCTGGAAAGAGAGGCTCCCATCTCCAGTATTGGTTGAGACTAACACCGCTCCTGCAACTGGGGTTGGAATTTCAATGCAGGTAGTTGCTGAGCGGGGGCCAATGAGTTGAAAGCCGGAGCAAGGGGACTTGTTTTGTTCCTGCACCCCGATTTTACTTACATTACCCGGGGCCTCGAGGGTGACTCATAGAGATTAGCCCTGAGCGTCGACCCCTCGGCGCCGCCACTGCACAGCGAGAGAAGGGGAGTCAAGAGAGACGCTTGAGTCCCTTGACTGTCCTCCCCTACGAGCTCTCTGGGAAGAGAGCCCCAGACCTGCGAACTCTGGGCCGCTCTGCGGCCGCTTGAACACTTCGCGGGTCTTCCGCCCCGCGCTAGAGGACGCACTCCGTGACGGGAATTGCGGTCTCGGCCGCCCCCGGCCTCAGGCTTTCCGGGCTCTGCTGCCTCCAGAAAACTACAAGTCCCAGGATGCTCGGCGCGGGACGGTCACGTGGGAGGGGCCGCGGGCGCGGCTAAATAGTCTCCATCGGCCATTTTGTGCGAGAAGCCGCAGCGCCGCCTCTTCTCTCGCGCCCTCGCCTCTTCC
The DNA here is from genome assembly GCF_000001405.40 of Homo sapiens. NCBI lineage: Eukaryota > Metazoa > Chordata > Mammalia > Primates > Hominidae > Homo > Homo sapiens. The sequence continues at coordinate 40,309,752 of NC_000003.12, forward strand.
TCCGCCTCCTCCTTCGCCTCTTCCTGCCTCCTCCCGGCTTCCGCCGCCGCCACTCCAGCCTAATCCCAACCCCAGGGCGAAGCGTTTTCTTATTTATTTCCGTTTTCTCGCCACTACAGCCTCCTGACAAGGTGATCCGGGCGGGCCCCGCAGGAATTTTATCCCCTCACCGGCCTCACACTAGTATCGCATGTCCACTATCCAGAACCTCCAATCTTTCGGTAAGATCCCGTCGCCGCCGCCTCCCTCCCTTGCCCGGCGCGCATCTCGGCCTTTTGCCCGCCTGGCCACCGCCCCTAGGGGCCCCCTTTCTGCCCTTCCCGCACCCCTAGTGGGGCTTTGTCTCGGCGCCCAGAAAATGGCGACGGGGCCCCTGGCGACCCCTTCCCCGAGGACAGCGCCGGACTCCGAGCCCTCCTCTCGGAGCCCCGGCCGCGGGCCCTGCGCCACCCCCTGCCCCGTCCTTGACCCGGCTCTCGCCTCCGCTTCTGCCCCTTGAAACCTTGGCGATCCTATTTCGTGGACTCCTAGATCGGCCCTGCTACTTGCAAAGGGTATGCCGGGCCAGGGAAACCAGGGATCGGCGCCCGTTCTCTGGCAGCTCCTGGGGGCACTTAGGGAAAGATGCGGATGCAAGCCTCTGATCTGTCACTGGCCAGTGGTTCAGTCTTCTCTGCTTGCGTAGCAATTTGTTAAATTACGCCTCTTGATATATATGTAATCTACTTTTTTTTTGGCAAGGCACAGTTACGGTTAAATGATTAAGGTGGGCGTATTCGAATGTTTATGTTTTCATCAGAATGTAATCGAGATGACGCACATTTTTATAGCGGCTACAATATTAAGGTTTTCTAAATCTTTTTCTCATTAGAGGACCATATTGAACGATAACATTATTTATCTATAACAGCGTTTTTCTACAATGGACATAGCTGTTCAAATGTTTCTCTTTTTGTGAGAGTATCTTGGGGGTTTTATTAATACTCCACCCCCATCTCCATTCCTACCGGCAAAAACAGCAAAGGCACTAGAACCTTCATTGATGACTGTCTGGATTGGTAGTATAATGTATTTCTGGAAAGTACTTCTTAAAAAATATTTTTCTACTTTGGATTTTTTTTTTTTTTTTATCCATTCGCAGACCCCTTTGCTGATGCAACTAAGGGTGACGACTTACTCCCGGCAGGGACTGAGGATTACATTCATATAAGAATCCAGCAACGGAACGGCAGAAAGACACTGACTACTGTTCAGGGCATTGCAGATGATTATGACAAAAAGAAACTTGTGAAAGCTTTCAAAAAGGTAAAGGGATTAGGAAGAAAGGATTAGAGTTACTGATGCACACCTCTGAACTGGATTATGATTCACACCTTTATATCGGCGTGGATGAAAATAACTAGACCAAGAAAGTTGTTCTCATTTTTGTAATTAACATGTAAATATTTAGTTATTCTCCCAGTGTGGTCTCTCATTTTAAAAGAAGATTCGCGTTGCTTTTAAATAAATTTAAATGTGAAATATTTAGTTCTTGATGTTACACATAAAATCATTTCCTGGTTTACAAATTAATTTGGAAGGATTGTGGATTATAGGAGACAAAATCTGTTTCTCTAAATATGATCTAGCTTACTGAAATGGCTAATTCTGTTCATACGGTGAAATAAAACCTCATAGTAGTTGACTAAATTTTGTTGTATATTTATGCACTTTTCCAGAAATTTGCCTGTAATGGTACTGTGATTGAACATCCTGAATACGGAGAGGTTATTCAGCTTCAAGGTGACCAAAGAAAAAACATCTGCCAGTTTCTCTTGGAGGTGAGTGATTGGGTGCTTTATGTGTAACCTTGAGATTGCTTTTAAAATTGTATTTAAAGGCAACATGATTTGTTTTCTACTAAGTAAAAAATCATACGAATGAAGGAAATTAGGTGAAATAAAGACATGGTAGTTATTTGGAAAGCAAAGACCTTTATCTGGTTTATTTTGTCATTAGAGTATTCTGATCATTTCTTTATATACACACACAGGCTATTTCTTGGCATGTAAAGTATTCAAATACGTGTTGAATTGTTGGCTATCAGCAGTGCATGCCACAGACAACAGTGTTGCAGTAAGCTGTTGATAGTGATTCTTTTTAATTACTCTTCCATGTTTTCTTAATGAATTTTTATATTTCTCAGAGTTATTTTGCTAAATTAGATTTTATTTTACAGGTTGGCATTGTAAAGGAGGAACAGCTTAAGGTTCATGGATTCTAAAATGAACCTAAATACGTGGAGAATTTCTTGAATAGTTTTGTTCTCTAAACCCGGTTTGGCTGCCTTGTGAAATGATTCCCTGCAGTAAACGGACTTTTCATTTATTTAATCATTCAAACTTCCATTCACATCTGCATGATTACAGAAAACATGGGGTATGTAGACTAGTAACACATAAGAAAATTGCAGTAAGATGGTAACAAAACCTCATATTGTCTTTACATGTTTCCAATGGAAAATGTTTTGAGTGTTTATTGTTCAGTTTATTACGTTTCACTTGATTAAATTTTTTTGTTGTTGTATTAAACCATGTACGTTGCAGCTTAACAATAAAAAAAAATCTATGAATCTTTGTGAGCAATTATGCTCCCAAATCTAAGCAAGTAAAATACACATTTTGTCTTTCTTAATTGGAGTTCTCTCATTCTGCATATATTCCTTCTGATTAGCTTCAGCTGTTACACCCAGCGCTTAGAGGAGAACCTTATATCCAGTGCTAGAGAACCTTTGTTATTTGTAGCTTGTGTTTTTCATGTACTGATTTAAGAATAGAAGCAGGAGTAGAAATTCAGCCAGAGCCACTAGTCATGGCAAAGCAAGTAAAAGTTGTCAAAGAATTTATCAGATTGTAGTATTAAATGTTGTTAAAGAGTATGAAGTTTAACAGTATTAGAACATAGAGTTCTTTTCTGTGTTCTTATCAGTTGTTACTGAGTTGCCAACATAAGTCTATCCCTAAGTACCAGATACTGTAATAGTCTTGTGACATAAAGCATATTTAGTCACAGGCACTTCCCTGCAAGTGTAGGTTGATGGTATCACTGCCTTACAGATGGAAAACACTGGGCCTCAGGTTAATTTCCCAAGAGTGCTAGAAAGTGACAGGGTGTCAGCCCAGAGATTCCAGCCAGGAAATTTCTTTTACTACATCATGATTTTGGTATGTGTTTCACCAAAGTGAACCAGAGCCACAGATGACAATGACCAGGGGTGATAGTGGTGTAAGAAATAACCAC